>NC_000001.11:116220501-116523531 GCF_000001405.40 Homo sapiens
TTTTTCTTTTAAAAAAAAAATTTTAATTAATTATTTTTTGGTAGATGGGTCTTGCTGTTTTGCACAGGCTGAACTTCAACTCCTGGGCTCAAGTGATCCTCTCGCCTCAGCCTCCTGAATAGCTGGGTATGATACGGTTTTGATAATATGCACACTGCAAAAGCAAAGTATTGCTGATAACAATGTGCTAATCAGCAGTGTCACTGGAAACCACTGAGCTAATGCTTGGAATAAAGTGCAAGAGGAACAACTCTAATCAGAAATCTGGATAAGAGGTGTGGTACGGTGGCTCACACTTCTAATTCCAGCATTTTGGAAGGCCAAGGCAGGCAGATCACTTGAGGTCAGGAGTTTGAGATCTGCCTGGCCAACATGGCGAAACCCCGTCTCTACTAAAATTACAAAAATTAGCTGGGTGTGGTGGTGCACACCTGTAATCCCAGCTACTTGGGAGTCTGAGGCAGGAGAATCGTTTGGACCCAGGAGGCAGAGGTTGCAGAGAGCCTAGATGGTGCCACTGAACTCCAGCCTGGGCAACAGAGTGAGGGAAAAAAAAAGAAAAGAAAAGAAAGAAATCCGGACAGGAACAGGCCTAGCCACACTTTCTGAGAATGTGTCAGCCCATACCTGGAGAATTACTTTCTCTTCTGGGACTACATCTTAGAAGAAACACAGGCAAATAGAACCACATTCCAGGGAGAATGCTTAGGGTGCTAAAATCAGTAAAAAATAAATCACATAAGGAATGCTTGTAGAAAATGGGGGTATTTCGTTCTTGAAGGGAAAATGCAAGAAAACCACCCTCTGTTAACAAGACGTAATATTCAAAGGGCATTAAACTTGCCCATTAAGGCCTGGATGGATGGAATAGAACCAATGAGTAAAGCTATAGGCAGATTCAAGCTCGACAGAAGGAGAATTTCACTAACAGTCAGAGGGAACCGCACATCAACTGGACTGCCTGAGGAGCCTCCTTGTTACAGGAGCTACGGAGAAAGACTGGATGATGCCTTGGCCAGGTGTGGTACAAGGAACCGAAGCCTTATGGGGACTTTGGGCTAGGTGATTTTTAGGGCCCTCCCCTCTCAAAGTCTCTGTCCTGAAAGTAGAGGCCCTCACTGGGCAGAAGAAGTCCCCTAACGCCAGCAATGCCTATAGCTCCCATCTCAAGCAGGTGGGAGGTGGGGCTATGAAACCAGTCCACAGCCCTCCAGTAAGGAACAGTCCTTCCTCAGAAGGAACTGTGACACCGTGTGACTCTGGTCACCTGGCTATGGCTGCCTGGACCAAAAAGGCTGGTGGGTTTGGAAGCAAAAACTGAAGAGAAAAGGAGAAAAAAACCAAAACAAAATCCAGAGTAGTTGGGCAAGCAGGACCATGAAGATAGCAGGAGTCCTGATAGGGCAGAAGCTGTAGGGCAGCATAAAGCTACAGGCATTCCCAGAAGCAATGCCAGGGAGGAGGGTTGAAGGGGAGGACGATTTAAAGGGAAGAGGGGAGGAGGGCTGGAAGGGAGGAAGTGAGGAGGGAAGGAGGAGGGGAGGGGAGGAGGGGAAAAAAGAGAGGAGGGGAGGTGGAGCTGGGAAGAGGAGAGAGTCTCCACAATGTTGCGAAATGGAAGAGCCTCTGGGGCCAAGATAATGGAGAGAAAAAATAGACTACTGCTGTCCCAGGTCCCTATGGTTCGGGCTCTTGTACCCTCTTCTGGCACCTGTGAAGCCAAGGTTCCCTGGGTTCCCCTGAGAGTTCAGTTGTTTTTATAGCCAAGCACACCCATGGAATAAGCCCCTTACCTGAAGCTACATGAGTGAGACCTTGTTTTTTGAAATTCAAAGCATTTAAGAGAAGGCCAGAGGAGGAAAGCGGTGACCATTTGGGCCTTGAAAGGAGAGGATGCAGCAGTGCATCTGGTAACCACCAGCACCAAAACTGGTGAATGCAAAGCTCTTCATCAGTGAGAGACTCAACTCCCCTCAGGCCCGTCACCCTCTCCCTGCATCCTACCCTCTGGAAGCCCACAGCTTCTCTCCCATCAGAATAACAAAGAACCCTGGAAGCAGAAAACAGTGCCCTGGTGAGTGAGGACTCCCCAGGTAGACAGAATACTAGATGTTTCAGCCAGAAGGAGTTTGACCACAGAGGAGAATGTTTGGTCACAGAGGCTTCCCTCTGTGAAAGTGAGAGGTATCTGAGGTGAAAGAACAACCTCCAAATCCTCCAATCCATCATGTTCCATTCTCCAAATGCAGACAGCAAGAGCCAGCTGCCCAGGAAGCCTGAGGCTGCAGAAGGACACTGGGGCATCTCTTACCAGGGCCCTTCTCCTTGGCCCAACTTTCTGTCTGTGAGATGACAGCAGTGTCCCTTGGAGTGGCGTGAGTTTTCATGAGAGTATTATTGATGAAGTCTTTTTTGATCCTTACTCTTTAAGGAAGATCCCTCCCTCCCTTGTTACTGCAGTGCAATACTGGACTCACCCTCAGTGCGTGAGTCCTAGTACTGGTGGCCACATCTGCTCCGACTGCACATTGCCCAGGCTGTTATAATGATTATTTTTGAATATCATTATATTTTTAACAGGTCATTTTCCTTGAGGGTCAGGGATCTCTTCTTTTTTCCATATCCTCAATATTCAGCTCAGTGTCTAGCATAGCATGGGGCTCAATGAATGTCTGATAAATGAATGACCTTCAGAGAAAATAACCAAAGTTAAATTCTACAAATTGTTCAGCTGAGCTCTACATTCATCCCAAATGTCTGATTTCTAGACCCCATGCCCAACCATGGTGCATCCAGTTTAAAACATAGTACATATTTGTACATTTAGGTTTTAATATACTGAGTTTCTCTGCTGTTGTCAACTTCTTCATCAAGCTCCAGGCCCCTGGGGACACAGACCACATCACCAAGCTCTCTTATTAAGGCTTCAACGGATATAGTTGGAAGAAGAGTTCCCATCCTCTGAGTTTTGCTAGGATACACATAATTAAAAATGCAGAAAGTAAGACCACCACTAAATCATGACCTACTAAACAGATAATTTTTTTTTTTTTTTTTGAGACACTGGTCTTGAAATCCTGGGCTCAGGAGATCTGTCTGGCTCAGCTGGGATTATAGGCATGAGCCACCATGACCAGCCAAGAGATGGAAAATGTAGACACTAAGGCATGAGCTGTAAGGAAGATGATTCTAAAAGCCTGTGTTTTGTGTTTGTGACACGAGCTAAGTCTTGTTCCACCACTTACTGTTAGTGTCACCGTGGACCAGTTTCTTAAACTCTCTAAGCCTCAGTTTCTTCATTTGTAAAATAGCACACTTAACATATACCAGAATAAGCTCTGAATAAGTTAGCTACTATTTATTTATAAGCAATAGAATCAAAGAGGTTTTAAATGTCACTAAGTTTTGGACTGAGTTTTTCAGAGCCCAGTCAAAGGTGCTTTGTGGGGAGTAGGAGTAAAGGTAGGAGATCAAGCAGACACACCCCTGCTTACCCAGAATCACTCTGCATTCATCTGGTTGATGGAACTTTTATGTAGGTTTTAGGGAAAAGGAAAAGGAAGAGTTAGTCCAAGCTGCAAAACTGGTGCCAGAATCTCCTCTTAAACGTCCTGGTCAAATGGTTGTCCAGTCTTTTCTTGAACACTCAAATTCTCTCAGTGAGGCCCCAAATTAATTTGCTTAGCAATTTTCCTATTCTTTAGAATATGAGAAGCTCAAACAAATAGCTAACCAAGTTTTATTGCCTTGAGGAAATCCTGCCAGACCTACTTTAATGAAAAGAGCATTGTTCAAAATTAATTGAAGTCCAATACTCCTACAGTAGTGCTACAATAGTTACCAAAAACAGTTGTCCTCCATCGGTTATAAATGTCTCCCAGCAATCTTGGCCATGCTGTTAATTTGCTTAGCAAATCCGTTCAGTTATGTTGAGCATAAAGAGAGTTTCAGCCTAGACCCTTGTGCAAATGTCCACAAATTCTGAATCAATTGAGTTAGTGTTGCTATAATGATGTTTTCTACTCTATAGCACTGGTTTTTCAAACCATTTTCATATCTAATGTCTTACTTTAGTCAGTTCCTCAAAGTTGAAATGAGATGAGATCAAATCAAATCAAATTCTATAGGTCAGCACACTCTGGAAACTGCAAGGCTCTGTAAGTGATTGTTGCTAATAGGTTATTAGACCCCAGGTTCCTGGCTCTGACTCACAGCCTGGCCTGTCTTCCGAGGCCATGTGGCCTCTTCACTCCAAAGGGCTGGAGGATGCCTCGAATGTCTTCCAAGACCAAGGAGGGCCCTGAGGCTTGGTGACTGGCAGATGCTGGTGCAGATGGGTGCAGAAGTGAGCAGATGCACCGTGTGTAGTGCTGTCAGGAATGGGTAGCTGAAGAACCCCTCATGCACACCTGAACGCTTGCCCTTTGGTTTGTGGTTGTCACTGCTCTTTGCTTAGCTTGCTGTTGCCACTCCATTTCCATTTCAGAATCATATCTATCTTTTAAGCCAGGCCAAGCAGTTCACATGCCACCTGCTTCAGGAGCCTGCTCTGGTCATCTCAAGGTCAAGTCATCCCTCCCTCTCTGAACATTTTAAGCTCTTTGCCCCACTCCCCTGACCCTGCCTCCACATTGCCTTGTGCTGCGGCTATGGAACAAGGCATTTCTTGCCCATTTGTTTACAAGCAACTTGAGAGCACACACTGTGTTATATGGAGCTGATTGTGGCAGACACGGCTATTGTCCCAAGTACCCAGGCCCCCTTCTTCCTTCCAGTGAGTTTTGGCCAAGCATATGGCTGCCCAGCTAGAGCTGCATTTCTCAGATTCCTCTGCAGCTAGGCATGGCCCTGTGAGGTGTTTGTCAATTGGATGAGAGCAGAAGTGAGGTGAACCTCCACTTCAAATTTTTAACAATGAAGTAGCTTGTCCCCTTTGCCCTTTCCCCTTCCCATGGTCTGGAAAGCAGATGAAGCAGATAAGAACCAGACCCTGGGGATGGCAGAGTCACAAGATAGGAGGCACCTGGGTCCCCAGCAAAGCTCCCTGCTACCTCAAACACTTACGTGAGAAATAAACTACAATTTTCCTTAAACTATTCTTTTTTAGGATCTTTTTATTAAAACTGCTTTGCCTAAGCACTCATCAGCGCAGAAGTGCTCAACTCAATTTTTTGTGTGCAAACAAATAGATGCATGGCCAGGTGTGGTGGCTCACGCCTGTAATCCTAGCACTTTGAGAGACTGAGGTGGGTGGATCACCTGAAGTCAGGGGTTCAAGACCAGCCTGACCAACATGGCAAAACACTGTATCTACTAAAAATACAAAAATTAGCTGGGCAGGGTGATGCATGCCTGTAATCCCAGCTACTTGGGAGGATGAGGCAGGAGAATCGCTTGAACCCGGAAGGTGGAGATTGTAGTGAGCTGAGATTGCACCATTGCACTCCAGCCTGGGTGACAGAGTGAGACTCCATTTCAAAAAATAAAAAATTAAAAAAAAAAACAAATAGATGAATGGATAAAGAAGAGAAAAAAATAAAATGAATGCATGAATGAATACATGAAGTATTGTCAGTTGCAGTTCTGCTTGAAATAACACCTGTCTCATTTTCCTAATGGCGGCTGATTTTCCTGATAGAGAAGGAACCAGGGAAGATTTGGGGGAAGTGAAGAAAGACCTATTTTTAGAGGATGAGTCCCTCAGGGAGTCCAGTGACTGCTTTGCTACTGCTACACTTTTTGTGTGATGTTAGGATACTCCCCAGGGACCTGTCATCAGAAAACCCAGAAGGGAATTTCCTATTCTACCAGGAGTTGACTTGAAGTATCTAGAGCTGGCAGTGCATCAGAGCAAGGATTTGTAACAAAGGACAATAAAGGCCATTCAAATAAGTCTATCTTTCTAATGGCAATATTCTTTAAGAAATTTAGAATGTTTTGTATGTGCAATCTACTACCTCTGTTAAGTGAAGTGGAGAAAAGGAATATGTGCTCCACATTCCTCACAAGGCTGTAGTGAGAATCAAGTGAGATCATGTGTGTGAAAGTGCTCCATTAACTTAAGTACAATAATAGATGGCCAGTGTTATGTCTGCCTGGTAACTTACTTCCATTATTTATCCGTATGATTCTGGTTGGCTGCTAATCACAGTTCCTTCTCCTGGGTCAATATATCAAGAAAGTGACCTAAATCTCTCCAATTATAGTCCCCAATTCCTTGGCCACAGTAATTAGTCCAAAGGGTGAACACGTGATTGACTGGATCACTGAGAGCTCTTCTCGAGGAAGAGCTTTATACCCTCTCTCTTTCTCTTGGGCTATTAGCAGGGATGAAGTGATCCTCAAGCTCTTTGCAGCCATGGGTTTTGAATGGAGGAAGAAGAAATTCAGAGATGGAGATGGATGATTGTGTCTGAGACCAATCAATATTCTGGCATATTGATTTTTTCCTTAGGCTTATTTGAGTTGGATATTTGTCACCTGAGACCAAAATAATCCTAAAAAAAATGCTCTGTACAAGTAATGCATCATTATTTAAAAGACTCATTCAAATGAACTTGGAGAACTTATTTAGAGATTCCAGCTAGGAACAATGCCACTTGAGACTCTTTAACAAAGAATGGCCATCCTTGGTCTGGAAAAGTTATCCTTTTTGACCAACCACATGGCTTCTAAGGGGAGACACACACAGTGATGAAGGTGGAAGAGGAACCCAGCTAGCCAGTGAATCCAGTCTAGCCCATCCTGGAGATCATTGGGATAATAGTTTTGCTTGAATATTTCCAAGGATGGGATCATCACCCTTCACAAAGCAGACCACTCTATTGCTGGACACCTCTGATTCCTGGAAATAGACTCAAATCTGGTCCTTTCAGATTTTTTTTTTTTTTTGGTCTTTGTTTCCCTCTCTGAAAATACACAGGATTTCAACCTGCCACCCCACCCCTACCCACACCCCTTCTATGTAGATGATTCTTCAGATAGATAGATAACATATTTGCCTAAGTCTTTTCTTCTCTGGATTAAAAATCAACTTTGCTCAGGTGATGATGCTATTAAACTCTTCATCAACCTGACACGTCTCTCTCAATACCTGCCAACTAGTCAACATCTCCTTTCAACCATGAAACACAAACCACACTCTCAATTGCAGTTCTGTTCTACCAGGGCAGAGCATTCCAGAGCTATCACCACCCTTCATCTGGAGTCTATACATTCTAGAAATGCAATCTATGTTTATGTCTTTTTAAAAAAAATTCTTTGTAGGCTGGCTGAAGTGGCTCATGCCTGTAATCCCAGCACTTTGGGAGGCCGAGGAGGGTGGATATTTGAGGTCAGGAGTTTGAGACCAGCCTGACCAACATGGTGAAACCCCATCTCTACTAAAAAATACAAAAAGTAGCCGGGTGTGGTGGCACACCCCTGTAATCCCAGCTACTTGGGAGGTGGAGGCAGGAGAATCTCTTGAACCCGGGAGTCAGAAGTTGCAGTGAGCTGAGATTGAGCCACTGCACTCCAACATGAGCGACAGAGTGAAACTCTGTCTCAAAAACAAAACAAAACAAAACAAAAACCAAAAAAACCAAACCCTCTTTTTATACTGTTGACTCTTATTGAGCTTAAATAAACTTAAAGTTATTAATTCTTCTCTCTCATGAGTGCTGTTAACCCATCTTTTACTTTTGTGGCTTGTTTTTTGAAACTAAGTGAAAGAAGTTACATTAATTTTGAGGTATTCATTACAGTCCATCATTTCATGATTTTAACTGAGTATGTTAACAAATATGTTTTCTACATTGCTCGGAGTTGGATTGTTTGCAAAGCAGATAAACTTGCTGCTTTGACTTTATTCAAATCATTGATTAAAATATTGAATAGGATTGGGCCAAGGGCAAGGATCCTCCCTTCAGAAGGCCAGGGTTTTATTACTGGATAAGGGCCTTCATCCACCTATGAATCTACCCATGGATACACTGACTGTCCAGCCCACATTTCTCCATCTGATTTTCATCATGATAAATTTGTCAAACTCCTGAACTGACTTAATTAATGCATTAATTATAACTGTCCCTTAGCATTAGAGAAAACTCTAGACCAATGGGCATGGCACAAGTTCATTTTGTGGGTGGAGTCAGAGGAGCAGCAAAATGGGCCCCACAGAGAGATCAGAGCAGCACAGAGGCCCTGGGTATCTAAGGGTGTGGGAGGTTTTGGAGATGAGGAAGTTAGATGATTTCATTCCTTTCACAGTTTGCCCAGGCAGATCTCATAGGGGATATATATGAGCTTTAGTCAGTGAGTATGCAGTTAACTAGCACTTCATAGCGGTGAGACACTGTGGCATAAGCACAGTACTACAAAGACAGTCCCTCCACTCCCAGGACCAGAATCAACATATCCTCATTACGAGAATTTTAGGCACATCTTAAGACTTTCCTGAAGCCCTAGAGCCCTTAAGCTTGGGCAGGAGAGAAACTGTGCTAAACTTCTCTAAGAGCTGGTGTTGGGCAGGGGGCTCCATAGAGCACGTCTTCTGGGGAAGGTTATACAGGATCTGTAATACTACAAAGGGGGCAAAGCTCTGATGCAGGAGTCAAGGAGCCTAGGGAACACTGGACACATACTCTGTGAGACTTGTTGAGCACAGAGAAGCTGGCTAAGACTTCCCTGGGGACTTTTCACCATGGGAGTTTGAATTTAGGTTTGCGTGTTTATGTGAAATTCTTCACATTGAACATTTGTGAGAAGATAGCATTTCAGAATTGTACCAGTTTTGTAGGACTGTTGGAATAAATTATCCCAATGGGTGACTTAAAACAATAGAACTCAGCTGGGCGCAGTGGCTCACGCCTGTAATCCCAGCATTTTGGGAGGCCGAGGTGAGTGTATCATGAGGTCAGGAGTTTGAGACCAACCTGGTCAGCATGGTGAAACCCCGTCTCTACTAAAAATACAAAAATTAGCCAGGTGTGGTGGCAGGTACCTGTAATCTCAGCTACTTGGGAGGCTGAGGCAGGAGAATAGCTTGAAACTGGAAGGTGGAGGTTGCAGTGAGCCAAGATTGCACCACTGCATTCCAGCCTGGGCAACAAGAGTGAAACTCTGTCAAAAAAAAAAAAAAAGAAAAAGAAAAAGAAAAAAAGACAGTGGAACTTGCCAGGCATGGTGGCTCACACCTGTAATCCCAGCACTTTGGGAAGCCGAGGCGGGTGGATTACCTGAGGTCGGGAGTTTGAGACCAGCCGGACCAACATGGAGAAACCCTGTCTCTACTAAAAATACAAAATTAGCCAGGTGTGGTGGTGCATGCCTGCAATCCCAGCTACTCGGGAGGCTGAGGCAGGAGAATTGCTTGAACTCGGGAGGTGGAGGCTGCAGTGAGCCAAAATTTTGCCATTGCACTCCAGCCTGGGCAACAAGAGTGAAACTCCATCACAAACAAAACAAAAACAATAGAACTCTTGCAGTTCTGCAGTCCAGAAGTCTGAAATCATAGTGTTAGCAGGGCCACACTCCCTTCTGAGGCTCTTGGGAAGAATCTATTCCATGCCTCTCTCCTAGCTTCTAGTGACTGGGGCAATCCTTGGCATTCCTTGGTTGTAGACACATCAATCCCATTTCTGCCTCTGTCTTTACATGGCCTTCTCCTCTTCCGTCTGTCTCAAACATCCCTCTGCCCTGATATTATAAGGACACTGGCCATTGGATGTAGGGCCCACTGAATATCCAGGATGATTTCATCCCAAGAGTCTTAGTTTAATTACGACTGCAAAGATCCTTTTTCCAAACCAGGTAACATTTACAAATTCTAGGGATTGAGACATAGATATGCATACATCTTTTGGGGACCACCATTCAAGAATCCATCTTAATCTTCTACCAAGTCACTCTCTCATGTGGACCTGGAGCAGTGTTTTTGCTGCCAAAAGCAATCAAGAGCTGCAGCTGAAAATGAACAGTGTTATGTATCAGCACCTATGGAGGGAAGCATAGTACAGTGTTTACTGGGACATGGAGAAAGGACACATGTGCGTGCACACACACGCACACACACACACACACGAAACATTTTATTTTAAGCCCACCAAATATCAAGCAGAATCTATTTTCCTTAGATATATCACACCAACTGGAGTGCCTGTAAGTACAACTTGGGTGTGTATATGCATTATGTGTTTAAAATAATCATTTAATTAAGATCCATTGTTATTTTCATTTGTTACTTTTGCTTTTTTTTTTTAATAGTTTGAAGGCTGCTTCTCACTTATCATCAGATCATTGCATTCTTCCCTAGTCTCACTCTTTCACTTGACTCCTTTTGCTCCACCCCAGGTCTTTGATGCTCAGCAAACAGCTGATCAGGGGCCTCTTCTTCCTGTTGTTCACCTGGACTCTCTGGCCACACGTGCCCCATTCCTAATAGCTCCTCCCACCTATTCTAATCATCCCCAAATGGCTGCTGTTGGATGAATTAGCACATGAAGACACCCTGGGAGGAGGGCCAGGGAGCAAGACAGTAAAAATCATTACTGCTAAAGGGCCACTGCTTAAGTAGTAGTTGTGAGCTAAATTCTTTCATTCATCATTCTTTTGGCAGATACTCTCTGAGCACCTGTTATGTGCAAGACACCATTCTGGATCCTAGGAGATGGGGGAATGTAAAGATGATCTCTGCCTCTGAAGCATTTAATGCAATTTTGTAACATCCCATCTTTCAGACTGAGAATTTTGAATCCAAAGTAAAGAAGACAAAGTCATGTCAGTAGAGCGGCCATATGGAACATTGTAAATGTCTTACTGTTTTCGTTCTATATAGGCAGGATTCGCATACATTACCTCATTAAAATTAATGTTGTCACCCTGGTGAGGTGAGTCGCAGCTCACAGTTTTCAGAGGAGGAAACTGAGGCTCAAGTGATAAAGGAGTCTGACCCAGCTTCGCAGTCAGTGAGCAGCAGAGCGGGGGTCCGAGTCCAGGTGGCCTCCATGAAGTCTGCAACTCTTTCCAACTCTGCTGTGAAAGAGGTGGGGCTTGTCTTTGCTCTTTCCCACCTCGACTTCTGAGCCATTGTCAGCGCTCCTCCTTTCTCTTCCTCTACTGGTCCTGAGACCCTGTGTCCCTGGGACTCCTGGCCTCCCCCACCCCAAGACTGCTTGCACTGGCTCCTCTTCAGGGTCGTTGCTTCTCAGTTCTCTAATTTGATAAATTACGCTAATGGCTGAAAATAGGTCAAACACTGCACATTTTCAATCCTATTTTAAGCTTTGGGGAGATCAAGCTTCAATAGAAAATGAATACAAAGACTATTTAATGGACATGCTGGGTGAAGGATAAACTACTTTCCTCATAATACAAACATTTATACAGCATTTATTATCTTGGAGGAAATGAGCTAGGAAATCCATGGGCAGTATGGTGCAATCATGCCCCCCCACCATCCCAATGCTGTGGCACAGAAAGTTTGGCATGGAGAGCCGGTCAGAGCTCTGTTTGAGTCCTTGATGTGAGACACTGGCCAAGTGGCAAGCTCTTGTTGCCACAGGTCTGTAAAATGGAGATGAGAATACCTACTCACGAGGTTCCTGTGGGGATTTGATGAGCTATAAGTAGGCATGCCTGCTAGGTATTAGGAGTTTAATTTTTGAATATGTTAGTTCCTTTCCTTCTCAGAAAGCTAACATTGCAGTTAGGGAGGTAAAGTCACTAACAGGAATTTACTTGAGGTTAACTGCCTTTCCAACAGCCTCACCTTTCTGAACCTTGCAAAAGAACCACACAATCTAGGAAGGTGGTACTTATCGGGAACATAAGTGCTGCTTATTGGGATAGGTGACATGCAAACCACAGGATATAAGCACAGGTGAGAGGACACCAGCTCAGGTGAGAGGGCAGGAGTGAAGGCGAGAGGGCAGGGATACAGGTGAGAAGGTTGGGGTGCAGGTCTATGCCAAGTGGGTAAGGTCAAGCATGTATGGGGTTGGAGGGCAGGAAAGGAGGTGGTGGTGCGTGACAGGGAATGTGCCTCCCTTCCTTGAGTCACTTCTTGTCTTCTTGGCAATCTTTAAAAGCATGTCTTGAATTATCAAAATGATATATGCTTGTAAAAAGAAAAAGTCCAAACACTGCAAAATTGTGTAAGTTCTTTATCAAATTCATGTCCATTGCTTCTCTGATTCTCCCAGTCCCGCTGCCTAGCACTAAGTATTAACTGATGTTGTCCTTCCATACCTTCATCTATGCCAGGTCAAACATTTTTTAAAAAATTTTTAAATCATTGCTTTAATTTTAAAACACTGTTTTACCCTAAGAATTGTTCTGCAACTTGCTCTTTTCATTTTTTGTTTTTTTACTCGAAATCTATCATAGCCAATGTTCCACATCAGTAAGTACAGATGTACCTCATTATTTTTGAAAGTGCTGAATAGTACTACATAGCACAGATAGATATAATTTATTTAATTTGTTCTCAGTAAATTGTCCTCAATTTTTTGCTATTATAAACAATGGGCAATTTCTTCATTAATTCCACAGATGTGAACTGAGTAGTTACTATGTATTAGCCACCAGGCTGTGCCTTAGAGACACAAAAGTGAGTAAAAAGGTCACAGTCCTGTGCCCAAGGATCTCGTGGGCTGGGGAAAGCCTACTTCAGTGCAATAATCACACAGGCCAATGTAAATTGCAACTGTGACTGGGAGGCACACAACTCTCTCGGGGATTAAAATAAGAAGCTGTGACTTTGACAGGAAGTGGAGGAGGGCTTCCATAGGGATGATGGCTGAGGCAGTAGCAGTCACCTAGGTGCAGTAGGGTTATAGCTCTTTCATGCAGAGAACAGCTGCAGAATAGGCCAGCTGTGAAAAGAGCTGGAAAGCACAGGACTAAGGCAGACCAGAGTGGCAGTGGGTGGAGCACAGGGAATCAGTGGGGAGGAGAAGCAGCCTGCAGGGCTAGACCAGCAGGGCCTTGAGTCCACTTATGAGGTTTACCCTCTCTCCTGAGAGCCATGTGATTCCATGAGCGTGTTTAATGCACAGCGTGATGCACAGTGGACCTGTTAGGAGGGACTGCTCTGGTGGGAGATGATGGAGCTTGGCCTATGGTGGTGGCTATGGAGGGGAGAGAAGGGAATTCTTAGAAATATTAAGGAAATAAATGTCATTATTAGGGGTTTGGTGACAGAAGTCATGGGGCCTGTGGCCGGGGGTGAGATATCAGAGTGACTCCTAGATTTCTGGCTTGTGTGATTTGCAGTGAGGATACCACTTACTGAGATAGGCAACATGAACCACAGAGGGGGGTAAAGTGGAGGGGGAAAGGAGAGGGCAGGACACAGCCACCTCCCTTGGGCAACATTTGCCATCACTCTCCTTACTAAATATACCCTGTCATAGTAATTATCTTAATTTAATGTAATTGTTCCCTGTTGGTTCATTTTTCTACTTTTACACTCTTCAGGAGCGGGATCTACACCTTTTAATCTTTAAATCCTCACTGCTGTAAAAAATAACTGAAAGTTGTGTGGCTTAAAACAACAACAGAAATGTACAGTTCTGGAGGCCCGCAGTCCACGATCACAGCGTGGGCAGAGCCACACCTCCTCTGAAGGCTCTCTGGAGAATCCTTCTTGGCCTCTTCCAGTGTTTGGAGGCCCCTGGCATTCCCTGGCCTGGGGCAGCATCACTCCATGTCGTCTCTGTTTTCACATGGGCTTCTCCTCTGTGTCTCTGTCCTCCTTTCTCTTAAAAGGACAACTGGTACTGAATTTAGAGCTCACCCTAAATCCAGAATAATCTCATTTTAGGCTCCTTAACTTAATTACCTCTACTAAGGTCTCTTTTCCAAAGAAGATCACATTCACAGGTTCTGAGGGTTAGGACATGGACATATATTTTGTGGGGTCTCTACTAGACCCACTACACTCAGTAAGCACTGGACGGATGAGAGTCGGTCATACAAAGAACAGGGTACAGTTTAATAACGCTGAAGCAGGGAGCACTGGGCTGGGAAACTAGACAGGAGCAAGATCCTGAATGGCGTGTAAACCCAGCTCTGGAGTTAAGACTGTATTCCCTAGAGTATTTTTTCATAACTCACTTGCTCCAAAAATCACCTGGGAGTTAAGACTGTATCCCCTAGGGTGATGTTTCACAACTCACCAGCTCCAGTAATCATCTGGGGTACCTGCTGTTAAACACTCCGATTCCCAGCCCCTTCACAACCTAGTGAATCAGATTTTTCTCATGGGAGTGGACTGAAAATCTGAATGCCTGACAAGTGCCCCAGATCATTGTAATCTCATTCTTAAAACCTATGGAAGCCTTCTAGGGGAGAGGGTCTGTAAAATGGGACAACGGCTACAACAGTTTCTTAAAAGTTAAACATATACCTGCCATTTAATCCAGCCATTCCACTTTGATGGATTTACCTAAGAGGAAAAAAGGCATATGTGTACACAGAGACTTGTAGTTGAGTGTTCATGGCAGCTTTGTTTGTAATAGTAAAAGACTGAGGGCTGGGTGTGATGGCTCACACCTGTAATCCCAGCACTTTGGGAGGCCAAGGCAGAAGGATTGCTTGAGCCCAGGAGTTTGAGACCAATCTGGGCAACACAGGGAGACCCTATTTCTACAAAAACTAAAATATTAGCCAGGTGTGGTGCACATGCCTGCGGTCCCAACTACTTGGGAGGCTGAGGATCGCTTGAGTCCGGAAATCTGAGGGTGCAGTGAGCTGTGATGGCGCCACTGTACTCCAGCCTGGGCGACAGAATGAGACTTTGTCTCAAAGACAACACAAAACTGAAAAAAACCCAGATGTCCATGAACAGGTGAATGGATAAACAAATTGTGGCAAGTACATACAATGGAATTCTACTGGGCAATATAAAGTAATGAAGCACACTTCAACATAGATGAATCTCAAAATAGCTCTGTTGAGTGAAAGGACACAAATAAAAGAGTATATACTCAATGATTCCATTTGTTTAAAATGCTAGAAAATGCAAACTGCTCTAAAGTGACAGCAGATTCATGATACCTGGGGGCAGGTGGGAAGGGAGTGCTGGGGTGAGGGACTAAAAGGGGCACCAGGAAACTTTTGGGGTGAGGGATATGTGCACTGTCTTGATCATGGTTCTGTTTCACAAGCTTATCCATGTGCCCAGACTTATCAAACTGTATGCTTTAAATATGTTCAGTTTATTGTATATCAATTATACCTCAATAAAACCATTTTTAAAAACTCACTGGAACATAAAAATGCATTACAAATTTAATTTTTTTATTTCAACAGCTTTTGGGGTGCAAGTAGTTTTTGGTTGCATAGATGAATTCTATAGTGGTGAATTCTGAGATTTTAGTGCTCCTGTCACCCAAGTAGTGTACATTGTACCTAATATGTAGTTTTTTTATCCGACACCCCTTCCACCTTCCCACTTCTGGCTCTTCAATGTCCAGTATACCACTCTGTATGCCTGTGCATATTCATAGCTTAGCTTTCACTTATAAGTGAGAACATATAGTGTTTGGCTCTCCATTTCCGAGTTACTTCACTTAGAATAGTGGCCTTCAGCTTCATCCAAGTTGCTGCAAAAAAACATTATTTTGTTCCTTTTTATGGCTGAGTAGTATTCCATGGTGTATATCTACCACATTTTCTTTAGCTACTCATTGGTCTTTATCCACTCATTGGTCGATGGGCACTTAGGTTGGTTCCATGTCTTTGCAACTGTGAACTGGGCTGAAATAAACATACATGTCCATGTGTCTTTTTCCTAGAATGACTTCTTTTCCTTTGGGTAGATACCCAGTAGTGAGATTGCTGGATCAAATAGTAGATCTATTTTTAGTTCTTTAAGGAATCCACTGGAGCATTTTTAATTAAAGTAGAGGCATGATCAGATTTTCAGAGATCTGCCAGTGGTACAAAAATGGGGAAGACACAAAATAGGGGAACCAGTCAGGGGATAATTACATACATAGGTAAGAGAGGTAGTGCTGGTTCATTTATTTTAATTGCTGTATAGCATTCCATTGCAAGACTATACCACAATTTACTTATCTATTCTCCCACTGAAAGATATTTAGTTTATTTCCAACTGTTAAATATTACAAAAATCCCTTAATGATCAGTTTTGTCAGTTTCTCCAAGTACATATATGAGAGTGTCTAGTGAAATACCGACGAATGGGATCGTCAGGTCATGGAGTAGGAGTGCCTTCAAGTTTACTAAATTGCCAAGTTGCTGTCTCCAAAGTCACTGCAAAAACATCTACTCTTGTCAGTATTTTGTGAAAGTTACTATTGTTCTACAATCTCAACACTTGGACATTATCAAAAATTGAAATTTCAATTTTTGATACATGGAAAATTGTATCTCACCGTTGTTCTAATTTTTATTCCCAAGATTGTTGGTGAGGTTGTATATCTCTTCTTATTTCTCTTGGCCAACACAGAGGTTTCCTTCTCTGTGAATTCTGTATATGTCTTTTGCCCCTTTTTCTAGTGGGTCACTTGTCTTATTTCGTTAATTTGTAGTTTGTCTTGAATTTTTGTATTCAAATCCTTTGTCGGCTATATGCTTTGCAAAATTCTTCCCACCTGTGGCTTCTCTTTTTGCTTTGTTTTATGGCACCGTTTATTATATGGTGTACTAGTTTCTTCATGCTACTTTGACAAATTACCACAAACTTAGTGACTAAATCAGAAAATGTATTATCTTCTAGTTCTGGAGGTCAGAAGTCTGACTTGGCTTACACTGGCTTAAAATCAAGATGTGGGCTGGGCTGCATTCCTGCGGGGAATCAATTTCCTTGCTTTTTCAGCTTCTGGGTGCCTACATTTCCCGGCTTGTGGCCTCTCCCTCCATCTTCAAAGCCGGCTACATAGAATCTCTCACTCTGACACTCCTGCTCCTCCTTTTTCAGGATATTGGGCCAAAAGTATTAAATAGTTCACTTTCCTACCAATCTGCTATGACATCTTTATCATATAGCCAGCTTTCATAAATGCATGGGTTTGCTTCTGAGCTCCGTCTTATGTTCTTTTAATTATTTATACCCTTGTTTCTCAAAGTGTGGTCCATGAACCAGCAGCACCAGCATCACCTGGCAGCTTGTTAGGTCTCAAGCCCCACCCCAGACCTTCTTAATAAAGGATCTGTGGTTCACAAGATCTCCACAAGAGTCACAGTTGGAGCATGAAAGTTTGAGAAGCCCTGGTCTACCTGATGCTTTTGAAATCTTAAATAATATAACTTTATATCAAGTATCAATACTTAGTAAGTCAAGTTCCCTCTTCGTTCTTCTTCGTGTAAAATTCATAGTTTAACTCGGGAAGGATTGGAAATCTTATAATAATCTAAGTTCATAAGTTTGTCATATTTCTTCACTTATTTAGGTCTTTTTAAATGGTTTTCAGTAAATTCTGATAATTTTCTTTACAGGGGTCTTGCTTAACTCTTGTTGTGGGTTTTATGCATACGAGCCTTATAGATTTCGTTGCTGTTGAAGATGGTGTTTTTAAAAATTACCTTTTCTAATTGGTGCAGATATATTGGATTACAATGTGTATATTGATCTAGCAACCTGGCAGACAGTTTTTATTAGGGCTAATAGTGTTTCTGTAGACTCTCTTGGCCTTGTCTTTTTTGTAGATAGTAAAATTGCCCGTGAATAATAATAGCTTTGTTCCTTTTTTTCCTGTCTTTTCAACTTTATTATTCTTGTGTTAATCCACTAGATAGGATTTTTCAATATAATGATGAGTAGAAGTAGTGAAGCAGAGATAGTCTTGATCCTAAACTTAAGGGAAAATTATTTTCATATTTTCAACATTAAAAGCAGTAATTTTTTGAGGGATATACTTTATAAGGCTAGAAAAGTATTCTCTTTTCTCGTTTGCCACAATTTTTATAAAATTAGAAATGGATATTAACTTTTATCAAGTGTGTTTTATGTGTCTACTGAATTGCCCAGTATGCATACAAAGTGGGCTGAAAGGGAACCCCTTGCAATGGCAATTATGTTAGACTGGAGAGGCTATGGGGGTTATTTTCATTATTATTCTGTTTGTAATACAGTTACATTGCTTCCATATTTGAAATACTTCCTTCTTCAGGGTACCCAGTTGGAGTGTTTCAGGATCCAAATGAAATATATTTTTCTGTACCGAGAATATCAGCCTATTGAGTGATGTTAAGGAAAGGATATCTACAGGCCAGGTGCAGTGGCTTATGCCTGTGATCCCAGCACTTTCGGAGGCCGAGGTGGGCAGATCACCTGAGGTTGGGAGTTTGAGACCAGCCTGACCAACATGGAGAAACCCCATCTCTACTAAAAATACAAAATTAGCCAGGTGTGGTGGCATATGCCTGTAATCCCAGCTACTTGGGAGGCTAGGGCAGGAGAATCGCTTGAACCTGGGAGGCCAAGATTGTGCCATTGCACTCCAACCTGGGTGACAAGAGCGAAATTCCATCTCGAAAAAACAAAAGGAAAGGATATCTACAAAAATTCAGATCACATAAGCTCTCACATATTTAAAAAGTATTTATTGAACACTAATTATATTCCAGACACTGTGCTAGAAGCAAGGATTAAAAAACTGAGCAAGATCAGGCCCCTTTCTCAGAGAGGGAGCATTGTGAGGTGCTTAAAAGTCCTAGAACCAGAGTAACATTTTACAAGCAGTTGATCTTGCGTAAATTACTTACTTAAGCTCTTTCAGTTTCAATTACCTCATGTGTAAAATGATAATATAAAATAATAATAAAGCATTCTAATGAATTTGGCAGTGATTAAGAGGTCACTAATATTTCTACTTAAACAATAAGGAAAATATATCTTCTCACATACAAAGAAATTGTGATACACCTTGGTTGGTTACTCCAATCATCAATGGACTCAAGGACTCAAATATTTTTTATTTCTTGCTTCTGACATTTTCTTTCTGTCTCCTTATTCCCAGCTAGTTCCCCTCCTGCTTGCAAAAGTATTTACCAAGGTCTCTGCCATCAAGAAACTTTCAAAAAGTGCCTCACCTTCCTCTAACCATTAAACTTCTCTTCATCGTTCACTGACCAGAATTGTATGAAATGTCCATGCTGAACCTAATCAACTCTAAGAGAAATTAGATCACAGTAATTGGCCCCAACCAATTACTGTGATCTAATTTCTCTTAGAGTTGGGAGGTATCTTTCCTTGAGGAAGACCAGTAGACATCCAAACAAAATTAGAGCTCTGACAGCCATGATGAAATGAATGGGCTATGTGGTAAGTGCGGTATTATGACATATATATACTCTGGTTTTCATCCATGGTCCCTGGCTCATAACTCCTAAAGCCCTTGTTGCAGTCTTTTGCTATAATGTTGGAGTGCTTCAGGCCTCAGAAGAAGGCCTCAGAAAACAGACTCTCTCTCTCTCTCTGACTTTCTCCTGCCCTCCTTTCCTCCTTTCATCTTCCCTCACTTTTCTGTCTTGGAGCTGGCCATGAAGAAATTTTCCTGACCTACTTGTCTGATTGTAAACCATAAGATCCTCATTTCAGAAAGGGTCCTGCCCCATGCCCAGAAGGAAGGAATGCTGCACACAGAGGCCAAGAAGAATCTGAACAAACAGGCCTTGCTGGGTTTCCCCACTCAGTCTGTTAGCATGAGACCATACTCTTTTGGTCCAATAGCATTTCTACCTGGTTGTCAATCATGCCTACTCAATGAAGTCTCCATAAAAGACCGAAGAAGACAGGGTTTGGGAAACTTCCAGAAAAATAAATAGGTAGAGGCTTATAGGAAGGTGAACAAGAACTCATGCACGAGCTGAGAGGGGAGTGCACCCCAGCTCCACGGGGACAGATGCTCCTACACTCAGGATCCTTCCAGACTCCACCCTGTGTATCTCTTCATCTGGCTGTTGATTTGTATCCTTTAAAATATCCTTTGTAATAAACCAGTAAATGTGTTTCCCTGAGTTCTATGAGCCACTCTAGCAAATTAATTGAACCCAAAGAGGGGGTTGTGGTAACCCCAACTTGGAGCCAGTTGATGAGTAGTTCTAGAAGCCCAGACTTGTGACTGGTGGGAAGGAGGGGGTGCTCTTGTGGGACTGAGCCCTCAACCTGTGGTTACTGACACTATCTCCAGGTGCATAATGCTAGAATTAAATTGAACTGGAGGACACCCAGATGATGTCTGCTACAGAATTGCTTGCTTTCTTGGTGTGTGGGGAGAAACCCCCATACATTTGGTCACGGAAATCTTCTGTGTTCATTGTCATGGTGTAAGAACAGAGGAAAATATGTTTTTTCTTCAGAGTAGGCACCAACAGAGTAGGGCTTTTAAAAAACTTTAATGAGATAATTTGTGTAAAGTTCTGGAATGGGACACGATGCGTAGTAAGCACTCAACTAAATGTTAGCTACAAATATTTCCCATGCATTTCACAATTAAATTACAAAGCTTAGCAAGTTTTCAAAAATACGTTGTTTTATGGTGTCCACTGATGGATGTTAACAAGGTGACCATGGCAGCATGGAGGAGGAGCCTCTCTGTTATGGAGAGAGGAATGGAAAAAATCAGGAATTGGGGAAGAGTCCATCAGGAGAGGCTTCTCAGTAGGAGATGTTCTTCAGCTGAATCTTGAAAGACAAATTGGAGTGAGCAGGGCATGGGTCTAGGGACTTACCAGTCCTCCTCGCATGTGAAAATGCCTGGGGGCAGGGACTGGCCAGAAGGAGACAGAAAATCTTCAGAGAAGAGTGTGCCTGGAGGGCAGGGGCTTCCTAAAACAGGATATGTCTTAGACCAGTTGATCTTAAGCACATGCTGAAGCATATTTTCTTGCCAGCAAAGAAACCAGCAAGGTGACAAAAGAGTGTGCTGGTCCAGGGGGGGTTACACAATTGGGAAAAAGAATCTATCATAAGTAGCCAGTTTTTCAAGTGAGAAAGATTGTAAGTTCATTTCAGAAGGTCATAATTTCAGGTGCATACTGGTTATACCTCAGGACAGTTGTGGCAGGACAGTCTATGAGGCCAGGTGTGCTGACCATCAGGAAAAAAAAAAGGGGGTGAGTGGAAGACCTGGCATATTTAAGAAGCAAATGATAAGGATTCATTTCTGTCTGCTTTTGGAAGGCCAGGTTGCATGGGATGGGGCCAGCTGACAGATGAGCAGGAGGTAGGGGTGACTGTTAGGACACCCACAGGGCATGAATATGAGGGGAGGGTCAGGGCTGGGCTTCAAGTTCTCACTTGAAACAAGTCATACCTCATGATTTGTTTCATTCAAGCTGCAAAGATGGGAAATGCAGTTCGTCCATGGCTTAATTTTGGATAACCGTTTTTCTCCCTAAAAATGAAAAGCAGGTGGGAATCCTGAAAGAGTCAATCCTTCAAGATGATGCCTCAGTGGCTAACTGAGCCTAAATTCAAAATAGAGCCAAGTGGCCATTTGCTGACTAGAGGTCACATATGTAGTCTGCATTATCAGAAAACTCCCAGACTCACTTAACTTTGGGGCTTTCATAACTGTCTGTCTCCGTTCATGGTCACCCGGATCAACCAACAGACCTGAATTGACCAATCAGAATTCAACAAGTGTTGATCAATCGAACTCAGCAGGCATCAGCCAATCAAAACTAAGCAAGTTTGCATCCTTCTTTTGCATAAGCGAACCAGAATGGGAACCTGGGCAAAAACTTTTTTTATAATAGATAACCCCTCTTTTTTATCTCTTTTAATGCACTTTCGTTTTGTACCAAAGACTTCTTCTCCTTGGTTTACAAACTGTTTCCTGAAATGAAGTCTCGTGATTTTTGTTAAAAAAAAATCTTTTTTAGTGGATTTACAGACACAGGCCATATGTGGTGCCAGGGGGTTGGGAAAAGTAGGGGAGTTGAAATTTATTCTGAAAGTTGAAGGGAACCACTGCTGAGTTGTAAGACTCACTCTCTGAGGTCTAACCCCCTTCTCAGAGGCCTGAAAAATCCTACCATTAATACCCAGAAGCAAGACAAACAACATGCCTGGTGGTGCAATTTCTTTTATTGTGATAAAGCAACTCATCTATACTTTTAAACACCTGTATGAAGGGACCTGATATGTGGAAACTGTTTTTCAATAAGAACCTGCAAACAACTCATCTTAAATATCCAATTTTGTCAAGTCCAAAGCAGAATTTGTGTTTCCCTTCTTCAGGACCTGTGACTGCTGGTTCTTCTCTGATCTCCACCAGTCCAGCCTCCCTCTGAAGGTGGTGGCAACCAGAAAGTACCTGGACTTTGACAGCACCCACTTCTGGTTCAGCTTGCTCTAGGCCAAAAAGGGCAGCTCCTTCTGAACTCTCTCCAAAAAGAGGCATCCTGCCAAGACAGAATGTTCCAACTCTGCTACACCCAGGAGATAAAACAACCAATATGTTTGAAGGAAGCAGCAATCGCGGGAGGGAAAGTAAATAATTTTATATCGGCTTGGTCAGCTGGAAGTTGAGAATGAAGTGAGACTGCCTCCCGCCCTCCCCCGGAGCTGTGAGCCTCCTGTGCACCTTGGCCAACCCTCTGTCCCCACGTCTGCCAGGGCACCTCACATAGCGCCTCATGTTCTGGTGCCCAGTCTGCCTCTCTGAGCTCCCAGAGGGCACCATCCTCTTTCAAAGGCCTTGCAATGGCAGTGACCGGGGACTCGGACAGCAAGGCCTAGGGAAGAACTCTTCCCTCTCATCATTCTTCTCTACCCCTCAAACTCATATCTTTCAAAGCTCAGAGTAGAAGAGAAAGTTCAGAAGAAAGTAAACTGCTGTGGCTAAGAAGTTATGAACATCCTCTCAGGATGTCGTCCACTTCTTTCATCTCATCCTTGAGTGGCACCTGATTTCTTCCAGCAGCTCACACTTGTTTGGGCCTCTGTCCCCGCTGGGTCTGTTTGGCCTGAAATGCTCTGTTGAGACTGTGTGGTGGAAGCTGGAGCAGGTGCTCCTCGCAGGCACCATAGCATCCTGAGTGTATTTCACATGAAGCACTTATCTCTGCAAATATGACAGGCAATCTGTTTCCTCCACCATCCTGTGCCCTTCTCAAGGGCAAGAACTGAGTATTATGCATGTTTGTATTTGGGTGCCTTGCACAGTCCCTGCACGGGGTTGGCCCTCAAAATCAAGCTTCTTAGAGTAAATGAAACATGAGCAGGAGCGAGGCTGACTCCAGTGGCCAGTGTGCCCCCAGCACCCTGCTAGTTCCTTCTGCATGCCTGTGGGGGCTGGGGGCACAGCAGTGACAGGCTGAGGCCAGGCTGAGCAGGTCAGAAGCTTGGCCTTTTCCTTCCCTTCAGCTGCCAAAGAGCAACTAGTTAGACTAGTTCCAATTGCCAATGCCAGGCAAGGCTCTGTGTTCCTCCAATTGTTGGGGTTTTCCTGTTTGGGCCCCTTAAGATGCCACTTGGGAGAGAGAGGGCTCTTCAGCCAGCAGGCTTCTGAACATGACGGACTCTCCAGGCTTCACGGCTCTACTCTGGGTGGTTTATTTATTCGACCTCCTTTAGCAAATTATGCCTCCCATAGGCCTGTGGACTCTCAGCCGAGGCTGATTTCTCTGGGGAAAGAAAACACCTTACAGGAGAAACAGGGAGGAGGTGTTCCCCGAGTGGAAGGACACTTTTGAAAACAGCTATGTTTTATTCTGTCAGGGCAATAAAAGAGTCTTACCTGAAAGGGTCCAGAGGCAAGAAAATAGTAATCCTGAACTCCAGAAAGAAAAATAAAACCTCTAGAGTTTATAGGTCCTCGTCATCTCCCAAGCCAGCTCCAATCCCAAGCAAGGCCAAATGCGGAAATTCTACCTTGTTGCTTCTCTTATTAGTAGCTATCTGCTTTCTGTGAATAGCCACAGAACTCATCTAGGGTATTTTTCCCATCCTTCACTCCTTTCTTTCCAGCTGTCTCTTCCCTCCCTTTCTTCACCACTCCTATCTCCCTTTACTCTTTCTTTATATATATAAATATATTATATATTATATATCTATATTATACATATTATATATAATATACATTTTTATATTATATGTTATATATTTATTATATAATTATATATAAATATATATAAACATAAAAATATAAAAATATAAAATATATATATATATATTTTTTTTTTTTTTTTTGAGATGGAGTCTTGCTGTGTCACCCAGGCTGGAATGCAGTGGTGCGATCTCAGCTCACTGCAACCTCCGCCTCCCAGGTTCAAGCAATTCTCCTGCCTTAGCCTCCTGAGTAGCTGGGATTATAGGTGTGTGCCACCATGCCCATCTAATTTTTGTATTTTTAGTACAGACGGAGTTTCACCATGTTGGTCAGGCTGGTCTTGAATTCCTGACCTTGTGATTCACCCGCCTCAGCCTCCCAAAGTGCTGGGATTACAGGTCTGAGCCACCGTGCCAGGCCTTTCTTTATATTTTATAACCTTCCCTTCTCCGTCTCCGTCTCTCTCCAGAGCCTGCCCGGGCATGCGTGTGTGCGCATGCACACAGACACACACACACACACACACACACACACACAGTTTCCCCATGGCGTGTCCTCGTACCCATTCCCCTCTGTCACTCAACCCTTCCTATCCTGCACCTTCCCCCAGCCCGTCCTCTTTCACCCATGCAAGCCTTGGGTCCTGCCTTCTCACACCCAGTCTGCTAGCTCAGTAAAAACATTTAGCTGAATTCCTGTCCAATTCAACTTACACTTATATCAAAAGTGACTAAGCACCTACTATATAAGGCCCTGGACTGAGGACTGGGGTTACAAAGGGGAATGAGATAGAATTTGTTTGGGAAGATACACAGAAACAAATACTTTGGGTGCAACAGGTAGGTTGTAATGACAGAAATGTCCACAAATCTTGGGTGCCAAGAGTGGGCACTCCTCCTGGGAGTTAAAGGAAGGTTTCAGGGAGAAGGTGATGCCATAAGTAAGGTGCGAAAAAATTCCAAAAAGAGGCAGCAACATAAACAAAGGCACAGAGACAGAAAACTGTGGCTTATTAAAGCAACCACCAGGAAGCAATCCAGAATTGATACGTGGAATGTTACAGAGGAAGAGTCTAATGAAGTACTAGCAGAATGTTCTAGAAGTCCCTTTAAGCCAGGAGAAGGGCTTTAAGCCAGGAGAAGTCCCTTTAAGCCATACAAGATAGGAATGCATGAAGAGTTTCAAGCAGAGAAATTGTGTGATATTACTTGGTTGCAGTGGAAGATAGACCTTCAAGCGGTCAAACCAGAGGCAGGGAACATTGCCGGGATGTTTCCAGTGGTCCGAAATGGGGAGGGCATGGACCAGGCCAGGCAGTAAGGAGGCACAGGTTTGAGACACAGGGTTAAAGAAAAAATAATCACCATTCAGTGGCTCATTGGAGTAGGAAATAAGTGAGACAGAGTCTCAGATGCTTTTGAAGTGTGTAGGCCAAGTCACTGAAGCTCTGGAGAGGGCAGTGGCTTTAGTGGCGATGAAAAGCAGATTTTAGGGGAAGATAATGAACTTGTAGTGGGTTGAATGGTGGTCTCCCAAAAGATCATCCAAGTCCTAATTCCCAGAACCTATGAAACTTACCTTATCTGGAAAAAAAGGGCTTTGCAGATATAATTAAGAGTCTTGAGATGAAAGATAATCCTGGATTATCTGGGTGGGTTCTAAATCCAGTGATGGTTGCCCTTATGAAAGACACATAGAGGAAGACTTGAGACACACAGAGGAGAAAGCCATGTGAAAATGGAAGCAGAGGTCGGAGTGATACAACCACAAGCCAGGAAAGCCAAGGATTGCTGGCAGCCACTAGAGGCTGGACGGAGAAGGAAGCATTCTCCCCAGGAGCCTCCTAAGGAAATTCAGCTCCACTGACACCTGGGGCTTAGACATCTGCCCTCCAGAACTGTGAGAGAACAAATTTCTGTTGTCTTAGGCCACCCTGTATGTGGTAATTTGTTCCGGCAGCTGCAGGAAACTAATACAGATTTCTTGTTGGAGACCCATCTTTGTGTATGAGTTCAGCAGACACTTTGGCAGATGTGGATTCAAGAGCCAGAGATAACAGTTAAAACTACGAGGTTAAGGAGGTGGTCCAAAGACAATAAACAGAGAAGGAAGAGAAATGAACCAAGCACACAGCACAGAGATACACCATGTTTGATGGATGAAATCAGGGAAGAGGCCATGAAGGAGGCAGAGAAAAGTGGTCAGAGAGGTCAGGGGAGAGCCAGGAAAGCACCAAGTCACAGAGGCCAAGAGAGCAAAGAGGTTTTTTTTTTTTAATTATTATATTTTAAGTTCTGGGGTACATGTGCAAATCGTGGAGGTTTGTTACATAGGTATACATGTTTATTTTATTTATTTATTTTTTGAGAGCAGAGAGTTTTAAGGGGAGAGTGGTCAACAGTGTGAATGTAGGAGAGGAGTCCAAGAAAGGGTCCCAAGTATCCACTGGAGTTGATAAATAGCTGTTTACTGATGGCCCTGGTAAGAGTGGTGTTTGTGGATGATGGGAGTGAAGTCCTAATTTCCAGGGCAAGAGCAGGTCTTTAGAGGTCCTAAGCACTAAGATTACGTTGTCCCCACCATGTGTATTTCAAAATAAAATCAATGCTAACTTATGGTTGTAATAAAGTCCAACAGAATTCTACTTTTTCCCAAGATGTCATCAATTTAAACATATGTTTTAATATATGTGTATGTGTATGTGCATACACACATCCATATGTAGGCTCATTATTTTTTCTTCAAAATGCCCTTGTTTAGCATAGTGCTGGTTGCAAGGGCTTGCAGAGTAAAGGGGCCATGGAGAAGTGAGGACAATCAGGGCAACCCAGAAGCTCAAGTGAGGGGGGAGGAGAAGGGAGAGGAGGGTTGGAGGATGAGGGGACATTGTGTTGGGGGGAAGAAACTCGGTTATGCTCATAGGCTAAGGGGAAAAGCAGATCAAGAGGGTCAGATGGAAAACACTGGTGAGAGAGAAGCAGTGACTCTGAAGCCACATCCATGCCACAGGACGTGGGGAGTTGGAGGGTCCAGGAGACACTTGGCCTGGATAGCAGGAAGGACCTCTTGGCCTTAGAGTCTGGAGGAAATGGGATCAGATGTGGATACATCTGTAGGTGGGAGGATGCTGGTGGCCTCGGAAGTCTCCGAGAAGGGGCAGACATGCTGGGATTGGGCACTGCTTATTGAAAGGAGCGGGTCCAGGACAGCAACTCACATGTGCACATTTCCTCAGGCCTCTGGGATCTCCCTAGTCCTGCCTCTGTGTCCCTCACCATTTCCTCCCTGCCAGAACCTGCTATCAGCAGCAGCTTAACCACTTGGTTAAACAGGGACAAAGGAGGTGGCTGAGAGGACCACTGGGGTGACAACAGGCCAAACCTTCTCTTCAAGGCCCACTCCATCCTTCCCTGCCCCTGGCCTTTGCTATAGCCCTGGCTCATTGTGCAATTTCATCCAATTCCATATCTCTAGGTCGCCTAGTGAGTTTCTCTCACCAGATCTGTACTTCTACATCATCTCCATGCCTTTCTCCCAACTTGGATTAATCCCACTGTAACCTGAGTGCAATTCTAAAATATGAATTTCCTGGATTTCTGTCTGCTCATATTTATTGAGCTGGGACACATACCTGCACACTAATGCACACACCCAACCCCCCACCTCATCCCCCACACACATATACACACTCTGGGAATCTCTTTGGGCATAATTTTAAACAGCCCTCTCTGTGCTCAAAGATTGTTTTAAGTTCTGTGTTATATTTTTAAAATTTATTGGAATGTTGTGCTCTTTTCCATAATATATTTGTTTTTTATATCATATAAATATATTTTTTATTTTTATTATCTTTATTATTTTTTAAGATGGAGTTTTTCTCTTGTCACCCAGGCTGGAGTGCAATGGCACAATCTTGGCTCACTGCAACCTCTGCCTCTCAGATTCAAGCGATTCTCCCACCTCAGCCTCCTAAGTAGCTGGGATTACAGGTGCCTGCCACTATGCCCGGCTATTTTGTTTTTTGTTTTTTTTTTTTTGTATTTTTAGTAGAGACGGGTTTCACCATGTTGACCAGGCTGGTCTCCAACTCCTGACCTCAGGTGATCCACCTACCTCAGCCTCCCAAAGTGCTGGGATTACAGGCATGAGGCACCGTGCTCAGCCGATATCACATAAATAAATTTTAAACCACTTATTAGCAAATAAACTTGACCTTCCAGGAAGATGCCCATATTTGTCATGTGGCTCCTCATACCCCTTGGGACACTGCTGAGCACTTCCAGAGGAACTTGTACCTTGTTCGAGAAACATAGATCTAAAAATTAATGCTTTGGTATTTGCAAGCCCACCAGTGTACAATCAACAATATAGGTGATGTGTTCATGTTTGATTTACGTGTTGTTTGATTGCATTTGACAGATAGAATGTTGGCAGTTGTAGGGATCATAAGCATGGTTTGTCCATCTGGGGTCCAGAGTGGGTAAGCGGCTGGCCCAAGGTCCCAGAGCAAGTTAGTGGTAGAGTTAGGGCTTGTACCCAGTTTCCTGAGTGCCAGTCAAAACCCTCCCATTCTGCTATATCTTTTTTTCTTGGTGTTTTTAAAGATTCCATCTAGTTCCAAAAGTATAAAATTCTAAGTAGGGGTATAGAAATTAATCCTCGTGTACTCTGAGATGTCCTCTCTTCTTCACTTACCCCTTCTTACCCTTCACTTCTTATCTTTATCCATAGGCTTCAAGCAGCTTTACTTCCCCTCTACAAGACTGCATTTAGGTCCTAGACAAATTGAATTAATCCAATAACCCGAATAAATCGAATCACTTCTTTATATGTGATTATTTGGTGGGATTTACTCTACTAATTCAAATACCACCTTCAGTAAGACATACTCATCTTTAGGCCCGAAGTGCTCCCCATGACCTATCGGAACCTCCCCTGTCCTTCACCTGCTGCTCTCGTATTCAGGAGTCCTGGTTGGCATATTTTGTGTTACTAGAGGATAGGTCAGGCCCTATTTGGCTCTTGTTCCGTGATTTGAAGACTGAACAAATATGGAGTTGCTAGTAAGTACTCACCAGGAAAGCAGGACAGGGAATGCGTGGGGGCTGTGGGTGGCCCTGGGAGAGGCTTTTAACAGCCTGGTTCAGGGGCCCTGTAAGCGAAGGCTAGCCCATCCACTTCCTCCTCAGTGCTGGCTCCTTGTTCTCTCACACGATGTACAGTCACCGAGCTCTTCCTTCACACTCTCCAGCTCCCCATAGCTATCTATCACAATTTTTTCCTGGTGTGGACTGAATGTTTGTGTCCTCCCAAAATTCATAGGTTGACATCCTCACCACCAAGACAATGGCATGAAGAAGTGTGGCCTTTGGAAGGTGACTGGTCATGAGGGCTCAGCTTTCATGTATGGGGTTAGTGCTGTTATAAAAGAGACCCCAGAGAACTCCCTCAGCCCTTCCGCCATGTGAGGACACAGTGAGAAGACAGCTGGCTATGGTCAAGGAGGGGGGCCCTCACCAGACGCCAGATCTGCTGGCACCTTCATGTTAGACTTCCCAGCCTCCAGGACTCTGAGAATAAATGCCTGGGTTTTTTAAAGCCACCCAGTCTCTGGTATTTTTGTTATAGTAGCCCAAATGGACTTAGACACCTCCTGAGTGGGCCTCCTACTCTTGGACCCTTTTCCTCCAATCTACTCACTACACAACTGCCAGAGTATCTTCTTTAAACTACATTTTTATCTTCTCGGTCCCCTTCTGCCTCCTGCTTAACCCATGAAGTCCAAGTGATTCCATTTTACCTCTACAGACTTTGAGTAACCATTCTCACCTCTAACAACCTCATTTCTTGCTAGTCCTCCAGATGAACATCTCTATGAATAAAATAAATGCCTCTCATCATAGACCAGTAGGCCAGACATTCATGAGGTTGGAAAAGGTATGCACCTAGAGAAATGCAAATGGTTGGTTGGGAAGATTAGAAGATGTGATCAGTAGGAGCTAATAAGGGTTCATGGAAAATACATTCATTATATTAATACCACTTCCTGGACTCACTGTTGTCTTTGATAGGGGTTATCAAACTGTTAGATCAGGGGATTGATATAGACATGGCATATCTATATTTTAGCAAAGCCAATTTTTTTCTTAATAATATTTTGAATAAGATGGATGAAGTTGTGTGAACCGGCTATAATGTGTTTCCACTAATGTGATATGGGACTGTATTAGCCAGGGTAAATGTTAAGCTGCAATAACAAAGAGACCCCAAAATTACATTGGAGTAAGTAAAAGACACATAACAGTCTGGTGGCCCTGGCTGACAGAGAAGCTCTGTTCTATGAGATCAATCGAGGATCTAGGTTTCTTCCACTTTGTACTGTCTCCATCTGCAAATCCAAGTTAAGTTGCAGCCACAACCACATTCCAGCTAGCAGGAAAGAGAAAAGAGAATATGAAAAATTAGTATAGAAAGTCAGCATGGGCCAGGCACAGTGACTCACATATGTAATCCCAGCATTTTGGGAAGCTGAGGCCGGCAGATCACTTGAGGTCAGGAGTTCGAGACCAGCCTGGTCAACATGGTGAAACCCCATCTCTACTAAAAAAAAATACCAAAATTGGCCAGGTGCGGTGGCTCACGTCTGTAATCCCAGCACTTTGGGAGGCCAAGGTGGATGGATCACGAGGTCAGGAGATCGAGACCATCCTGGCTAACACAGTAAAACCCTGTCTCTACTAAAAATACAAAAAATTAGCCAGGCATGGTGGCACACACCTGTAGTCTCAGCTACTCAGGAGGCTGAGGCAAGAGAATCTCTTGAACCCAAGAGGCAGAGGTTGCAGTGAGCCGAGATCATGCCACTGCACTCCAGCCTGGGCGTCAGAGCGAGACTCTGTCTCAAAAAAAAAAAATTAGCAGGGCGTGGTGGTGCATGCCTATAACCCCAGCTACTCAAAAGGCTGAGGTAAGATAATCGCTTGAACCCTGGAGGCGTAGGTTGTAGTGAGCCGAGATCACACCACTGCACTCCAGCCTGGGCAACAGAGCAAAACTCTATCTCAAAAATTAAAAAAAAAATTAAAAACAAAACAAAAAAGAAAGCCTGTAGGAAGCAAATTGGAGTATCACTCCTACTCATATCCCAAATTCTAGTCTTATGGCCCACTCCTGTATGCAAGGGAAGCAGGGAAATGTAGATTCTGTATGGGTACTCTGTGCTTAGCCAAAACTCAGTGGGGATCAAGGGACCCTTTGCTCAAAGGAAGAAGGAGAGAGGATAATATATTGGGAACAGTAGCAGCTCTGCCACATTGACCTTTGGCCAGCCATTTCTCCTCTTTAGCCCTCAAGCTCCCACCTATTGCAAAAGAATAGAAATATTTACCTGCCCTATCTCACAGAGCTTATTGGAGGATAAAATTAAATTAAATACATCAGTGTTTTGAATTTTTTAGGATTTTTTAAAGTGCTGTGCTAGAATGCAAAATGCTACAACCACTCTTTAAAAACCTTGTCAGTTTCTTATAAAGTTAAACAAACACCTACCACGTGACCCAGCAATTCCACTCCTAGGTATTTGCCCAAAAAAGTAAAAAATTATGATCACACAAAAACCTGTAGACAAATGTTAATAGTGGTTTATTCATGGAAACAACCCAAATGGATAAAGAAAGTATAGTACATCCCTAGAATGAAATATTACTCAGCAATAAAAAGGAATGAATTCCTGGATATATACATTAACCTGGATGAACCTCAATGCATTATGCTAAGTGAAAAAAAGCCAGACTCAAAAGGCTTCCTGCTGTATGATTCAATTTATATGACATTCTGAAAAAAGTAAAACTATAAAGGCAGAAAACAAATCAGTGATTGCCCCTGTATTGGTGCTTGCACAACTGGGTTTCTGTCAAAACTCTTAAAAGGGCAAACTTCATGCAATAATTTATGCCTTAATAAACTCGACCATAAAAGAAAAGGTGCCATGCTAATGCAAGCTGTTAATGAATTATCATCTACCTAACAGCTGAAAAAAATGAATTACCCTCACATCTGAATGAGATAATATAGTTCATAACTGTCACCTATGTATTACCTCAATTGAACCCCACAGCAGCCCTATGAGATAACAAGAAGAACCTCTTTCTCCTCTTACCAGATGAAGCTCAGTGTTCTTAAATTATTTCCCAATATCATACAACTAGGGAGTGACACAGCTGCAATTTTAACCAGGTTTTCTGATTTCTACTCTTTTCTCTTTTAATGCCATTATGCCATCTAGGAGTTTTGAATAATGTCAGACAGACAAAAAAAAAATTTAGTGATTTGGGATGAGAAGCAATACAAGACCAGTGGATCTTTTATAACTCCAAATCCAGCTTTCTCTAGCACCCCAGGAAGAATCCTCTGAAGGCTTTCTCTTCTAAAATTGAGACTACCCTCTTTTCCCTAGGGATTAAATGTGACTCATGCAGCAGGTGGGGGCCTCTCTGCCTGTGAGAAAACAACACAAGAGACTCAATGGGGTCCAGAAATTGGCCTCCTTGCAACTCACCAATAGCACCCTTCCCATAGGCCATGGTGGTGGTGGACCCAGTCACTAGAGTCCTGGGGTCAGAATACACAGCAAAAAAAGAAAGTAGGATGATGAGACCCTCCTAACCAAGGAGGACTGTGGTGGGAAGTAGGTGTAGAGATGGAGACTGAGCATTAAATGCTTTTTTGTCCTGATCTGTGGATTAGAAAGATTGCCCAGTCCTGACCAGCTCATGTCAGTCTCTTGCCACAGGATAAGAGTCATTAATATCTGTACCACTTGTTACAATGAATGAAGTGTTCTTACCTGTGTTAGGTGGTTTGATCCTCACTCCAACCTAGAGAAACTGATATTCCTACCATCTACATTTGCAAGTGAGAAAATAAAGGCCCAGAGAGGAAAGTTATTTTGCCAAGGACATCCAGCTAAAAATTGGTGAAGCAGGACTTGAATCTGTCTTCTGCATCCAAAGTCCATATTCTTCTTCTTTTTAAAATCCACAATTTTTTCCCTTACATCACTCTGCCCTTTTTTTTTTTTTTTTTTTTAGATCCCAGCAGATGCAGCCCCTGAACTCACCAAGTACAGGGACTGGGGGATGCATCACAACCAATATTATGTTGTCACGATGTGAAATTGAATAGTTAGAGATGTGCTCCCACACAGTTTCTCACTGGCAGTTGTTTTTAATAATGCATTTGTCATTCATGAGTCCTTTAACCCAGGGGTCCTCAACCCACCTCCCCCAGGTCCGGGGAGGTGAGCCACAGGTAAGCGAGCATTAACTCCTGATTAGATTCTCATAGGAGTGCAAACCCTGTTGTGAACTCTGCATGTGAGGGATCTAGGTTGTACGCTCCTTATAGAATCTAATGCCTGATGCTCTGAGTTGGAACATTAAAATCATCACCCTTGCCCCATCCATGGAAAAATTATCTTCCACAAAACGGGTCCCTGGTGTCAAAAAGGTTGGTGACTGCTGCTTTCACCAAAGTATACTTATTTATTTAAATCCATTTATACCTTGTAAGCCAAAAATAAAATTCTAAGCCCCCAACCAACTGAATGGACCCCCATCTTGGCTAAGGGGATTCCAAAGAAACCTGAGAAACTAGTTTAGACCATGATGGGAAGGGAGTGTCAGACATGCCTCATTGAACTCTCCTCCCTTTGGAGTTCAAGCACAACTGACCAGCAGTAACATTAAAAGAGAGATCTTAAGACTGACAACACAGACTCTTTGTAGCAATAAGATACCAAATTCCAACCTGACTCTAGTGTAGCATCACATGGCAGATAGCAGGACTTGAAAGAAATCAAAATATTGTATCCCAAAATATATTTCTTTGACATTACTTTGAAATGGTCCTGCAAAGCTGTCTTTTGTGGAAGAAATTCACATTCTGTAGAGAATCCCCTTCCCTTTCCAGGTCTTTTTCTGATCTTGAAGAGATTAGCTGAGAGTCTAGCACCTTTTAAAGGTCTGAATAGGAAACATGGCCATCTATTGCCTGTAAGAGTGGCCACCTATGAAACTTCCTCTATGTACTAAGAACCTCAGTCTCCACAACTTTTTTCTATTGATTACAGGCCTTTAGGTAGTAACTCTTACAACCAATTGCCAATCAGAAAATCTTTGAATCCACCTATGGCCTGGAAAGCCCCCGCATCCACTGCTTAGAGACGTCCTGCCTTTCTGGACCCAACAAATGCTTACCTCACATGTATTGATTGATGTCTTGTGTCTCCCTAAAACATACACAATCAAGCTGTAACCCAACCACCTTGGGCACATGCTCTCAGGAGCTCTTGGGGCTGTGCCACAGGTCATAATCCTTAACCTTGACAAAATAAACTTCTAAATTGATTGAAACCTGTCCCATATACTTTATAGTTTACAACTTTATAGAGGAAGTAAACTTTGAACATTACCCTGCCCTTTACAAAATAATATTTCTTTATTTCTTTTCAACTGACCTTTTACAACATGTAATCATTGTTCCTAATCCTACTCTTTCAAGTTATGTGAATGAATCATTCTAGCTGTGCCTTTCGTGGTTTCACATGCTCTGCTCTATCACAGTGCTCAGTCTATTGTGGGTCTGCCTTGATCCTTGTCCAAAGAGGGAAATTGCTAGGGGGACCCCATTTCAACATGGTCCCCAGTGCGTGAACCTCAGTGGTGCCTTCAGACCCAGGTCTTTATGCACTAGGGAAGGGAAGACTCTCAGGATTTTGCAGAGCAAAATACAATGATATTTTCCTTTAATTAAGGATTTTGCTTTCTTGGAGAAGGGCTGTAAACTGCAACAACTACTTTATTCTTCAAAACCTGCCTCCTGCCACAGCACATTGCTTTTGTGTTCACAGTTTTCCAACTCACATCACCCCAAATAACCCTGTTCCGTTTACCCTCCTGAAGGCTGGGCCGCCCCCCACCCCCCAGCCACACTTCAGCTCCTCTAAGTGCGGGAGCTTCTGCACTGCCTAATTACCTGCCCTGTGGAAGCCAGGAGGAGACTTCAGTCCCAGCTGGAGCCCAGCTGCTAGAGAGATGGAATATTAAGACATTTTCCTTTCTTCAGAATCCTTGTTAATTCTTCCTGGTGGTGATTAGCCAGTTATTTTTAGCTCCATCTAAGCTCCCTGGTTAGTATTCAGGACTGGTTTAGACAGCTCTGAGACACACTCACCACGTTAATGCTCTGATTCCATTCGGTCCCATTGAAGTGAATAAAATTAACTTGCAGGGCAGACCCATCCCCCAGCCTCCCCAGGTGCTCCTCTCCTGCCTCTCCTTGAGGTGCTGGCTTCTGTCCAAAGGGTCTACAGTGCTGGGTCCTGGGACAAAGTCTTACAGGAGGGATCTGGGAAATGCGCAATTTTGAAACCATATGAAGTGATGGAAATAACACTGCAATGAGAGTGAAGAAATCAAGGTTTTAGTCTGAACTTTGTCACTAGCTATCTATGTAACACTAGGCAAGTTACCTTCCTTTTGTGAGCCATCGTGAAATGGTGCAGCTGGACCAGTTGGCCCCTAAGTCCTTCCCAGGACTAAGATGCTATTGAGTCACCAAGCCTAAAATAGGAGCTGAGCATGAAGAAACCTGAGCCTGGGGGAGAGTGTCTTGACAGCAAAATGCAGGTGCCTTGTTCTTTCTTTCAATTCACCTAGCTTCCCTTTTCCAAAGCGATTCTCCTGCCTCAGCCTCCCAAGTAGCTGTGAAAACAGGTGTGTGCCACCATGCCCAGCTAATTTTTTTAATTTTAATTTTTAGTATAGACAAGGTCTTACTGTGTAACCCAGGCTGGTCTGGAACCCCTGAGCTCAAGTGATCCTCTCGTCTCAGCCTCCCAAAGTATACTGTAATGTTTTGATAACTGACCACACATTCTGCCCTGGCATTCCTTTTGATTAGAGGCCCGTGACAGATCCCTCTGCATCCCCAGCTGTCCACATACCTTTTCATTTTCCCCATTTGGTTTTCAAGCTCATGGATTGTGATATTTGCACAATTTGTGTCAAAGCCACAGCAACTATGGACCCCATCCATAAAGATTCCTTTATCACTTAGACCTTTCCTGGGCTTCCTTTCAGGTAAAGCCTCAGGCCCTTCCTCCACTGTCATCTGCTCCATGTTGCTGTTGAAAGCTGGGCTTGCCAGAACCCCTTGGTCCCTGTCCTAGCCTTCCTTGAGGGTACAGTTCCCACTGGGCTGGCCTCTAGCCCCTCCACACCTACGTCACAACAGTGATGGTCATTTCTGAAATAAATAGAACAGGCATGAAGACAGTGGAGTCTAGCTAACCTGTGGCTGAGAGACATAATGAAGTAATTATGTGTTCACTTTTAAAAGGTTCCCAAGGCTTCTACCAGGGCTGCAGGTTGAATGACCAGTAATCCCTTAGGGTGCAGTTAAGATACCTGTGTCTGGGACAAAGACTTCCAAGTAGAACAGGCCAGCCGACTGCTAGGCTGGGTTGGATGGGACCAGTCCTCTCCGGCTGGGATCCTGGGGAGCCTTTCCCTGCCTTATCTCCTGGTTCACCACTCTGTACCAAGCATTCATATCTCAGTGACCCCACCCAGCTGTGCCAGAGGGAGAGTTCCCTAACTGCTGCTGTTTGGACAAAAATCAGGCAAAACCAAGCCCAATGCATCAATTTTATGCCCGTCACTGCAACCAAGTCACATTTGAAGGGACCCCAGCTGGCTGGCACCTGCCCCTCCCTCCCTCTGAGTTTTAGAGTTGAGGAAACTCTCATAAACCTTCTAATGCTGGGACTACACATTTTATTGTAATCATAAATAGAACATAATACCACAACAGGTGCACTGGGATGCTTGCTTAAATAATAAATGCAGTCAGCTTTGTTGCCTATTCACCCAGTCCTTCAGGTGCCTGAACAGCTGTGGGCTAGGGGTGGTGGAAGCTTCTGCCCAGGGTTGTATTGCTCAGGGAGAATCAGAGAGAAAATGTCCTTACCTTGAACTCAGGTTGTACAGTGTGAATGCTGACATACACCGCAGTTCTTCCACACCTATGTGGTGTGGGGCCCAGTTCGAATACCAGCTGTGTGTCGTGGAAAGACCATTTAACCACACTGAGTCTGTTTTCTCACTTGTGAAACTAAGATGCTAGAATTTAGGGTAATTCTGATGAGTAAATGAGTCAGGGAGTGTGGTTCTGGGGCCTGTGTTCCCTCTGTCAAAATCCACTCACTCCCTGGGGCTGTGATCGAGAAATCTGCCCCTGAAGCTTGTCCTTGGTCAGAGAAGCCCCCTAAGGGTTAAAAGACAATTATGGACCACTTCAACCCACTAGGATAGTGCTTATTAAAAAATAAAAAAGAAAGAAAGAAAAGAAAAACCTAGAAAATAACAAGTGTCAGTGAGGATGTGGAGAAATTGGAAACCTTGTGCACTGTTGATGGGAACGTATGATGGTGCAACCTTTGTGGAAGTTCCTCAAAAAATTAAAAATAAAGCTACCATATGATCCAGCAATTCCACTTCTGGGTATTTACACAAAAGAAGTAAAAGCAGAAACTCAAGGAGATATTTGTATGTCCATGTTCATAGCAGCGCTATTCACAATAGCTACAACATGGAAGCAACCCAAGGGCCCGTTAATGGATGAATGGATGAAAACAATGTGGAGTATAGTTCAGCCTTAAAAAGGGAGGAAATTTTGACATATGCTACAACATGGAGGAACTTTGAGGACATTACACTAAGTGAAATAAAATAGGCATGAAAGAACAAGTACCGTACTCATACAGGACTGTACGCACTCATTCAAAGTAACTACAGTGCTCAAAGTCACAGAGACAGAAAGTAGAATGGTGGTTGTTGGGGGTTAGGGGGAGGAGGGAGGAGGAGTTGCTGTTTAACGGGTACAGAGTTTTAGTTTTGCAAAATGAAAAGAGTTGTAGAGATGGTGCGCACCATGATGTCAATGTGCTTAACATAAGTGAACTATGGTTAAAATGGTAAATTTAAGGATATGTGTATTTTACCACAATAAGAGAGAAAGAGAATTGTAGAGCACAATGGAAGTGACAGTTGAAGGAGTCTTCAACCAGTGCAGGCACTTTCATTTGTTTTATTTCCTCTACAGGTGTAGAAAATAATAATACTATAGTAAATGCTATTGAGCATTAACCTGGCTTTGCCCATATCATCACCTCCAATTTTTATAGCAATCCAGTTAAGTAGGTAGCATCATCCCCAGTTAACATTAGGAAACTATGGTTCAGGGGTTGGGTAAGAATGGAATGAGTTATGGCATTAGCCAGCTACTTCCTGGTACAGGGCTTCAGTGGTCATGACGGTGTGTACTAGGCTCTGGGGGCATACATGTACTTGAAGCTTCTTTGTGGTCTCTGGAAACTCTTGGTCATATTGAGAAGACATACGCAGTGAGAAAGGCTCAAACTGGAGCCTTGAGGGCACAGGAAGGTGGAATCACCGAGACTTGGGAGTTCATAAAAAGAAGCAAGCACTGAATTGGCTGAAAAGGGGGAAGTGTTGAAGGGCCTAAATTCTGGGGGACAGAAGGTAAACAGTAGATTTAGACGGAAAATATTATTTATTAGCAGGAAAAAAGTGAAGTGCAATTACAAACAAGATTTCCTAATGTGGGTATGTGGGTAAAAGGTCATCAGGCTGGGAAAGCCAATGTAGGGATTGCAATTGGAAGCACATTCAAGTCCAGGTAATAATAGCTAATACTTATTGAGCCCGGCTTGTGTGGCAGGTACTGTTCCAAACTCTTTACATACATAATGCATTCAATCCTCACAACAACCCAATGAGGTAAATCTTATTCATTGCACTCACTGTATAGATGAGGAAACAGACTCAGAGAAGTGAAGCGATTTAGTCCAACATCGCAGAGCCAGAGAGTAGCAGAGCCAGGATGCAAATTCAGAATGTGGACTCCAGAGCCCTAACACCCAACTCTGACTCTGTGGGGTGATCACAAACATGAGTCTTTATTATTTAACCAAAATTTTTTGTGCTTGGTCATAGACATGATGAGCAACCTTGTTCGGTCAGAAATTAATATTTTGAGAATAGTTGCTGATATTTGTGTTTTGTGCATAACACTTATCACAGATGCTTACAAAAAGCTGGTAGACTTTTTGTCTACCAAAAAGTATGAGGAGCTGTAAAGGTGGGAGGGCTTCTCTATGTTCCTGCTCAGAGCCAGTAACCATGGCAACAGTAAATTATAACTTCACTGCTGCAGACCCACACAGCTAGCAGAGATTACAATAGATGGTCACTGAGATCATCAAGGACCTAAGTTGGTCAGGATGTGGTCGATTTAAGTGACAGAAACCTAACTCAAACTAGCTTAAGCAAGAGGACAAAAATCTGGCTTATCAAACACATTTCAGGAACAGCCTGGAGTGGAACCAGCTTAGAAACACACACTGTCAACAGAGACTTCATAGACATCGGTCCTCAAGACCCCACCCTAACTTTAGGTCACATTTTCTTTAAATTTCCCCAAAGACCATTTATGTGAGAATTATTTAGAGAAGTGGGGCAGAGGAGTGCATTAAGAATGTAAATTTCTGGAGGGGATTCTTGATCTACTAAATCAGATTCCCTGAGCTTGTGGCCCAGGAATCTGAATGTTAAACATTCTTCCCAGGTAACTTTTGCAAGTCTTAATGTGAGAACCACTGCCTAGGTTATAACAGCAACAAGGCATATCATGTGACCTGTTCCTTTGTCACACTGTTGCAAGGAACCATGTCCCTTTCCTAATATCTCAAGTATTTACCCAGTAGTGTGATTATCTGATTAAAGCCATTTTTCCCCACCCGACTGTAGGGTTCATGAGAGCAGAAACTACATTTGTTGGTAAAATGCCCTCCATTGCATCCCCATTGCCTAACTCAGTGTCTGGCATATAGTGAGTGCTCAATAAATATTTATTAAATGAATGAATGAATGGATGTACTTTAGTCCACAGAGTTGCTCTCACATTCTTTTCTCACTTAACCCACACAACAAGCTACAATGAGGTAAGTAGGCTAGACATTATTATTACCATTTTTCAAGCAAAAAACCTGAAACCCAGAGAGAGACTCCCCAAGTCAGGTACTAAGTGGTCTTTCAATTCTCTTTTTATGTCTTCCAATATGATCCTTCAAACAGGGTGGCAAAATAGCCGGCCATTAAGGGTGTCCCCAGAAAAGGAGATAGGGCACATGAGATCTGATGCCTGTCCCCAGCTGAGCTATAGGCCTCCTTCCTGGACACACCTTTCTGTTTTATTTCTTATCTCTTCCTAGTTCAGCTCCACAGCTGTTCTGTATGAACCTCCTTCCTTCTCTCTAGGGGTCAAGTGAGGAAATCGAAGGGAGAGTGGGACAAAGAAGAATCGAGTTACTCAGAGATTTGCAAATAAAGTTCTGATCTGCAGAGAACAGGACAAAGAATCGTACATTACATAAAATCTCCCAAATCCAGTCTGCTGTCTATGTACCCTGAGATCAGAACACCGACAAACACACATCCAAAAGTGGAGGGGAAGCCAATGTTTCAACATGATGACGGCTATCAAATAGCCATAATCATCTGCAAAGATGCAATGCAACTTTGAGGTGTTTTGTCAAATATTGATAAGCATTTCCTGAGCACTATCATGCTCCTGACAGTCCACTGGGCACAAGGGAGGGAAGACACAAAAGACATGAGACACAGACCCTTGCCTGAAGGAGCACATAGCAGCCTTTGTGTTGGAAAGAATGCGATGTTACAACACAATTAAGGGAGGAATCAAAGTACGTAGTTAACTACATGTTGATTTTAATGCTGTGGGAGGTCAAGATTGAGCTGTTTGGGCTGGAGGGCAAAGAAAGTGGTCATGGAAAATGTGACTAGGTCTAGAGAGACCGTTATAATTTTAAAAGGCAGTGGAGAGGGGGAGGATTCCTGAGAAGGCGGGACCGAGCATGGCTGAGAGCATGACTGACAATGGACCAGAGAAGAGGCTCCGGCAGGAGGAGATGGTGAGGTGCTAGCGTCCCTGTGCCCTCAGGCCAGACTGCCTCATTCTGCTCCTGGCCCCACTGCCTGCTGCTTGTGCTTCCCTTCCCTCTCCACAAGAATGGGGTGGTCATGATGATTATAATAATACATACTCTAAAAAATATAGGTTAATATAGGGAAAGACCTTTTAACAAGTACCTGGTTTGATTAAATTGTGACTGTTATCATTCAACAACATTCCTTGAGCTTCTATTGTGTGGCAGGCAGCCACTGTGTTAGGGGGTGAAAGAGAAGAGCCTTCCTCTCAAAGATCTGCAGGAAGATGAGGGAGGAAGCCAAGCAATACAATTACATCGCAATTGCATGTGATAAGTATACCACAGAAGAGGATACAGGGTACTCTGAGACTCAAGGCTGGGTCTCCTCTGAGCCCACCTGGAAGCATCCCAGGAAGACATCTTAGAGGAGGTGATGGCTATGGAACCCAAAGTGCAAAGAAGTTTCTCAAATGAAGAGGAGAAAGAAAGGGCAATGGAGATCGAGGAACTACCTAGTGCTTGAAGTACCAGATGTCATGGACAGTTGAGAGAAGGGGTTTTTATGTGGGGAGAATTGAGACTAGAGAATGAAGTTGGTGTTTGGTGGGGGCCTTGGGTGTCAGGCTAAGGAGGTAGGACTTGGTAGGCCATGGAGAGTAATTACAGGCTCATGAAGGGGAGTGAAGAGGCATGTGGAGATTGCATCTGAGGTGAGGTTCCCTCCCTCCCCGGGCCTGGCTCCTCATCTGTAAGGTGAAGGAGGCTGGAAGAGCCAGCGCATACTCCACACTCTGAGAACTGATGAGCACTCAGACCTGTGTAGCAGATTCACAGTTCCCCCCACTTCCCCAGTCCCCCACGCTGCCTGCATATTTGTATAATCACTGGACCACAGCACTGCAGAGAGGGCCAGGTTAATAGATATACCTGAAACACCGTCAAATCATTTATTCAACTAAATTCATACGCCAGCATTGGTGAATAAGGCAGTCATGCTATCTGCCCTCCTAGAGTTTATAATCTACCTCACTGTGCACAGGCAGCGGGGAGATGAGGTCCCAATTGAGAAGCCTAGACTCCTGAAAAGAGGACAGGAAGGAACCTGTGTAGGCCAGTCTGGCTGCCTCTGTCTTGCAGCCCAGGGAAAGACAGCACCCATCTCTTCTGGCAGAATGGAAGCTGTGTGTGTCCACGTGCATGCTAGGGCTGGTTGGGGTGGGGCTTGGGGAACCACACTGTCTTTCATCCTCCCTCACACCCACATGCTGTGGAAGTCTGTCTCCCCTAACAGCCTTCCCGTAAAGAGAAATTTTCAAACTTGAAATGGGAGCAGGCAGGGACTGGAAGCTGTGAGGAAAGCATGGGTGGGATGGACCAGGAACCCTAGAACAGTCCCAGTCTCCCAAAAGACAAGCAGACTAGCAGTGGAGGCTTAGGTAAATATAAACCCTCTTGTTCCTGGGCTAAACAAATCCCACTCCACAAAAGCTTCAAAACCAGCTCTCTGGGCATTGTCCCATGGAAAGCAATGCTTTCTTTGTTAAATCTTTTAATCCGGCTGTCTCTTATCTTGCCATTCCCCCAAGTTCCCACAGACTCCCAGGGATCCCTCTCTGTTCTGATGCAGATTTATCCAACTGGAACCAGCTTAGGTCCAGGAACAATTGGAAAGTCATAGGCTGGAGTGGTTGCTGTCATTTGCCCAAAGAGCAAGTCTTAATATGGGTAGAGCCTGGTGGCAGAACTAGGTCCAGGGTCTAGGTCAACAGAAACTCCCCACAGGCTGTTCCTGGGGGCTGCTGTTGGAGACACCGAGGCCTACCTCTCAGTTGCCCCTAGGTCCTGGCCTGTCAGATCCTAGATCCTTGCTTTCCTAACCTTATGACCAACCCAGGATGTCTCCAGGGGCAATCCTTGCTGGTCCCAGGCTGACATCCTAGTTGGCGCCCTTGTCCTCCTCCCCCTGCTGCCAAGAGCCCTGCATGTGAATCCTAGCTTCAGTATCACCAGGGGAGGATGTGGGGCTGTATAGACCTAAAGGTAGAACCTGAGGCAAAATTAATGGAGAGTTTATTTGGGGCGAGGCATAGTGTCTCATGCCTGTAATCCCAGGCTTTGGGAGGTCGAGTGTGGGCGGATCACTTGAGGTCAGGAGTTTGAGACCAGCCTGGCCAACATGGTGAAACCCTGTCTTTACTAAAAATACAAAAATCAACTGGGTGTGGTGGCACGCATCTGTAGTCCAGCTACTCAGGAGGCTGAGGTTAGTGGATTGTTTGAGCCCAGGAGTTTGAGGCTGTAGTGAGCTATGATTGTGCCACTGCACTTCAGCCTGGGCGACAGAGCGAGACTCCGTCTCAAAAAAAAAGGTTTATTTGGGCCAAGGTTGAGGCCTCCAGCCCGGGACACACTTTCGAGTTGCCTTGGGGAGTGCTCTGGAGAACAAAAGAGAGGCTCCAGTGTTTAAAGAGAAAAAGGACAAATCAGGAGGGGGAGATTACAAATGTTGTTGTTCATCAGGAATTCTCATTGGTTTGCAGAAATAACATTGGTTCGTGATTATCTATACCTTGTGAACTACAGTATGTATGGCATGTTATGGCCACTTGCCTTCAGTTAGTCTAGCACTTGCATAGCAAGTGGCTTCACGACAATTATTTCACTCAAGGGGGAGTGACCTGACAGCCCTTTCATTCCAGTGCCTCTCTGGACCTGATAAAGGGGTTCATATTCCTCAGATAAAAATGTTCTTTTCTTTTTTCTCCCACAGCTATATGAAAAGTAGAAATAATATCTACCTCATTTTTTCTTGGAGAAATAAACAATAAGAAAAGAAAGAAAACACTTACCACACAGAATTATCATGAGATTTAAAGTAGATAATATATATAAAGTGCATATACCTGCTGGTAACTGTTGGACTCATTCCTCTTCCAGGTAGTCAGATACTCAAATACTTAACAAACATTTTCTGAGTATCTGCTATATACGCCCAGTGCTGTGTTAATCAACACGGCAAGCTCAACAGAGGTATGTTCTACGTGGTTTTTATTCCCAATTAACCAAGTAATCAGAAAATGGGTATTATAGACTTCCTGTATACCTGGCATCAAGCTAGAAACAGTGACAAATTAAAACATGCATGACGCATGACAAGGTTCCCTCCCATGGATTCACTCTGGGGAGATTAAACAAACACACAGAAAAAGTGAAATAACAATATAAGAACAACTAACAATGCTGAAAGCACAAATACAAGAAGCGTGCGATGCACACAGTCCTCTGCTAAATGGAATGGCTTGTCTAGCAGAATACAGGAGACCTCAGGCTAGAAATGTGGAAATCAAGAGGCCATATGGGAGCCTGGAGGCTGAGGGTGGGAGTGGGGATTGCTTGAGCCCAGGAGTTCCAGCCCAGCCTGGCAACATAGCAAGACCGTGTCTCTACAAAAAAAATTTTTTTTAATTAGCTGGGTGTGGTGGTATGTGCCTGTCATCCCAGCTACACAGGAGGCTGAGGTGGGAGGACATTCAGCCCAGTGGTTTGAGGCTGCAGCAAGCTATGATGGTGCCACTGCACTCCAACCCAGGCAACAGCAAGACTCTGTCTCTAAATAACTAAAATTAATTAATTAAATAAAAATAAATGAGAATGGTGAGTATTTAAAAAAAAAAAACATGAGAGAGGCCATATGGAGGGAACAGAAAGTGGGGGGAGTGGGAATTCACAACTATGCTACTGGGGTTTTTGTGGTGATGATGGTAGTAATCGTGCTTATTCTAGTTTTGGTCAAGAGAAGAGGCTAAAACATGTAGCTTGGATCACACTGTAGAAAAGGTGGAACAATGTGGTAGATCAAAGGGCCGTGGGGTCGACCAACTGGATGGGACAACCTACTCCAACCTGCTACCTGGAGCAAGTCACTGAATTTCTCTAAGTCTCATTTGCTGTTTTTACCTCCCAAGGTTGTTGTAAAGATTAAATAAGACAGTTCATATATCTCAGTAAGCCTAGCATCTGGCGCTTAGGTATAAATATATGAGCTTTTATTATTATTAATAAAATAAAGGAAAGTCATAGTCTCCTTTTTTGCTCTTTATGTTGGGCGTGCAACCCATCCTAAACCTTGCAAGTCTTTTTTGCTGAGAAAGACGGGCCTACTGCTACAGTTGTGAATTATGCTTTTAGAATTAGTTTTCATGTTTTATTTCTTAATTTATTTGGTCTGGAAACACACAATTTCAACCATTCAAGGGAGAAAAGCCCTGAGTGTTTTATTTATCGCAAACCCAATGTCTGCTGTCCACCGTAAGAGACAACTTTGTCCAACTGGCCTTATTTTGTTGTTTTTGTTGTTCTGTTTTGTTTTGTTTTGTTTTAGGCTTTTAGCAGCCTGAAGCCATGGTTTTTAGTTTCTGTCTCTAGTAATAAGCAGATAAGAAGGATGAGGAAGGAGCTTTACTGGTCCAACCAGAAACAGAAACTAAGAACCCATGACTGTATTCTCGCCCTTGGACACCCTAAAGCTTCCGGGTAGATAGGCACTGCACCCTGGGCCTGCAGGATGGTCTGGTGCCAGGTGTGGCTGCCTTCTCAGCCCAGTTAGTCTCAGCCTGGGACCCCCTGGCTCTGGGCATGTAGATTTTGGTCTTTCTATTGTTTTCTCCTGGCAAGACAGCAAATCAGAGGGGCTCAAAGAACTCAAGGCAGTTTTCTATTGTCCATAATAGGTGGGAATGGGATTAGCAAGAATACGTAAAATCCACACTCCACCTGCTTCTTAAACAAATCCTTTACTGTAATCACCCACAGGCTCTAACATTGATTGATCTTATGTCCTCTGCCTAATCCTCCTCTGGTGGGTGTATTAATGATGAGAGCCTAAAGGCAGCTGGCAAAGAGAAGGCTAGAGACAGAGTGAAGAAGGGGAAGAACATCTACAAACTGAACCATTAGTCTGAATAATTGAGAGCTGACTCTGTTTGAAATTTGACTTTTATAATGGTTTGGCCAGAGCTGGGGCCCAAGAGGCTCCCTTCTAGCCTCATGATAACAACCATGGGGCCAAAAGCCAGGCCTGCACAGTGCTTTTCTAAATGGAACAGCTGCTGCTATCGTCACCCAAAGGAAGGTGTCTCCCGGGGCCAGCAGTCCCTAAGCAGTCTTTCAGCCATATTATTATGAGTAGGGAAAGGCTCTGAGGCCAGGCCTACGTAGCCTGGAAGGACAATGGCTTATATCAATTGGGGTTGCCATCACAAGAAGGAACATGTTAACTGGGCCACTGGCTTAAAGGCCCTGAATTTTGGAGCTTGGGAGGATTTCGCAGCTTCCTTTGTTTTTCCTTCAATCTTACATGAGAGAGTTTCATGGAATTAAGATTAAGGCAGGGACGGTATTTGCCACAGGTAGCGACTTGCCATCTCTTGGCCAGGTTGGCACCAAGCCCCATTGTGAGTGAACCATAGGCTGGGTCACATTCACTTTGCATTTGTGCGGGTAGCAAGTTGGGTCTATCTGAACACACAATCTGCAAGTTCACTAGCAAAAGAGTTGTTTACTGTACTTCTTTAGCATGTGGGGTCAACTCATTGACCCAGAAGGAGGCCATCAGAGATTTGCAGGAGACAGACTGGGACTCTATCTAAGCTGATTTCCCCTGGCAAATGACTGAATCCCTCCACACTTCAGTTTCCCCTTCTATGAAAAAAGAGGGAAAAATGTTTGCCACTCAGAATTGTTAGGAGGAATATAGGTGATCAAAATTCTTACAATGTCAAGCATGACAGTCAGTAAACTTGTCTTCCCCTTATATACCCAGTGGTAGCTGCATTTGCAGTCTCCTGACAGGGGAGACTGTTCTCTTCCAAAGCAGAGTCCCCAGGCAGGAGCTACTGTTGGCATAAAACCATCTGTTGAATTGTACTGTTGTTGCATGGAAGGCAAGAGGACTCCTAATGTTTGATGTCTTTGGGGCTTTTGCCTTGAAGGACAATGGGGATAGACCTTTGCCTCGGAAAAGGAGCGACTCAAGTACAAGGCAGGTAAAACCATGGAAAGCAACAAAAGATCAGGGGACCCTTAGGCTGCTGTGAAGACCGTACCATGAAAATCGAGATAAGGTGGTGCTTTCCTCAGTCAGCAGGAGCACCCAGTCAAACAGAGCACCTGGCCCCCGCCCAGCGAATGAAGAGTGGTTGATTCATGAAGAGCCTGGAATGGAGACAGCACCTGTCAGAAGAGGTGATGGGGCATGAGTATGTGTACCAGGTTCAGAGTTCGGGCTCCTTCAGTCCAACTGACCAATAGGAGAAAACGCTGAAAAGAGACGGTGATTCAGGGCTGGCAGTGAGGAAGTCCCCAACTTTATCAATGTACCTGAATTATTGTTTGGTTCTTCCTGTCTTTGGCTTTTGATAGTTGTGGTCCTCAGCCAAGAAGAGACAGAGGAAATGGAACAGAGGGTGTTCCTGAGAAATATGGGGGAGGAAGAAGTTATTGTCAACTGGCGCTCCCGCCTGCAATTATTGTGGTGTTGGCGTTCCTCATACTTCCCAGTGCCGTCCCCACCACTCATTGTGCTGGCTTGGAGGCACTCGGTTCAGAGTCTTCAAACCCTCCTCCTCAGCCTTGGCCAGGCTGTCTGTCTCCTCAGGGCAGCCAAAGAAGATGAGCTCATTTCCAGAACCCAAGAGGTGGCTCTGACCCTCTCTTCCCAGTTATTGCTGAAGTTGGGTGGCTGAAACCAGTCAGGGCATCATGCTGGCACCAGGCCAGTCTTGCATCAGGCAAATCTGCTGACTCATCTCTCTCTTCTAAACAAGCTCTGAGAGTTGGCATGCAGGAAGCAGCACCAAGGAGTCTGATGGCGTGGGCCACCTGGCAGGGACTGACCAAGGGGAGGCGAGGAGCAGCAGCCACCTGCCACCCCAATCCCACATTCTTCTAACAGCACCAGGGACAGAAAATATGTGCCTACCCAAGAATTTCAGGGCCACAAGTAGAAACAAGTATATCATAACAGGGAAGGTTGCAACATGAGAAATATGCTTTCCCTGAGAAAAGTGGATAACTTGACTTGAATGATCTTCAAAAATTATGTTTGGTGTTTGGAAAAGCTTAGTGGATTCTTTAAAAAGAGCTACACATTAATATTTGCAAATAAAAGATATACAAAGAATAAAACAAAAAAAATGGCCCATAATCTCCTCTCCCCCAACCTCAGATAATTGTAGAAGTACTTGATTAGATAATATATATGTACAAAATAAAAAGTGAAAGCTCCCATCCCCTGACTTATCCCTCTCTTAAACGCACATTTTTACGTGCTTTTTCTTTCTTTCCCATGGGAAAACAATGTATGTATACCCCTACATTTCCATTTGTCCTTAAACATCTTTAGTGTACCAAAACCGCCTCAGGTTTGCACAACTTCATGGAACACCAACCACATTGTACTTTAGGGTGTCTTGAACAGGGGCAATATTCCCATAGCACACAGTGTGAATGGTGCCCACCAGAGCCGCACAGTGTGGTAGGAGTGCTGTTTCCACATCATAGTATATCCTGGAGCTCTTTTCAGATCAATACATACGGATCTATCTCATTTTCTTTTAAACATCTGGTTTCATAGATTCTATCATTTGGATGTACCATCATTTCTTCAACCAGTCCCCTGTGGGTAGACAATTCATTTCCTCCTTCCTCAATTATAAGAACACTCCAATTAGCATCCTTGTACAAATATATTAGCAAACTCTTGTGAATGTCCGTAGAATAAAGTCTTACCATTGGGATTCTTAAGTACATACATCTTAATTTTATAGACATTGCCTAATCAATAACTTCATTTTAAAGAACAACTACTCCAAGGAGCAAAACAGTTTCCCTGACTTAATTCCTCCCTTGAAGGAAGGTGAAAAGGATTTACCTGACATTGTAACAGAGTCCCTTTATGACCAAAAACAAGATTAACTGGGTATGAATACAGATTGGGTGAATAAGAGAGAGGTGGATTGGATGAGGAAGAATAAAGAAAATTCTTTAGAATTTACAAAGGACTGTCATCTTAACCACTGATATGAAGAAAGGTGGACAAAAGGGCTTAAAAGGCCTCTTATTCTCTATAACTTGGTTGTTCACCCTAGAGGGACTTTGTCGTTCATGAGTTAGTGACATGTTGCATCTATAGACTCATCATACATCAGTGAGAGCCACCAAGCAGCTCAGAAAAGAAATGGAGGTTTAACCATGCGCTCTATGCTTTTACTGTATGTGCTAGGATTTTCTCAGAGATTCCATTATTGAATGTGTGTTTCACTTACCTACTGTAGCTCTACAATAAAGCAACATTATCTCTCATCCTTCTGTGGGTTGACTGGACTCAGCTGAGTGGTTCTCACTTGGGGTCTCCCATGTCATTGCAGTCATATGCGGGCTCTTGTTTCAAATGGAATTTCCCAAAGTAATTTGTAACTTTCCCCCAGCCTCCTGTAGCTATTATTCTCCTGAAGACAGGAGGATGGAGGATTGGCCGTTAGTGTTTGGGTCACAAGAGACATACCTAACTCAAACTGACTTAAAGGAAAAGATGAATTTACTGGCTTAGGTAACTTCAGGAATACTTCAGGAGTACCTAGATCTAGCTGTTAAAATAATCTTATTAGGAATTTGTTTCTTTCCATCTCTCAAATTATTTTTTTCCTCTATTAGGTTCTTTCTCAAATAATGCCACCAAGTGCTCCAGGCTTAAGATTAACAACCTTGGGAAAAAGAAAACATCTCTCCCAGTGGCCTCAGCACCATCCTGAAGCTTTTATTGGACTGAGTGGGTCACATGTATATCTCTGAACAAATCTTCATGGCCAGGAGAAGGGGATGCACTGGCCAAGCCTGGGCATTTGGCCAACCTCTGGGTCTGGGAGATGGAATCAGCTTCCCCCTAATTGTATGAACTGATATTAAGAGTGAATTACTTAGTAAAATGAATGTGGAAGAAGGGAGACTGTAGGCAAAGACAAAAGATGTCTACCTATAAGGTCCTTACCTGGGACTGGTGTGACAATGCTTGGGAACAAGTCACGCTTTGGGTGAACCTGTGGTTCAATTGGCTTTTGAATCCTCAGCTGTGATTAGGAGAACACTGAGACTTTTTCACCTTTGACAGTGGTCAGTAGATATATAGAATCATGGAATCATTCAATGGCTGAGACCCTGAGGACCACTGACTCCAATCCCCCACCTAGTGGTTGAGTCCCTTCCACAGCTCCTCTGCAAACACTTAGAAATGCTCGGTGGCAGGATGTTTGCTCACTGCCTTCAAAAGCAATCTCTTCCATTATTAGGCATCTCTATGTGTTTTTAAAGTTATTATAAAGTAAAGTAAATACTAACCATCTAAAATTGACTCCTACATGTTAGACACTGGGCTGTACACTTTACATGTCTTATTTCAACTTCATTTTACAATATTCCTGTGAAAAGAGTTACTGTTATTAGCCCTGCTTTACAGAAGAGGAAACTAAGAGCAGGAGAAATTAAGTAACTTGGGTATTTTGAGGACAAAAATCCTCATGGTATACCTCTGCATTGTGAAGGTCTGCCATTCTGTAATTTTTACCCATTGATCTTATACTTTGGCCTTTTGGAGTTATTTGGATAACTCTTCAAATAATTTCAGACAGCTACAACATATCTCCTAGGGCTTCAGTCTTCTAAGGTAAGCATCCATATACCTTCTTACATTCTGAATGTAAAGTGGTTTACAGAGATTTCACCAGATGCCCTTCTCTGGGCATGCAGAAGTATGCCTCTTAAAATGTGCTTAAAACCCACTCTGGGCCAGGCAGGTGCCTCACGCCTGTAATCCTAGCACTTTGGGAGGCCAAGGCGGGTGGATTGCCTGAGCTCAGGAGTTCAAGACCAGCCTGGGCAACATGGTGAAATCCCATCTCTATTAAAATACAAAAAAAATTAGCTGAGCATGGAGGCATGCATCTGTAATCCCAGTTACTTGGGAGGCTGAGCCAGGAGAATTACTTGAACCCAGGAGGCAGAGGTTGCTGTGAGCCGAGATCGCACCACTGCACTCCAGCCTGGGTGACAGAGCAAGACTCCATCGCAAAAAACAAAAGTGATCTAACCAGTGTAAAATATTATGGGATGTCTTCACTGTGGGTGTATAAAACTGTCAGCACAACTCAGACTGCATTTGGTACTTAAGGAGTCACATTCCACTGACAACTCAGATTGAGGTTGGAGCCATCTTCCATGCTAAGGTCTTCTTCATCCATGTCTGTTGAGTCTCTCCCAGGTTATAACAGAATAGTTAACTTTTTGAGCCTCTGGGGCAGGACTTTACCTTTATCCTTGTTAAATTTCACGCTGTTCATTTTAGTTTATTGCCCAATTACTGGGAATTTTTATTATATCGTTCTATACCCCAGTTATCTCTCCCAGGGTAGAGCATCTTCAAATTTGACAGGCATGTATTTATCAAGTCAGAGACTTAAAAAAAAATGGACAAAACAGGAACAGGAATAGAAAATGCCACTGGAGACATTCTGGACTGAGCCTTCTTAGTTAACAAATCCCACCAAACTGTACTATCACTCCACCCTCAGTTCTCCAATTCTACAACAATTTATGAGAGATTTTGTCAAATACTGTGACATATTTCCTATAAAACATGTCCAAAGATGTATTACTCTGTTAAAATATTTTAGGGGGAAGAGGTTGGTTTGTTATTCTTTTATTCATTAAATTATCTAGTATTTATTGAGCATTGGCTCTGCCATTTATTAGCTGAAAGGCCCTGGGCCAGTTATTTAAATCACCAATGCCTTAATTATCTTATCTGTAAAATGGAGATAATAACCTCCCATACCTTACATAGCTGATGTTGAAATTAAATCAGATAATAAACCTAAGTTACTTAGAATGGTTCCTGGCAGGTAATAAATGCTCAGTAAATATAAACTATAAACCCCAATTGAACTATTTAGTGCTTATTTTTCTCAGTTAACACTACTTTCCCTCCTTTTCTGGTTACTGCGTCCAAACCTCCTGCAGTGTTTATGTATTTTTAAATTGATACACAATATCTGTACATATTTATGGGATACATGTGATATTTTCATACATGAATACAATGTGTAATGATTAATTCAGGGTCATTAGGATATCTATCACCTCAAACATAAATCACTTCTTTGTGTTGGGAACATTTCAAGTCCTCTCTTCTAGCTATTTTGAAATCTACTGTAAATTCTTGTTAATTATAGTTGCCCTACTATACTGTCAAAGCTAGAACTTTTTTTTTCTTTTTTTGAGCAGAGTCCCACTCTGTTACCCAGGCTGGAGTGCAGTGGTGCAGTCTCAGCTCACTGCAACCTCTACCTCCCAGGCTCAGGTGATCCTCCCACCTCACCCTCCCAAGTAACTGGGACTACAGGCACACACCACCATGCCCAGCTGATTTTTGTATTTTTTGTAGAAACAGGGGTTTCACCATGTTGCCAGGCTGATCTCAAACTCCAGGGCTCAAGCAGTCCTCCTGCCTTGGTCTCCCAAAGTCCTGGGATTACAGGTGTGAGCCACCGTGCTTGGCCTACAGAACTTATTAGTCTGATCTAACTGTACTTTTGTACCCAATAACCGACCTCTCTTCTCCCCACCCACAACCTCTAGTAACCACCACTCTACTCCCCACCTCCATGAGATGAAGGGTTTCTTTTAGCTCTCACACATTTTGTTCTCCTTTGGCCTCTTCTGATGACTGCTGGCAGGTGCACCCCTCTCCAGCTATGCAGGACTCCCTCGGGATCGTCACCAGTTCACATGAGGATCTAGAGCCTTCTCTTTGCCTTCCTCACTTTGGTTATTTGTGGTTTTAGCATTTTGATGGCATTTTTTGGGCTTCCCTGCCATCCCTTCTGTCAGGTTTTAAAGCTCTTCCTGGCAGGTGCCTGCAGCCAGCCCCCTGAAGGATTAGTGACAGCTGCCGGCAGCCGGCCTGCTACGGGGAGGCACTGTGTAATCTGCCTTTGTTGGCCTAGGCCTGTTGTCAGCCAGCCCTGGGGTGACTGCACTGAGATTTCATAAGAGGGAAACATAACTTTGTCCTCTCTCTCTCTCTCCCCCCCCGCCACTCCCCAGTCACTCTCTCCCTCTCTCCCTCTCTCTCTCTAGTATTAGGATTCAGTGGGTTATTTCCCCACCTCTTCCCTTGCAAATTTTTTTCATATAAATGGATTCAGTATCTGAGCATTTTTCCTCTCCAAATTCCCTAATCTGCAATACACATACCTTTCTCCAGACATAACAATGTGTGTAATTATGTTATCCAAAAAAAGAGAAAGGGCCACGTGCAGTGGCTCCTGCCTGTAATCCCAGTACTTTGGGAGGCTGAGGCAGGTACATCACTTGAGCCTAAAAGTTTGAGACCAGCCTGGGCAACATGATGAAACTCTGTCCCCATAAAAAATACAAAAATTAGCCAGGTGTGGTGGCATGCACCTGTGGTCCTAGCTACTTGGGAGGTTGAAGTTGAAGAAACGCTTGCGCACAGGAGATCAAGGCTGCAGTGAGCCAAGATTGTGCCACTGCACTCCTGGCTGGGCGACAGAGTGACAGCCTGTCTCTGAAGAAGGAGAATGAGAATGAGGAGGAGGAGGAGGAGGCGGAGGAGAAGGAGAAGAAGAACAAGAAGAAGAAGAACAACAATAAGAAGAAGAAGGAGGAGGAGGAAGAGGAGGAGATTCCTTTCTTCTCCCATCTCCTCACTCCTCCATACTTTTAAGCCCACCTCAGGGTCACCATAATACCCAACTCTAGGGGAAACTATTTGTATGGTTTGCATGATAAACGGTGACCTTCTTGAATTGTGCAACACGGCAGCACAGCCTGACTCTCTATAGCTTGATCATCCTGCTCTCCATCCCATCTCTTCTTGCAGGCTCTTAATTCTTGATAGATGAAAATGTTGCTGGCTTGGAACATCACACTAAAGTACTAGATATGGGTGGGCTGTTAGCGGGACAAAAACATCTTGCTGACACAGAGGATACTGTCTGAAGAAGACAGCACTCAGGAATGCCTAGTGATTGGCATGATGCTCGGGCTGGCTAGAGGGGGCCCAGGTGTGCCTCATAGTGTGCTTGTGTGGCATTCACCACGGAGGAAAGGCAGCCAGCACTCACTGAGGACCCACATCAGCCCAGGCCTATACCTGAGCTTTCTCATGCTCTCTCACTTACTCTTCAATAGGCCCCATAGAGATGAGGACACAAAGGCTCAGAGAGATTTAGCCAGCCCCCAGAGTTGGTGAGTTGCAGAGGTAGGAGTCAAATCCAGGCTGTGTGGCTCTTACCCTCCACATGACAAGGCTACCCAGCAGGAGGAATATAGAAAAAAAAAACCCAGAAATAACTATAAATAGGGTTGATGCTTTCTTTCTTTATCTTTCTTTCTTTTTTCTTTCTTCTTTCTTTTTCTTTCTTTTCTTTCTTTCTTTTTCTTCTTCTTTTCTTTCTTTCTTTTTGTTCTTTTCTTTCTTTCCTTCTTTCATAGAGAAGAGGCAGTTTTTTGTTTGTTTTTTTTTGTTTTTTGTTTTTTTTTTGACAGTCTTCCTGTGTTGCCAAGGCTGGAGTGCAGTGACACAATCTTGGCTCACTGCAGCCTCCGCCTCCCAGGTTCAAGGGATTCTCCTGCCTCAGCCTCCCAAGTAGCTGGGATTACAGGTGCGCAGCACCACACTCGGCTAATTTTCAAAAAATTATTTTTAGTAGAGATGGATTTCACCATGTTGGCCAGGCTGGTCTTGAACTTCTGACCTCAAGTGATCTGCCCACCTCAGCCTCCCAAAGTGCTGGGATTACAAACATGAGTCACTGTGCCCAGCTGAAGAGCTAGATTTAAAACAAATCTTTTTGTGTGTGTATTAGGTTCCTAGAGATGCAGTAATGAATTACCACAAACTGGGAGGCTGGAAACAACAGCAATGTATCCCCTCACATTCTGGAGGCTAGAAACTCAAAATGAAGGACTGTGCTCCCTCTGAAGCCTCCAGGGAAGAATGCTCCTTGCCTCTCACTAGCTTCTGGTGGCTCCAATAATCCTTCCCGTTTCTGAGCTTGCAGCTGCATCACTCCAATCTCTGCCTTCATTGTCACGCGGCCTTCTTCCCAGGGTGTTTCCCCATGTGTCCTCTCCTTTTCTTGTAAGGACACCATTGGATTTAGGTCCCTCTCTAATCTAGTATAATCTCATCTTAACTGATGACATCTGCAACTACCCTATTTCCAAATAGGTCACATTTGAGGTTTTGGGTGGTCATGAATTTTGGGGAGACATATTCAACCCACCACACCTTGCTTCCCAATTCTGCTCCAAGCCAGCCCAGGCTAGAGTCTAAAGCCCAGCACTGCCTCACTTTCAGATTGATTTCTGTAGAAATATCAGCTCAGTAGCAGTTCATCCCAGTCTACAGATGTATTTTATAAATTTATAAATTTTTAAATTGAGCCATGTGGTAGGAAAACATTATTAAGGGAATGGAGGTCTCTCGGGGCTTGAATTTCTGAAAGTGCTTCTCGGTGCCAGCAGCCTTGACCCCTCAGCATGTAGAAGCAACAGATGGTCTTTCTTGCTCAGGAGCTGGCCCTTACCACCTGTCATTATGTCTCCAATCTGGACATCCCTGTAATGGTGTCGATGCCAACCATGTCCCTAAGGTGCCTCATGGCGTGCTTGTGTGGCACTCATCCTGGAGGAAGATGATGGTCTGAGCATCTTCATCCTGGTCATCACCCAGGCAGGCCCTGCATGAATAGTAACATTACAGTGATGAGACATTTCTTGCCATTGTAGGCGGCCTGGATGTCAACTCAGGGTGTGCTGACACCTAGGCCAGTGTTCTCGGAGTCCATGCCAGTGTGTTCTTGTCCTGATGCTCCATCTGATTGTCTACAGACTTCTCTGCTGCCTTCAAATTCCAGGAATCCTGCACGCCAACAGTCAGCTCTGCCACACTTCTGTCTCCCTGCACAATGAAGGTATGCACCTACACCCAGCTCTTCACCTACGCCCACTGCTCGCCTCTCCTCCTGGGCATTTCCATTTGCCACTCTCGCCACCTCCTGCTTGGGCCTCCAGGGGCTGCCTGTTCATCACACCTGGCCCTCATGACTTTCCCTAGCCATTCCCAGGTGAAGATGCCACCCATCGCAGTCCCATGCTGGAGATGCCAGGATAAAACGGGCAATGGAGTGGACCCAGAGAACTCTGCTCCTCCCCAACCCAGAAGCTACCAAGCAACAGTGAGCGGAAGCCCCTGGCTGCATAGGTGGAGGCCAGGTAGACCACTCCTCACCCCATCCCAAAGAACAGGAAATGAACTGTGAGGCCCCTAGGCCCAGCCAGGGAGGAATGCTGCACATAGGCCTGTGGTATGGATGCAGCCACACAAGTTTCTTTCAGAAGGAGAGGGTGGGAACGGGGGTGGCAGTCAACGCAATCTTCTCATAACTCCCAAGTGTTTTGCTAGAACAAAGAGCTAACCTCCAGCCTCAAGTCTCTCTGCAGGGCACTTAGTTCCTTCTCACTGCAGAATCAGCAGCCCCGGAATCTGCCCAGGCTCCCCTCTTCAGCCACCCACTTTTATTTTTCTCTGCGGTACTTCCATCTGCTGATGTTGCCCGACATGCAATGTGCCATAAAACAGATTTGACAATTTGTTTATTGTCTATCTTCCCACTAGAATATATGCTCCTGGAAGGTGGGGCTCCTGCCCCAGAGCCTAGAACAGTGCCTGTCCAAGCTGAAGTGGCACTTAGGCAAAGTCATTGAATGAATTGCATGAGAGGGAAGCAGCCCAGTCCTGTCAAATGAGCTGGAAGAGACAGACTTCAGAGACAGTCTAATCTTTTTCTCTGTTAACATAAATAGCAAACAAGGAGAGTCTCTTTAAAAGAAAAAGATATTTACCTGGGAATAGAGCATTGTATTGGGAATATGCATATCATAGTAAACTATGTACATGTTCAGGGAGGTAAAGGAAGACAGATTTTTAAAGAAAGAAAGAGAAGGATTACATATTTGTTTTGACATAATTATCCTTGGCTCCAAAGATCAATAACAAGGGTGATGCCAGTCTAGGCTTGGATAGGCAGTGGCTGGGCAGATGTCTTTGCAGAAGTCTTTTTTGTGTAAGGCTGCAACGGCCTTTGTGCGAGGTCATGGTTTTTACAGAGTCTTGTGTGACAGTTTTTGTTATCAGGCTTACACGTATGAGAACTCTCTCTTCATGGCCTTTCCCAGCTCCATTTGTCAGGGTTCTTTCTTTCTTTTTTTAACATTAGTGACTCCATTTTGATTTTGACAACTTTCACAACCCTAATTTTTCCTGGAAGGAAACTGGGAGCAGTCCAGAGATTCTAAATAACTCCTCGGATTTGACACTGGAACTGGGTTTTGCATTGTTTTCAAGAAACTTAAGACACACTGCCCCATTTGCCCTTCCCACACACTCTGAGGGATGTGATGATGGTGGGAGCAGAAGCTTAAAGAGGCTAAGTTGCTCAGATGACACAGGCGAAATTTAAGCTCAGATTTGTGTGACTCCAAAACTACAGCTTTTTAATAATTAGGTTGAGGATAACAAATACATTTCGTTTCAACAGCCAAGTGCAGTTAACTGGGATGTGACTCAGGGCCACCATTTTGAGGAGTCTGAGGCTCCTCAGGTTCAGTAGATAAGAGTGCATGATTGATTAGCAATGTCTGCCACCGGCACAGGGTGGGGAATGACAGCGTTCTGCCATCCCTGCCACTAGGCAATGATGCAATATTAGGTTCCTTATCTTAGACTCTTTGTCCCTCACCTTACTGTTTCTGAGGCCAATATTCCTATGGTTCCTGCCTCAGCAATGAGAAGCCTATGACAAAGCTACCAAACACTGTCAAGTTGGAGGTGAGCAGAGCATGACTTCATTAGTAAGAAATGGAAAGACTATACTTTCAGGGATCATTTATATGATTTGTGGCTACAGAAGTTTCTCAGCGTGAGGAGCCCCAGAAACCATGAGGAGGAGACGCAGCATTCTCTGTGGCGCGTGAGGCCAGCTCTTGGTTTTACTTCGCTACAACTGCATTTGCCATTGGTGATCGTTCTTCTCTCATCTCAGGGAGAGTAGAAGGGAGAGAAGATGCAGCCTGAGTGATTCCTGTTTCAACATTTAAAAAGAAGAAAGAAAGAAACTGAATGCACATTTGGTCATTCCAGAATCCTTTGCCCATGACTCAGGGCTTAGTATCACCTTTGTGTAGGAAGGACACCAATATATTAAGTGTAGGGGAACAGATAATCCAAAATTATTTATATCTGTTTTTGGAAGCATCACATGACCTAGAGTGGCAGAGTTATCTCAATAACTATGTTTACTTGGGGTTATGTTATCCTCTCAGAGTTCACACTGAGAGCGGGGAAGACAGCCTTGACATGTGCTTTGTGATGGTGGGACTGAAGACAGCAGCTGAAGGAAACATTTGCTGCCAGTGATACATAAAGCAGAGACTCCATTTTGTCCAGAATAGAGTATGAGCTGTGTATAGAAGGTCTGACCACTCCATGTTTGGGGATCCATGAATCAAGTCAGGGAACCCAGAAAATATTATTGAGTCATGAGCTAAGCCCTATAAAATGCCTTGTATCACACACAATAACAGATATTTCAATTTTCTCCCATCTGCTGGGATATGTTCTGCAGGATGCTATGTAATATGGGGTCTGGATGTGGACCCTGAGCTCAAGGAAACTATGCCCCAACTCAGGAGACAAGACTCCTCTTACCAAGACACAACCTGCCCCGATGCCTCGATACTTTGTCTCCCTTCCTTCCCTATTAAGCAGCCTATCTTTATGCCAAATGCACGGGAATTCCTTGTAATTCCTCTGATATTTTGTATTGTTTTCACCTCTGTGCCTTTGCTACTGTTCCCAGACTACCTTGCAAATAGCTCCTCAGGGTTTTGATTTTTGTCTCTGCCCCTCACCAGCTATGAGGTCCTGGAAAAGTTACTTAACTGCCTCTATGCCTCTGTTTCCTCCTCTTAAAGTGGGGATGACAACAGTTTTACCTCCTAGGGTTGTTGTAAAAATTAAATGAGTTATCACATATTAAAGCACTTAGAAGCACACTTAGCACTTAGAAGGATTAGACAAGAGTTAATAATTAGTATCATCACTCACCCTTCAAGACTCAACTTGAACGTTATCTCTACCAAGAAGCATTGCAAAAATTACCACAAACAAAGTCAAAAGACAAAAGATTACCTGGAAAAGAGGTTTGCAATACATATGACAAAGGACTGACTGGTTTCCTTAATTTATGGGGAACAAGTACAAATCTGTAGGAAGACAAGAGTTCAATAGAAAACCGCCCAGCTGTCAGGAACATGCAGTTCACCGAGAAAGAAATACAAGTGGCCAATAAGCAAGAAAAGATGCTTAATTTCACTCATAATTATGCAAGTCAAAATAGTAACAAGAAGCCATTTTTTTTTGCGTATCAGATTGGCAAAAGTTTTAAAGTTTGATGATACCCAGTGTTGGCAATGGAGAAATTAACCATTTGCATATACTCTTGAAGAAAGTATAGATTTCTGCAGCCCTTTCAGCAAGCATTTTGGAAATATTTATCAAAACCAGAAATGCACATTTCCTCAAATGCAGCAATTCTCCTTCTGTTTATTGATATCCTCACAAAAGAATATATGTCAATATATGTCATACTATATTCTAGGGTTCTAAAACTGTGCCTGGCACATAGCGATTGCTCAATAAATAGTTGTTTTATAAATAAATTAACCAAAATGTTCATTGTAGCAATGTTGGTAATAGACAAAAACAAAAAACAACCTGAATGTCCAGCAACAGGGGAGATTTTAAATAAATCTTGCACACTCATACTATGGAGAATTCTGTAGCTGTTGCGACCAATATCATATATCTGTATATTCTGATTTAAGAAGACTTCTTTTGTTATTGTTGTTTTGTTTTTAAATTTTTTAGATTGACAAATAATAATTGTACATATTCAATATCATGATTTTCTTTTATTTGGATTTTATTTTATTTTTTCCTTTAATGGGATTGTTGGATCATGTGGCAGTTCTATTTGTAGTTTTTTAAGGAACCTCCATACTGTTCTCCATGGTGGCTGTACTAGTTTACATTCCCACCAACAATGTATAGGAGTTCCCTTTTCTCTGTATCCCCACCAGCAGTTGTTATTTTTTATCTTTTTGATAATAGATATCCCATCTGGGGTAAGGTGATATCTCATTGTGGTTTTGATTTGCATTTCCCTGATAATTAATGATGTTGAGCATTTTCCATGTATTTGTTGGCCAATTGTATGTCTTCTTTTGAGAAATGTCTATTCAAATTTTTCACCCATTTTTCAATTTGATGGTTTATTTTTTTCCTGTTGAGATGATTGAGTTCCTTGCATATTCTGGATGTTAATCCCCTGTTGGATGAGTAGTTTGCATATATTTTCTCATATTCTGTAGGTTGTCTTCTTACTCTGTTGATTGTTTCCTTTGCTGTGTAGAAGCTTTTTCATTTAGTATAATTTCATTTATTTTTCCTTGTGTTGCTTGTGCTTTTGAGGTCTTATTCATAAAATATTTTCCCAGACCAATAACCTGAAACACTTCCCCTGTGTTTCTTTCTAGAAGTTTTATTGTTTCAGGTCTTACATTTAGGTCTTTGATCTATTTTGAGTTAATTTTTCTATAGGGTGAGAGGTGGGGGTGTAGTTTTATCCTTCTGCGTGTGGATATCCAGTTTTCCCAGCACTGCTTATTGAAGAGACTGTCCTTTCTGCAATGATTGTTCTTGGCACCTTTGTCAAAAATCAGTTGCTTGATACATGTAAATTAATTTCTGGATTCTCTGTATTCCATTGGTCTGTGTACTTGTTTTTGTGCCAGTACTATGCTATTCTGGTTACTACAGCTTTGTAGTATATTTTGTTTTGTTTTTAAAAACTAATTTAAAAATTTTTTGTAATAGAGACAGGGTCACACTATGTTGCCCAGGATGGTCTCAAACTCTTAGGATCAAATGATCCCCCTGCCTTGGCCTCCCAAAGTATTGAAAGTACAGGCATGAGCCACTGCACCTGACCTAAAGTATATTTTGAGGTCTGGTAGTGATACCTCTGGCTTTATTCTTTTAGCCCGGGTTTGCTTTAGCTATCCTTTCCGAGTCCTTTGTGTTTCCATGCAAATTTAAAAAAAAAAATTTTTTTTCTATTTCTGTGAACAATGTCCTTGGTATTTTGATAGGGATGGTGTTGAATCTGTTGTCTGGGTAGTATTGTCATTTTAACAATATTAAGTCTTCCAATTCATGAGGATGGGATGTCTTTCTATTGTTCGTATCTTCTTAAATTTCTTTCATCCATGTTTTAATGTCTTCCTTGTAGAGATTTTTCAAGTCCTTGGTTAAACTTATTTGTAGGTATTTTATTTTTTGTAGCTATCATAAATGAGATTGTCTTCTTGATTTCTTTTTGAGCTAGCTCATTGTTCATGTATAAAAATGCCAGTGATTTTTGTATATTAATTTTGTATCCTGCAACTTTACTAAATTCATTTATCAGTTCTGAGGTTTTTTTGAGAGTCTTTAGGTTTATATAATCATGTCATCTGTAAAGAGAGACAATTTGACTTCCTCTTTTCCAATTTGGATGTCCTTTATTTCTTTATCTTGCCTAATTGCTCTGGCTAAGGCTTCTAGTACTATGTTGACTAATAGTGATGAGCATTGTCATCCTTTTTTTTGTTCTAATTCTGAAAGCTTTTCCTCATTCAGTAAGATGTTAGCTGTGAGTTTTTCATATATGGCCTTTATTATGTTCAGGTACTTTTTCTATACCAAATTTATTAAGAGTTTTTACCTTGTCTGTATAAAGAATTAAAAAAAAAATTAGCCAGGCATAGTACCTTCCACCTGTAGTCTCAGCTACTCAGAAGGCTGAGGCAGGAGGATTGCTTGAGCCCAGGAGGTTGAGACTGCAGTGAGCCATGATTATGCCACTGCACTCAAGCCTAGGTGACAAAGCAAGACCCTGTCTCAAAAAAAGAAAGAAAAAGAAAAAAGAGTTTTTATCATGAAGGGAGGTTGAATTTTATCAAAAGGTTTTCCTGCATCTGTTGAGATGATTATATTGCTTTTGTCCTTCATTTTATTGATGTGATGTATGACATTTACTGATTTGTGTATGTTGAACAGTCCTCGCATTCCCGGGATAAATCCCACTTAATCATGGTGAATTATGTTTTTGATGTGTTGTTAGGCTTAGTTTGATAGTATTTTGTTGAGAATTGTTGTGTCTATGTTTGTCAGGGATGTTGCAGTTTTCTCTTTTTGTTGTGTCCTTGTTGGTTTGGGCATCAGAATAATGCTGGCCTCATAGAATGAGAGAGGAAGAATTCCCTCTGCTTCAATATTTTGAAATAGCTTGAGAAGAATTAGTATTAATTCTTCTTTACAAGTTCAGTAGAATTCATCCAATCTTGAACTTTTTTATTGGAAGACTTTTCATTACTGGTTCAATCTCGTTACTTGTTATTGATCTATTCAGTTTTTCTATTTCTTCTTGGTTCAATATTGGTAGGGCATATGTATGCAGGGATTTATCCATTTCCTCTAGGTTTCCAAATTTATTGGTGTATATTTGTTCATATTTGTCTCTAGTGATTCTTTGTATTTATTTGGTATCCATTGTGATGTCTCTCTTTGTTTCTAATTGTATTTATTTGGATCTTCTCTCTTTTTTCTTTATTAGTCTAGCTAACGGTTTGTGTATTTTTTAATATTTAAAAAACATTTTTGTTTTATTGTCCTTTTTTTAGTCTTAATTTTGTTATTAATGTTAAGATCCTTATTATTTCTTTTTTTCTGCTAATTTTGGGCTTGGCTTGTTCTTGTTTTTCTAGTTCCTTGAAGTTTTTAGGTTGTTTATTTGAAATCTTTCTAGTTTTTTGATGTAGGCATTTATTGCTATAAACTTATCTCAATACTGCTTTTGCTATGTTTCATAGATTTTGGTATGCTGTGTTCCTATTTTCATTTGTTTCAAGGAATTTTTTAATTTTATACTTAAATTCTTCCTTCACCCATGGGTTATTCAAGAGTATGTTGTTTAATTTCCATGTATTTGTATACTTTTAAGTGTTCCTCTTGTTATTGACGTCATTTTACTTCATTATGGTCAGATGAAATGCGTGATATGAGTTTGATTTTTAAAAAATTTTTGAGACTTGTTTTGTGTATTACCATATGGTCAGCCCTGGAGAGTGTTCCATGTACCGATGAAAATAATGTGTATTCTGCAGCTGTTGGGTGAAATGTTCTGGAAATGTCTGTTAGGTCCATTTGGTCTATGGTGTGGTCTGAATCTGATGTTTCTTTGTTGATTTTCTGTCTAGATGGTATGTCCAATGCTGACAGTGGGGTGTTGACATCCCCAACTATTATTGTAATGGGGGTCTATCTCTTTCTTTAGATCTAATATTTGCTTTATGTATCTGGGTACTTCTCTGTTGGGTGCATATATATTTATAATTTGTATATTCTTTTGCTAAATTGGTCTCATTATTATATATGTTCTTCGTCTTTTCATACAGCTATTAACTTGAAGTCTATTTTGTGTAATATAAGTATAGCTATTCCTGCTTACTTTTGGTTTCCATTTGCATGGAATATCTTTTTTCCAGCCTTTCACTTTCAGCTGAGTGTTTTTACAGGTGAAGTGAGTTTCTTGGAGGTAGCATATAGTTGGGTCTTGTTGTTTTTATCCATTCAGCCAGTCTCTAGCTTCTAAATGGAAAATATAGTTCATTTACATTCAAGGTTATTATTGATAAGTTAAGAAGACTTCTAATACATAAGGTAAAAAGAAAACACCTAAAACATCAAAGTGCAGAATAATAAACATTGTACATGATCATTAGTGTCAATAAAAAATATATACATATAAATATTCAAATATTCTAGTATTGCATTTTTCTTTCCTGCAAAGATGACTTAGAAGTTGTTTTTATTTCCTTTGTAAAAAAAGAACTGGGGACAGGGAGGTGGTCAAAGAGAGAATTTTAGATTCATTTTATATTAATAGGTTTTTAGTTGAAATTTTTCTTCTTAAAATTTGTTTGTGGGGGAGTATACCTATATTGATTGTATTTTAAAATACAAATAAACAAATGCATTTTGTTGTCTAGTAGCTGATCAGGCTCTCCAAGATCTCCCCTGTATACCTCTCTGTCTCCTCTGGCCACCGCCTGCCTCTTACTTCATGCCCTGGCAGTGCTGATGAGCTGGCAGTTCCTATGCACCTGCCACCATGGCCCTCTTCCCAGGCCTTCGCTCTTGCTGTTTGGCTCCTCTGCTTTCAGTGTTCTCCTCTCTCCACTCTCCCTGTTATTTAAGGTCTTACTCCCATCCGGTACTGCCAAGCTAGTCTAGTGACCACTGCAGCGTCCCCATAATACTCTGCACACTTCTCTCTCCTTACACTCCATTGTCTTTGAATTGATGTATTGGGAAGGTGACAGCTGTAAGTGATCCTTAGCGCAGGTCTGTGCTTCACTCATCTTTGCAGTTTAAACTGTCAGCATGGTGCTTCTTATGTAAAAGGCTTTCAATAAATGTTAGATAGATGGATCAGAGGAAAAAATATATTATCTGAAAAATTATGAAAAAAACACTTTCTTAAACCCTTTGATGACTGATACTAGTATTCCTACATAAAACAAACTACTTGGCTGGGCGCAGTGGCTCACGCCTGTAATCCCAGCATTTTGGGAGGCTGAGGCAGGCAGATCACTTGAGGTCAGGAGTTAGAGACCAGCTTGGCCAACATGGTGAAACCCTGTGTCTACTAAAAATACAGAAATTAGCCAGGCATGGTGGTGGGCACCTGTAATCCTAGATACTTGGGAGGCGGAGGTAGGAGAATCACTTGAACCTGGGAGGCAGAGATTGCAGTGAACTGAGATCATGCCACTACACTCCAACCGGGACAACACAGAGAGATTCTGTCTCAAAAAAAAAAAAGGAACTACTTACAAAGCTTGGTATTGACTAAAGAGAGCTGCTTCCCCACTAGCAACCCTTCAGGAATAATTGACTCCAGCACCAAAAAAAAAAAACCCTATATTGTAGCACCCCTACATTGAACAGTCTATTTCTGAGCCTTCCTTGCTTCTCTTTCCAAGCCCACCCAGAGCAGCCCTAGCAAAGGAATGAAGTATTAGAAGAGAGAACCATTCCGGGGTTTATTCACCCATGTACTGACATTTGCTACATGACAGACACTGCTCCAGGCAAGGAGGCAGTGGCGGGTCACAAAGAGAACAAGCCTATGTTCTTGCCCTCAAGGACCTAGTTTTATTGCAAAAGAGAGTTAAGGGAAGAAAATAAATTGTGGTATAAATAGAGAGAAAAAAATTATGGCCCATTATAGAACTGAAAGCCTCCAGGTCTCCAAATCAAAATCCAGTTGTACCTGATGATTGAAACCCGAGGCCAGTGGGAATGCCTGAGGGGCACTGGGGGAGTGTTGGGAGGTTACAAGGGAACTAGCAAATGCTGCTGCAGCGAATCTTTGGGAACAGATGGATTTCCAGGGAAGGCAACCACCTGAGAGAGGGAGAGGGAGAGCTGATCAGGATAGAGTCAAAAGTTTTAACACCAAAGATGCAAAAATAGTAGAGTCAATGAAAGTTTTATGGCTGCCCTTACAGTGTTTTTCTGGCAGTTGTTCTCCCATGAAGGGAAAGCAGATGACATACGATTGAATGAGCAAGGAGGCTGAGGTCTTCAAATATCTGTACTTATGAACAGCTGCTATGGGAGGAGGATGGGCCAAAGATAAGGTGTGGGGGGCTGGGGGTTGAGTTGAGAAAGGCCTGCAGGACTGCCTCTCCACTTCCTTGAGTTACTCCCCACCCTACCCCCAACTCCCTCCTGTGTCTGTTCTGGCCCTGGCCTCTGAAGCATGAAGGTCACTGTGGCTTTGGCACCATTAGCCTGAGTGGTTTTAATGATGTGGCCCAAAAGTGGTCTGTAAAGCAACAGTGAAAACACATGCACTGGAGCAATTCCAGTCAGATGGTACCTAATCCGTGCTCTGCCAGCAATCTGCTGCATGACCTTGGGTAGGCTGTGGGTTAGACTCAGTATACAACATCTGAGATTCCTTCTGTATGAATGTTCTTTATGGAATTCTAAACTTCACACATGTTCTTGGTCTCTAAACTTCTAAAAGCACTGTAGATTACTCAGAGATAAAAGGGTCTGTTGAATGAAGAACTCCAACAAATACATTTTTTACTTCTTACCACATATTTTGTAAACAATAATTGGGATGTCTACCCATAGTATCTAACTTAATCACAAGACATTTATTGAAGGCTTATTGCACATTAAGCAATTGGGCTAATATTCCAGAACTAGGTTGTGATAGTATTAACATCTATAGGTTGAACACTGTCATGTATATCATCTCCCATAACCCTCAGTTCTGGAAAGGTAGGTATTATCTTCCTCATTTACAAAGAGAAAAAACAAAGGCTTCAAGAGATCAAGAAACCTGATCAAGGGCACACAGTGAGAAAAGCACAGGGCCAAGATTAAAAACCCATGGTGGTCTGACTCCAGAATCTGAATACTTTACTGAGATTTATTGCCTTTTCTGGAAATAATTATAGGTGGCTTAGAAAGAATAAGTAACTCTTGCATGAACCAAGCATATCAAATTTGCTGCTGGTCTAAGCAGTACGTTCTCCTCCCTCACCAGGTTTATTTTCCAATGCCCTCAGAACTTCCTACCAGCAGCCACTAACTCAGTTGCTCACCAGATTCCTGCTACGCAACTTTTGAGGATGGCTGGATGGCTGACCCACCTAGCAGCCTTCTTTGTCCAAACTCCTTATGCCAGATTAATTCTCTTTATGGGAATTGTTGTGGGAAGCTTTTCACAGGAAGGAAACTGAGCCCACGTGACAATATTGCCCAGAATTTGAATGTTACATTTTCCTGGGCTAAAGAAACCTTGCCAAGAGCCCTCTGTGATATTTGTTTTGTAGTTGTTATTTAAACTGAAGGGCTACTGAGCTGCTTGATCAGACAATGAGGTAGACGACAGTTTAACTTTCCAGAAGCCAGGTGCCAGGAACCATGGATCTCTTTCTTTGTGGCTGAGATCTGAACCTCAGGATGGAAGAAGAGTCTTAAGTCACCTTAGATGGTCCTGGAGCTGCCGAACTGTTAGGCCCTGCAAAAGTCCTGGAAGCCAACAGAATTACTTCACAGGGCCAAGGGGCAGGAACAGGAGGTTACCACTGTGCATTTACAAAATGCTGACCTGAGGTCCCAAAACAACATTCTGCTCATAGATCTAGAACAAAGGAAAGGACCTTAATTGACATAAGCCAGTGATGATAACACATCAGGCTTGAACACAAACTCAGTGAGTGCAAAGCAACTCATGGGAGAAAATAGAACTGAATGTACAGTTGACATACAGGCAAATCTTGCATACTGCTGGCAGTGGAGAGCAACCTGCGTAAGTGTTCCCCTAAGATATCCCCAGGAGGGAGGTACCAGGGATGTCTATTAGATTTCCCCACCTACTAAAGAATATCAGCAGTCCCACTGCTGGAAAGACCTCAGACAACTTTCACGTTGCAGATGAGAAATCTGACAGGCAGGGAGGGGAAATGACTGGCCCAAACTCACATGCAGAAGGGGAACTGAAATGCTTTTGCTGACAGCTGTCACAGTGTTCTTTTCCACAGTCTCAGCATTGCACTGGTTCTTACCCCTTTGTCCCTGAGACATGGTTTCACTGTTTTTCATTGTTTGTGTATAATTGCAGTGACCTTGGTGGCTACCAGCATTGTATCCCAGGTATTCAACCCAACTGGTGGTGGCAGAGTTTATTTCTAAGTTACTTATCATAGGCAGAGAAGTCAAAGGGCTTTGGAGGTTTGCCGGAAGAAGACTTAGGCAGAACAGATGATCAAATATCTGAAAAAACTGAAAGAGGAGTTGTTAGGCTCACTTGTTGCTGCTACAGAACACTGGTTCTCAAAGTGTGGTCCAGGAACCAGCAGCATTGGAATTACCTGGGAATTTGTCAGAAAGGGAAAATCTTGGGCCTCACTCCAGACCTATTGAATCAGAATCTCGAGAGTGGAGCCCATCAAAGTGTTTCAAGCCCCAAAAGTGATTATGATATGCTAAAATGTGGGGCCCTCTGCCCAAACAGGGTAGGATGTGAGTTAAATTGTCAGGAAGACAGATAAGCAAGGACTATGTGACAAGGATGGGTCCCCTGGAAGGTGAGGTGACACTAGATCCGGGCACACAGAATGAACCCTCACCAGCCAAGAGAGTTCTGAGTGGAGAGCTGCCCTGGGAGGAAAATGCTGAACAGATCACCTCTAGGTGCTCAGCAACTCCAAGATCCTATGACAATTTTTACATGATAAACGGGACAGAAATACAATTACTTCCCCATTCTGGAATGGAAGCACCACAAAGGCAGGCATTTTTGTGTTTTTATTTTACTTTATTTTAATTTTTTGCTATTGTAACTCCAGTGCCTAGAGCAGGGATAGAACTCTTGGCCCAAACCCAGCCCACAGCCTGCTTTCGCAAGTGACATTTTATTGGAACACAACCATGCTCATTCATTGACATATCATCTATGGCTGCTTTCACAATCTTGTACTACAACAGCAGAGTTGAATCACAGTGACTGACCGTATGACCCAGGAGACCTAAAATGTTTGCTCTCTTGTCCTTTATAGAAAAAGTTTGACAATCCTTGATCTAGGATATTGCCTGAGTCACAATAGATGCTCAACAAACATTTGATGAATGAATGAACCCTTTTCTCTGTTGGCAGAGAGGTACAGACACCTTGGTCTGGGAGAAAACAGAGATATAGAGGATAAAGCTATTAAATTCAGGGGTGGCCAGACCTGGCCTTGAGTCCTGGCTTCATCATTTACAAGTGGGGTGACCTTAGGCAAATTATTTAGCTCCCTGTGTGTCATATGCCTCATTTGTAAAGCAGCAATAATACTAGCCATTTATAATTAGTATGACAATGAATCAATTTACATACTGCACAGAAAGCATGGAGCCTGATGTGTGTAATTACTGAATACGTGATCCCCAGTTATTAATAACTTTGAGAAGTCTTTGATGAGAGGAGTTCAGACATGTAGGTTTGGACACAATGGAACAAGGAGTTGACAATCAGAAGGTCTAGGCTGTCCTCGGTTCTACCACCATGCAAGAGCTCTCTGTAGAAGCAGGAGAAAGGGCAAATTCAGAGATTGTAATTAAGCAGCTCAACATTTAAATTTGTGGAAAGCTACTAGGTAGATAATTTACATATGATTATCTTTAAGATAGTGTATAAAGAGGCAAGATTTCATTGGTTATAGATGTTCGGGTGTTTTCTAGTAGTGAAAACTAGTAATTCATCTATATTTTCTCACATATTCCCCTGATAACCAACTGCAAACAGCTGTCTGGGTGTCAGGGCTGGACAGCCCAAGGTCATGGGAACCCTCAGAAGCTACCTGGTCATAGAGGGACTGACCTTGCCCTCTCACCAGCTGACAATGGAGTTCTCCAAGAGGGTAGTGTTTTCTCAAACAGTGCAAGCATAGCCCCTTTGTGTTAGGTTGGTAGTGTTTTTATTGTTTTCTGGCAGGAATTCTTTACATATCCTAGGTGTTCTGGCAGAAGTCTCCAAACCCTCCAGTGCCCCAGGGTAAGCCAGAAACAATAAATCACGGGCAAGTATAAATCCACACTGGCAGGAGACTGAGTCAGAAACATGTTGCAACTTAGGACTGCAAATGCCCATGTTTATAGCTTCCCTGATTCTGAGATTCTGCAAATTACCCTGCATGCCTGTTTCCAGCATACCAATTTTTCTCAGTAACATTGAGGAAAGCGTGGTAATTTCCAGAATTCTTTAGAGTATGCTGGCAAGTGCAATTTCACATGTGAGGAAAAACACCTGGAAGCTCACTCCTCTCCTTCGTTCACATGTGTCGAGCCCCACCCCAGAGCCCTCAAATCACAGATTCCATTAAGAACTGTTCATCTTCAACATGTAGAACTTAATTATGGATATCTACAGAGTGTGAGAATCTGCTGTATTTCTTCCAAGACATAGAGGTTTAATAAAAAGGAAAACTGAAGAGGTATAACCCAGATTTTTATTTATTCATGTTTATATCTTCTTATATATCAGGATCCAGAACACTGGAATCCCTCTCCTGTAAGTCAATTACAATTTACATGCAGAGAAAAACACAGGGTTTTCTGTCTCTAAAGTTCCTACCTAGGTCACTCTCCTCTAACCTTCAATCCATAAACATCAGCTATCATCCAATAACCTGATTGCCACCTCCCACCAAGCACATTCCAAAACAGTGACAAAATTTGTGTGTCCCACTTGAAACTGAAACAGTTGCTACACCCTTGTAAAAGGCACAACACTTGATCCAAAGGCTTCCATAAACAACCGTAGACCCATTCCAGATCATATGAGGAAAAATCCTTGAAAAGTATGGGAGCTTGGCAGGTGGTGGGAACATAGAAGGAGCTTTGAGTGAGAAGGTCTGGAGTGGTTCCAGCTTCCATGCTCATGCATGAACTCATAATCCATCTTATTCTCCTTCCATGACCCTTTCCGGCCTCACACAGAACACATGCTTTTCTCTCAAGCAATTAAACTTAGAAGTATCTTATGCTATTACAGTGAACTAGCCAAACTCATGGGTGACCCTCTAATAAGTCCTGAGTTTCCTGCAATGCAATAACAAAGTAGATGGTATTTTTCCAGTAAAGAGAGACAAGGGAGACTTCGGGCAAGGATTGGCTCCTTCCCTCAACTCTATTCACTCTTGGTCACCTTTGGACCATCTCAATACAGGTAGGGCCATGGGCCTCATTATCCTTCAACAAGAAGGTGGCTTTTCCTCAGGAAGTGGAAGGCCCCTATGCAATTCTAATGGGTTTAGTTAACAACACTAATGGATGGAATCGCAAGGTTCTATTGAGGTTTCATTGTATTATTTTGCACAAAACCTCAAGAAATCAACAGAGTCTTTCTGTAGATAACACAGTCCAGGACTTCAGAACTGGTCTCTTCATCTTCCAGGGCCCTGGCTATCGCCAGGCTGCTATGGAATAACTATACCCATGAATCTGGATGTTTGGCTCTGCTTAGCTTAAGTAAAGTAATTTCTGATCCAAATCTGGTCAGCCTCCCCCATCACTGCCTCAGCCAAGACACTGGCCTCATTCTTCATGGAATGGAGCTCTTCCTCCCTGCCTTCCCTTGGTGTCCTCACCCTGGAGCCAACAAGGGCACACCCACCAGCAGCCCTCCTTGTGGAGCCCACCTCAGGCTCCCTACTGGCATTCTGGGCTATGGCCTGGAGCTTTTCTCTGTTCCAAAGGTCTCTCTCATCTTTCCTCCAATGATTTGATCTTTCCTATCCCATGCTCACCTCCAACACTTCTTCCAAGTCACTAGAGTGACCCTCTGCTCCTGCCTTCTGCCAAGCATCCTTCTTCCATTTTCCCACCATCTCCTGCAATACCTCCTCTTCCCTTAGGCTTTCCTGGGCAGATGAGAAGAGAGGTAGTATTTTCTCCCTCCTCTACCCTGGCTAATCTTTCAGTCTCGACTCCCAAAACACACCTGAACAAAAAGCCAAAACAGCAAAAATGACCAGTTGGTGGAGTGAGGAAGGAGACGATAAGATTGCTGGGAAGGGAGAGGAATGAATCTCTCCCGCTTCGTCCCCCACCAAGTAAGACTGAGGGGAACTGGGACAGAGAACTCAGTCAACCCTGGGAGGACAAGAAATAGATGTACAAGTATCTGGAATACTCTTAGCTTAAAACCCACACATTCATATGCACACATTATTCACCCAGTGAGTGAGAGGTCACTAAGGAATGCAGGTTTTCTTTTTGCCTGACTCCTGTTCCGCTTAGCCCTGACCTCTAATTTTCTTATTCTTTTCTCACTACTTTAAACTTATACTGCTTTATTTTTTTATTATCCAAATAGGCCACTGGAGTCCTTTCTGAAACTAGATGAGTCATTCATTTATTTATTTATTTACTTATTTATTTATTTTAGAGACAGGCTCTTGCTATGTTGCCCAGGTGAATCTCCAACTCCCAGCATCATGTTGATCCTCCCACCTCAGCCTTCCAAAGTGTTTCAATTACAGGCCTGAGCCACCATGTCTGGCCTAAGATGGATCTTACTCACAACTACTCACATATCTTGTTCTGCTCCCATCCACACAGATAAACACAAGTGACCCTCAAACAACCAAGAACACACATAAACAAGCAGCTGGAGGCCCACATCAGCGATCTGCAGTGATAAGAGCTGAATGAGGTGTGTGTCCACGAATAGACTGAAGTATTTGTTCAGGAAGCCCAAAGATAAACATATTGGTATACATAGGTCCATTTTGAACAGTGGATGAGAAGGCTCCTGGCCTGGGTTTTCCAGGAAAGAGAGTGAATGAGGGCAGAGGTGAGCGCGCACAGGAGAGACAAAAGTGGGTGGATGAGGGGGGATCTAGGAGGTATGAGAGATACTGTGTGGTGTGCAGAGACCCCAGGAGTGTGCTGCTTGGTTGATGTTATTATTCTGGTCTGTAGGTGTCTATCTGAATGTGCTTGCCTGTCTTAGGCTGTGAACCTCTAGAGGACAGGACTGGGCCCACATCCATTGCTGTCCCATGCTTCATCAGGCCCAAAGAGCCTATTGCGGGTGAGCAGCACTGTGCTTACAGGTTTGTTGACTGACTCAATGACTTGACTCCCAGCCTTGAGTGTCTGTAAGTGCCCAGTGAATTCCAGAGGAATATGATAAAATGCACTTTCTCCAGGGCTTTACTGAAACAGAGTTCTTTGCCAGGCTGGAATCATTTTGGTATTGTCCTACTAAAAAATAGAAGATGTGCTCCAAGAGCTGTCCACAGCCTCTTTAGTCTTAGAATTGCTGTGATGAGATTCCCAGAACTTAAAGATATAATCTATGTTTTCACTGGTTGTCTCCAAGTTTGTTTCCCTCAAAAGCAGAAAAGGTGTAAGCCTTATTCAAATTTGCATTTCCAGAGCTTAGACCCATATTAAACATCCTGTGTGCTTCAGAAATACTGACTGAGAGAATGCTGGAATGAATGAGCACAGGCCTGAAAAGTGAAGTCCAACCCAGCCTCCATTCCCAGCACTGCCTCCCTCAGTATTGTACCAGGCAAGAGCCAAGTGATTGACCAACATTGCAGAGCTCCCTACTCCTGGCTCCTGCAGGCATTTGAGTTTGCAGCCTCTTAGGAAAACACTAGTATAATTCCTATTTATAGAAGTCCTGTTTGATTTATAAGCCTGAGATTCAAAAAATGTCACTAATATTTTTGAAGTCACATTGCTAAGAGGTAAAGCCAACACTGGTCTTCTAGACCTCAAAGTTCATTTTAGTAACCACTCTTAATTCCTACACTCATACTAGCTGCATGACCATTGCTTCATTACTTGAGTGCTCAAGCCAAAGTTCCCTCATCTGTAAGATGAGAGTCATAAAAACTACTTAAAATATTTGTGAGATGTAGATTACATATATGAAACATAAGCAGATAAATAACTATACTTTTCAAGAGACTTACCCTTAAAATTTGAAGGAAACAGGCACATGAAGAGTCTTCTTACCTAAACCAACTTAGGCAAGAAGTTATATTCATATGGAACCTCCTCCTTGAAATAAAATAATGATCAACATTAGAGAAATGCAATTCAGTACCACAATGAGATACCATCTCACACCAGTCAGAATGGCTACTATCAAAAAGCCAAAAAACAAAAGATGCTGGTGAGGCTGCAGAGAAACGGGAATGCTTACACACTGTTGGTGGGAGTGTAAATTATTTTAGCCACTGTGGAAAGCAGTTTGGAGATTTCTCAAAGAGCTAAAAACGGAATTACCATTCAACCCACAACCCTATTACTAGGTATATACCCAAAAGAAAATAAATTGTTCTACCAAAAAGACACATATACTCATATGTTCATTGCAGCCATATTCACAATAGCCAAAACATGGAATCAACCAGGTGCCCATCAATGGTGGACTGGATTTAAAAATATGTGGTACATATGCACCATAGGAATACTATGCAGCCACAAAAACAATGAAGTCATATCCTTTACAGCAATATGGATGCAGCTGGAGACCATTATCCTAAGCGAATTAATGCAGGAATTGAAAATCAAATACTACATGCTCTTACTTACAAGTGGGAGCTAAACCTGCAGCACTCATGGACATAGAGATATCAACAATAGACACTACGGACTACTAAAAAGGGAGGGAGAGAGTGGGGCCAAGGGTTCATATACTAACTATTGGGCACTATGCTCAGTACCTGGGTGACGGGATCAATCGTTTCCCAAACCTCAGCATCACACATTGAGGTATTCCATTGTGTGACAAAACCACAACCTATTCCTCCATTCAACTATCAATAGGTATTTGGGTTGTCTCCAATTTATACTTACTATCAATAGTGCAACTACATCTTTTAATGAGTTTGTTATATGCATGTAACAAACCTGCACATGTACCCCAAATCTAAAATAAAAATTGACATTTTAAAAAATAAAAAAGTAACTAATTTAAAAAACGATCAAGTTTTCATCCACTTACCCTTTTATTCAGCGAATACATATCAAGGGCCTTCTGTGTGGCAGTTGGTACCCAGGGACTAAAAAGCCCAGTGGAAAAGTGGGCTTTGACTCAGGAGACTTAGATACATCCTCCCTCCCTCTTATCTTTACTAGCTGAGTGAATTTGAGCAAGTCCCTTAACTTCTACAACCCTCAATTTTCTCGTCTGTAAAATGGGAATGATAATACCTAATGCATACAGCTCTGAGGTGTAAGAAAGACTTATATACTGCCCAGGCATAGTGGCTCACACCTGTAATCCCAGCAGTTTGGGAGGCAGAGGCAGGTGATCTCCTGAGCCCAGGAGTTTGAGACCAGCCTGGGCAACATGGTGAATGAAACCCCTGTCTCCACAAAAAATGCACAACTTAGCTGGGCTTGGTGGCGGGAGCCTGTAGTCCCAGCTAGTCTGGAGGCTGAAGTGGAAGGATGTCTTGAACCCAGCGAGGTGGAGGCAAGGCTGTAGTGAACCATGATTGTGTCACTGCACTCCTGCCTGGGTGACAGAGATATCTTAGGAAAAATGAAACTTATGTACAAAAAGGACCAAGTTCAGTCTCTGATACAATGCACATACCTACAAATACCTACACCTATAATGACAGCTACTACTCCCGTCGTTGGCCTACTAAGGGCAGGGCAGTGGGAACAGCCAGTTCAGCTCAACAGTAGTCACAGCAGTTGTTTAGAACTTAGATTAGCAAATTATTTACTGGGGAGAGGGGTGTATTTTATCACTGATATTGTTAAGAATTGCCAGTGCATAGTAATAATTAAAAAGCAAACTCACTCTTAGTCCATTTTATTATTGTTTTAAATTCACTGCACACAGCCTGGCACGGTGGCTCATGCCTGTAACCCCAGCACTTCCAAAGGCTGAGGCGGGTGGATCACGAGGTCAGAAGTTCAAGACCAGCCTGGCCAACATAGTGAAACCCCGTCTCTACTAAAAATACAAAAAATTAGCCAGGTGAGGTGGCATGCGCCTGTAGTCCCAGCTACTCAGGAAGCTGAGGCAGGAGAATGGCTTAGAACCTGGGAGGCAGAGGTTGCAGTGAGCCAAGATCACGCCACTGCACTCCAGCCTGGGTTACAGAGCAAGACACTGTCTCAAAAAAAAAAAAAAAATTAGCCAGGCATGGTGGCGCGTGCCTGTAGTTCCAGCTACTCACGAGGCTGAGGCAGGAGAATCGCTTGAATCCAGGAGGTGGAGGTTGCAGTGAGCAGATATCACATCAGCTTAGACAACAAAATGACACTTCACCCAAAAAAAAAATTCCCACAGACAACGCACTCCTGGCTGTGCCTCGGACAGTCCACTTTCACCACCAGTCCTGGGTAAGCACTGGATTACATATTGGTGCCAAAAGGTGACAATCAGAATTATTTGGCACTGTTATAACCACACCTACATTAACACCTTTTGGATTCTACATATAAAATCAATACGCTTTGTTAGATAACAGCAAAAGTCTGAATTCAAAAAAATTAAAATAGAAAAAACATTTTATTAAAGTACGATGCACATTTTATAAAAGCACATATACAGTATAGCCTGCTGAAACTCCACACTTACGTGAACAGAACTCAAACGAACACGGCCAGCACCCAAAAGCCCCCTCATGCCAACTTCTGGTCACTACCACTTTCACCTGTTTTTGTAAATAAAATTTGTACAGCAAGCGCCCTATATGTCTGGCTTCTTTTGCTGAACATCATGTTTCTGAGATTCATCCATATTGTGTCCAGAATTGGTGGGTTCCTGGTCTCGCTGACTTCAAGAATGAAGCCGCTGACCCTCGTGGTGAGTGTTGCAGTTCTTAAAGATGGCGTGTCCGGAGTTTGTTCCTTCAGATACTCACATGTGTCCAGAGTTTCTTCCTTCTGGTGGGTTCGTGGTCTTGCTGATTTCAGGAGTGAAGCTGCAGACCTCTGCAGTGAGTGTTACAGCTCTTAAAGGCAGTACATCCAGAGTTGTTTGTTCTTTCCAGTGAGTTTGTGGTCTTGCTGGCTTCAGAGGTGAAGCTGCAGACCTTCACGGTGAGTGTTACAGCTCATAAGGGCAGCGCGGACCCAAAGAGCGAACAACAGCGAGATTTATTGCCAAGAATGAAAGAACAAGCTTCCACACCACGGAAAAAAATCTGAGTGGGTTGCCTGCACACTGCTCACTTGGGAAGCCTGCTTTTATTGCCTTATCTGGCCCCACCCACATCCTGCTGACTGGTCCATTTTACAGAAAGCTGATTGGTCCATTTTACAAAGGGCTGATTGGTCCATTTTGACAGGGTGCTGATTGGTGCATTTACAATCCTCTAGCTAGACACAAAGTGCTGATTGGTGCATTTACAATCCTCTAGCTAGACATAAAAGTTCTCCAGGTCCCCACCAGATTAGCTAGACACAGAGTGCTGATTGGTGCATGTAGAGTCTTCCAGCTAGACTTAAAAGTTCTCCAAGACCCCAGCTGACTCCGGAGCATAGCTGGCTTCACCTGGTGGATCCCATGCCAGGGCCATGCCAGGGTCAGTGGGACTGGGTGCCCGGAGCAGGGGGTGGGGCCGGTCGGGGAGGCTGGGGCTGCGTGGGAACTTGGGGGAGAAGGGGGAGCGCTTGGGCATGGCAGAGCACTTGGGTATGGCGGGCTGCAGGTCCCGAGCCGTGCCCTTTAGGGAGGCGGCTGAGGCCCAGCGAGAATTCAAGAACTGTGCAGGTAGGCCAGTAGTGCTGGGAGACCTGGCGCACCCTCTGCAGCTGCTGGCCTGGGTGCTAAGCCCCTCATTGCCTGGGGCCAGTGGCATGGGCTGGCCTCTCCGAGTGCGGGGCCTACCAAGCCTGCACCCACCCACCCGGAACTTGCTCTGGCCCGCGAGCGCTGTGCGCAGCCCCGGTTCCTGCCAGTGCCTCTCCCTCCACACCTCCCCACAAGCAGAGGGAGCCAGCTCCAGCCTCGGCCAGCCCAGAGAGGGGCTCCCACAGTGCAGCGGCGGGCTGAAGGGCTCCTCAAGCGCTGCCAGAGTGGACACCGAGGCCAAGGAGGCACAGAGAGTGAGCGAGGGCTGCTAGCACGTTGTCACCTCTCAATATCTTTGTGTGTGGTTGTAGATGGTTCATTTTTACTATTGTATAGTATTCTATTGTGTGAAGAGACCACAATCTATTCCTCCATTCAACTATCAATAGGTATTTGGTTTTTCTCCAGCTTATAGTTATTACCCATAGTGCAACTACAAGTCTTGTCTTTTGATGAGTATATGTCCAGGTTTCTGTGGGGCCTATACTTAGGAGTGACTTTGCTGGGTTACAGGGAATGCACATGTTCAGCCGTGGTGCATACTGCCCAACAGATTTCCAAAGTGGTTTTCAAAGGACTTATGTTAAGGATTGCACTACCACTTCTAAACTTCAAAGTCTTTTACACTGAGTGAAGTAACAGGCTCCTGGAGATAGGCAAGAAATGGATGTTTCTGGTTAATGAACCGTGAGGCAGAAAACTTTCTAGCGTTTCAGCAGTCACTTGAGCTGAGCACTCCAGGAACCTTCCTGGAAGAACACAGGACTTGATATCCCAAAACTCTGCTTCAGATCAAATACCAAAAGACTTTCCCCACAAGAGGGTCCTAGCCACCGTCAATGATTAAATTTAAAAACCAAAGAGAACAAGAGAAAGCAAAGAAAGAAAGAGAAAGGATTCAAGGAAGGGAAAGAAAGAAACCCAGGCTCCAAAGAAAAGTTATGAAATTCAGAGCCAACACTTGAAAGAAATCTGTAAGCCACAAAAAGTGGAAAGATCAGCCAAGTCCTTCCCTTTATTTTTTTAATTTGTATTATTATTATTATTTTTTGTAACCAACCATTCCTTGAAAACCAAACTCCTCAAAGAACCATCCTGAGAAGAACAATAGGAACACTTTAGACGGGACCAGCCCTTCTTGTCTCCTTACCTTACTCAACTCCTCCTCCTCTGTTCTGTCTCACTTGTCAAGGACTTCACTTCACTGCCAAGAACACAGTTCTCTGTCCTGAGATTCATATTAATCTGTGCCACTGCCAGTTAGCCTGCCAAGGCTGCACCTGAAACTCCACACTTTAAACCACTCCTCCTTGCTGAAACACAGCTTTCATTCCCCTCATCAATCCTCATCTCCTACAGCCAACCACACTCAAGACCTATGGCTTCTACTTACACTGTCCCTGATTCCTTCCACTGTTGACTTTCACCCAGGTGCCTGTGACAAGGCCCCTATGTCTGTCTCCCTGCCTCCAGGCTGACTTTCCCCAGACCTGCCTTCACCCACATCCCTAGAGATCTTTCTAAACTGTGCATCTGAGTATGTCATCCCTCTATTTAAACCCTTGCAAATCTTTCCATGGCCTCGGATTGGAATCAATCAAAACTCCTTAACATGCTCAACAAGGCCGTTTGAGACCCAGCCCCTTCCTTTCTCTCAGCTTCATTTCTCAAACTCCTCTCCTTGTGCTCAATGATCCAGCCATGAAGAACTTCCTTCCTTTGCTGAATAAACTATGTGCTCTCTCTCCCCTTTATTTAGCTTTATATATATATATATATAAATTGTCTAGTATATGAATTATATTCCAATAATACTGTTGTATTCTGTTATATATATAACAGTACATATATAACATATACTACTATAACATAATACTATTTTTATATATAATATATAATATGTATTTTATATATAGTATACAAATATACATACACTATATATAATATATATTATACATATATGGAGACCATTTAATATATTACATTTTATATGTGTGTGTGTGTGTGTGTGTATATATATATATATATATATATATATATATATATATATATATATAAAATGGAGGCCACCACATCTTTTTTTTTTTTTTGAGACAGAGTTTCACTCTGTCATCCAGGCCAGAGTACAGTCGCGCGATCTCAGCTCACTGTAACCTGCACCTCCCAGGCTCAAACAATTCTTCTTCCTCAGCCTCCCAAGTAGCTGGAATTATAGGTGCCCACCACCACACCCAACTAATTTTTGGACTTTTAGTAGAGACGGGGGTTTCATCATGTTAGCCTGGCTTGTCTCAAACTCCTGCCCTCAGGTGATCCGCCTGCCTCAGCCTCCCAAAGTCTGGGTACAGGCATGAGCCATCGCACCTGGCCTCTATTAAATAATTCTTAATTGAGGCTGTAGATTAAGAGATGGGAAACATATAGACTCTACTCAGTTTATTATATATATAAAATACATATTATATGTAATGAATTACATATATTTTATATAAGATATATATAAAACCGTATTTTTGGAATATAATTCACACACTAGACAATTCACCTATTTAGTGTACAATTCAAAGGTTTATGTTATATTCATAGAATTGTGCAACCATCACCACAACCAATTTTAGAAGTCTCATCACCCCTAATAAAAACTCAGTACCCATATCAGTCACTCTCTATTTCTTCCCAACCTCCTCAGCCCTAGGCAACTAGTAAACTATTTACTGTCTCTATAGATTTGCCTGTTCTGGACATTTCACATAAATGGAACCATATGATATGCAGCCTTTTCTTGATTGACTTCTTGCACTTAGCATAATGTTTTCAGCATCTATCAGTAATTCATTCCTTTTTATTACCAAACAATACACCATTGTATCAATATACAACATTTTACTTATTTATTTATAAGTTGATCAACACTTGGATTGTTTTCACTTTTTGGAAAAATGTTTAGAAGCTCTCCATTAGATAATTCTTGTTTTTTGTTTTGTTTTGTTTTTTGTTTTTTGTGTTTTTTTTAGAAACATAGTTTCACTTTGTTGCCCAGGCTGGAGTGCAGTGATGTGATCATAGCTCACTGCAGCCTTGAACTCCTGGTCTCAAGCAATCCTCCCATCTTGGCCTCCCAAACTGCTATGGTTACAGGTGTGAGTCACCATATCTAGCCTCCATTAAATACTTCTTAATTGAGGGTGCAGATTAGGAGGTGGGAAAGATACAGACTCTACTCAGCTTGAAAGACAAATAAACAGATGGTTTAAATATTATGGCCAGGCGCGGTGGCTCATGCCTCTGATCCCAACACTCTGGGAGGCCAAGGTAGGTGGATTGCTTGAGTCCAGGAGTTTGAGACCAGCCTGGGCAAGTAGCAAAACCCTGTCTCTACTAAACATACAAAGAAAAAAAAAAGAAAAAAAAAAAAAAAAGCCGGATATGGTAGTGCATGCCTGTAATCCCAGCTACTCGGGAGGCTGAGGTGGGAGAATCACCTGAGCCAGGGAGGTCGAGTCTGCCATGAACCAAGATTAAGCCACTGCACTCCAGCCTGGGCAACCAGAGTGAGACTCTGTCTCAAAAAATTAATAAATAAATAAAATGGTAAATATATTAACAGAGGTCTAGATAAGATACTATGGGAGAACAAAGGAAAGAAGAACTAATTCCCCCTGGAGGATTCAGAGAAGGCATTTGATAGGAGTCTTGAAAGATGAATAAGGTTGGAGAGACCTTTGTTAATCTGGTTCAACCCTTCATTCAGCCCTTGGCCAGCTCTACAGCATCCCATCACATGCAAGTCCTGCTCTGCCTGAAACACCTGAAAGCGAGGCATGCATCCAGAGGTTGGCTGGGTTGGGGGTGGAGGCAAGAGGAGGAGAGAGATGTGACAGGTGAAGGTACTTGGGAATGGGCAGTCCAGTTTAGTTATGGGGCCCATGCAAGGCAACATGAAAGGGTTGGGGTCACACAGAATAAAAGAAAGACCCTGGACTTGGGAATCAGTCAGGCTTGGACTCAAATAGACAACTAATAATGTGTGTGACTTTACACAAATTATTTAATCTCTCTGAGCCTCTGTTTTGTCACATGTAAATATGAATTAATAGCTCTATTTCAGAGTTGTGAAGATCAAGGGACAGAGCATATGGAAAAGTACTTGGCACAAAGTAGGCAATTGATAACTGTCAAATCCTCTTCCTTCCAGTTTGCCAAAGCCAGCCCTGCCACCCTCTTTCCTAAGCTGAGACTCTGACCTTGATCACTCATTGTCCAGGCCCAGTAATAACAGCTAGATTTATTAACTTCTTACTGCATTCTGCACCCTGGGCTAAGTATCGTCTTTTTTCATCCTCACAAAAATCCAATGAAGTTGGAAATCTTTGTTTTATAGATAAGGAAACTGAGGCTCACAGATGTTAAATAATGAAATTTGCTCAAGGTCTTAAAGCTAGAAAGTCGTGGAACTGGAATTTAAACCCAGGCTGACATTAAAATCTATGCTACCCATTGTGTTCCTTCTAGAAAGGCAGTCAGGAATCATTCTGTTGAGTAAATCTTTAATCCATGATCCACATGTATCAACGTTTGATCAAAGCTCAAGAATGCCTTGCTTTCATAAACAATGCTTTTAAACACCAAAAATAAATAAACAAAAAAAAGCAAAGCAGTGGGTTGAATAAGTGAAAATCCTCAAAAGAAAGATAATCTAAATAAACACTTAAAATAATAACAGCCATCTCTCAGGCGCTAGAGAGTATCACCATTTTTCCCAGGCAGCTCAGGGCAACAATAGTAAAACTTGAGATCCAGCAGTTCTTCCTTAGGGTTTTGTGATTAAAGAGGCCTGGGATGATGGTTATATCTCCCCTCATAATCCTTAAACCCTGGCATCAAGCTATGGAAATCCTGATCATGAAGACTAATATTTGTGAAGTGCTTACAGTTTAGTAAGGATTAATTAGTAAGTAGATTGCTCACAGGGTATCTGCTGTCACTTACAACCCTGAAAGGTGCATAGGGCCAGGGTCATTTTTATTCTCAGAACAGAAACCTGAAGTTCAGAGAAACAAGGTGACTTGCCAAAGCTCAAGGAGAGAATCACAATGTAAACTCCATCCTCTGATCCCTTTTCCACCTCCACCGGCATCTTCATCCACAGTCCAAATTAGAAAGAACTCAGATTTGGACTCCTTGGAAGCAAACTTCTAGACTCCTGGGAACTGTATAGATTATGGCAACAAAGATAGAGGATGGGCTGGAAGAAGACAAAAGTAACACTGCTGATAAGTGCAAAAACACCTAGCGTTAAAAAAAAAAATGGCTTTATTGAGATAAAATTCACATACAGTAAAATTCACCCTTTTAAATGGTACAATTTGGTGTCTTTTCATATATTCACAAAGTTTTACAACCATCACACTGTCTAATTCCATAACATTTCTATCACCACAGAAAGAAATCACAGTCATTGCAGTAATTACCCACTGCAGCCCTAGCACCCACTAATCTACTCTGTTTCTATGGATTTGCCTATTCTAGACATTTCATATGAATACATTCAATAAGTGTCTTTGGTGTCTGGCTTCTTTCACTTACATCATACTGTTTTCAAGGTTGATTAACATTGTAGTATGTATCAGTACTTCGTTTTCCTTATAGCCAAATAATATTCTATTGTGTGGATGTGTCATATTTTATTTATCTGTATATCAGTTAATGGAAAATCAGGCTCTTTCTACATTTTGGCTATTATAAATAATGCTGCTATGAGCATTCAGGTACATTTTTTGTATGAACACATGCTTTCATTTCCCTTTGCTATATGCCCAGAAGTGGAATTGCTGGGTCATACAGTAATTCTATGATTAGCTTTTTGAGGAACTGCCAGAAAGAAGAGTTCTTTATTCTACATATCCCTTTATTCTTTACTATTCTATCTGTTCTATTTTCAAAGTGATTGTACTATATAACATCCGCACCAGTAATATGTGGGTTCCCATTTCTTCACATCTTTCCAACACTAATTATAGCTATCCTATGGGTATGAAGCAGTATTCCATTGTGGTTTTGATTTACATTTCTCTGGTAGTGAATGATATTGAGTATCTTTTCATGTGCTTATTGCCTTTTGCATATCTTCTTTGAAGAAATGTCTGTTTGTATCCTTTGCTCATTTAATTAGATTGTCTTTTCATTGTTGAGTTGTAAGAGTTCTTTATATATTCTAGAACTAAGTCCCTTATCAAAGATATAATTTGCAAATTTAGTGAGTGAACTTTTTACTTTTTTAAAAGTGTTCTTTTAAGCACCAACATTTTTAACTTATTTACTTATTTTTCTTTTGTTGCTTGTACTTTTGATTTCATATCTAAAAACAAATCACCTAATTTAAGATCACAAAGATTACAAATATGTTTCCTTCTAAGAGTTTTATACTTTTAGCTCTAACATTAGGTATATGATCCATTTTTAATCAACTTTTATATGGTGTGAGGTAGGGACCCAACTTTATTCTTTTGTGTGTGAATATCCAGTTGTCCCAGCATATTTGTTAAAAAGAATATTATTTCCCCCACTGAACTGGCTTTTCAGCCAGGCCAAAAATCAATTGACCATAAATGTAAGGGACTTTTTTTTGGACTGTGAATTCTATTCCATTAATCTATGTGTCTATGCTTATTTTAGTACCATACTGTCTTCATTACTATAGCTTTGTAGTACGTTTTGAAATCAGGACATATGAGTCCTACAACTTTGTTCTTATTTCTCAAGATTGCATTGACTATTCTGGGTCTCTTGAACTTCCATATGAAGTTGAGGAATTCGCTTGTCTATATATGTTTTTTTTAAAAAAAAAAACAAAAAACAGGCAGCTGGGACTTTGAGTGAGATTGCACTGAACCTGAAGATCAATTTTGGGAATATTACTATCTTAATATTAGCCTTCTAATCCATGAGCACAGTACATCTTTCCATTCATTTAAAACTTCTATTACTTTTTTCAATGATGTTTTGCATTTCTCAGTGTACAAGTAGTGCATTAATTTTATTAAATTTAGTCCTAAATATTTTATTCTTTTTGATTCTATTGTGCATGGAATTACTTTCTTAATTTCATTTTTGGATTGTTCATTGCTAGTGTATAAAAATACAATTGATTTTGGTATATTGATCTTGTATCCTGAAACATTTCTGAACTTGTTTATTAGTTCTAATAATTTTTAGTGGGATTCCTTAGGATTTCTTTTTATACAAGATCATGTCATCTGCAAATAAAGACAGTTTTACTACTTTCTTTTCTGTCTGCTTTCTCTCTCTTTTGGGTACTGTTTGCATGTTATATTTTTTCCTACCTTTCTATTTTCAACCTATGTGTGTCTTTGAATCTAAAGTGTGTCTCCTCTAGACAGCATATAATTGAATTAAGGATTTTTAAAATCCATTTTGCCAACTTCTGCTTTTTTCTTGAAGTTTAGTTCATTTACATTTAAGTAATTACTGACAAGGTAGAATTTAATTTGTGCTTTTGCTGTTTATTTTTCCATATACCTTGCGTATTTTTTTGTTCCTTTATTCCTTCATTACTGATTCTCTGTTTTCTTTTGTGTTAAATAGATATTTTCTAGCACAAAATATTTCTTTGCTGCTGCCGCTATATATATATATACGTATATATATATATAGAGAGAGAGAGAGAGAGAGAGAGAGAGCAAGGAGATATATATGTATATTTAGAGAGAGAGAGTTATTTTCTTTGTGGTTGGCCTGGAAATAACAAGATCTTAACTTACAGTTTGGATTAACAGCCTGCCTTTTTATAGCACATTCTCATTTACATTTTTCATTTAATTGCCAGGAAGGAGAAAGTAAGAAATCTGCACTAGAAACTCTATCTTGGCCTGTTTGGAACAATGTTATTCATATACAATGTTCTTCTGGGGGCAAACTGTAGCCACGTGAGAGAGATTCCTTTTTGATTCCCAGGGTATAGGTTTTCAGGGTGATCAAAACACCATTTTGTGAACTTTCTAGCTTCCAACGTGAATTCACATACATCAGCAATTCTCAAACTGTGGTCTGGGAATATCTGAGCATCACTGAGATGTTTTCAGGTGATCCTTAAGAATAAAACCATTTTTATAAGAATACCAAGTTGTTATTTGCCCTTTGTGGCTTTTATTCTCTCATAAGAGTACAATAGGATTTTCTAGAGGTTACATGACATGTGATATCATAACAGAGTGAATGCAGATGCAGGTAGGAGAAAGTGCTGTTTCTAATAAGCCAGGCATTCCAGAAATTTACAAAACTATAAAACAATGCCACTCTTTTCTCTAAGTTGTTTTTGAGAATATAGTGATACTTCATGAAATATTTATGTTAACATAGAATGGTTTATTATTGCTAATTTTAAATGAGTTGACTTTTTAAAATTTCTTATTTTAATTTATAATATGGAAAATCTTGACAGATATATGCAAACCAAAGCTTGTTTGTGTTATTGATAAGTTAAGAGTATAAAGTAGTCCTGAAGCCAAAAATTTTATGAGCTGCTACCATATTATCTCATTCAACCCTTACAAGAGCATTGTGTGAAAAGCAGGACAGATTTAGTCTTCTGATGCTATGGCTTCTTGAATGAGGAAAGTGAGGCCGTGGGCCTGAGACTGTCTACGTGGACTGGGTTTGCTAGAATGGCAATCTATTATTCTGAGGCCAGAGCCCAGCCAGTTAACTGCGTTGATACTTCCTGGGAGCTATGACCTCTTAGTGACCTTTGATCCTGTTTACCTCTTCCATGTTCTGCATACTGTCTGCACTTTGGCTTCCATGACGCCATGACACCATGTTCTCATTTTTGCAAATGGTTCCTCTTCTTTTTCCTGCCCCTTAAATATTGCTATTACTCAAGGTCTTCTACCCAACCATCCTTTGGTCTTACTCCCTTAGTGAGCTCACTCATCATTATATATGATGATTCCCAAATGTGCCTCTCCAGCTCAGATCTCTCTCTCACTTGAATTTCAAAGCTGAGTACTAGATGTGTCTACCCGGATATCCCTCAGATGTTTTAAATCCACATGCTCAAAACTCTAATCAGTAGGCATTCCATACACTGTACTAGGTACAGGTAATGTAAAAGTGAATAAAACACAGTCCCTGTTCTCAGGGAAACAGCAATCTGATGGAGAACATTAGTTTGTCCAAAACCAACTTCTGTATTTTTGGTTCTAGATATTATTATCACCATCTGCCCAATTACACAGGACTCCTTTCCCATCCTTCCATCTAGTCAGTTGCCAAGTCTTATGCGTTCTATTTCTGTAACATCTCTCCAGCCTTCTCTTCTCTTCTCTCACTACTGCAGCTCCCTCAGATCCAACTTTCTTAATCTCTCTGGTGAACTATTGCAGCAACCTCCTAACCATGCTCTCTGCCTTCTGTCTCATCCCCATCTAATTCATCCTTCACACTGCTACCTGAGTGATCATTTTATAACTGCAAATCTGCCCACCTTACTATCATGCTTAAAACTCTTCAATGGCTCCCGTTCTTCTGGAGAATAAAACCCAGCCTCACTAGCTTGCCTTTTAAGGTTCTCTAGGATCTGATCTCAGCTTCATTTCCTATCAGTCCTCTGAGTGTTATCTCGACCTTTCAAAAGATATTTCTGATGTCAAGAATGCCCTCCCCAATCACCTGATCATCCTTCCCAGCTCTTCTTAAGTGTCTTCTCCTCTTAAATTTCCTATGATCTTCCCAAGAGGTCTAGATTATTCCTCTTTTTGGCCTACCACTATATCTTGCACGAGTCTCTTTTCATTATGGTACTTAGCACATTATATTAAATTATAATCTTTTGTTTTTCTAAATATCTCCCCCTCTGGACAGAACACTTCAATGGCAGGTACTCTGTCTTATTCATGTTGGTATCAACTGCCCTAGCCCAGTGCATGATGAAGAGTGAGCACTAAATAAATATTATCAATGTAATATTGAAGGTCTATAAAATATGGATCACATTCAACCTTCCCCCCTTTTTATGATTTTAGAATTCTCTTCCCATTTTCCATCTAAGCACCCAAGCTGAAAACATGGGTAATTCTATTAATAAAGTTTATACTCTTCCTCTTCCCCTATAGTCAATGAGTTACCCAACCAAACATTCTGCTTCTTTATTCTCTCTCCAGTGTCAACTACCCTCCATCACCACATTTAGGAAATACAGCAGCCATGTTTTCAACCTCAAAAATTGAGACATAAAATTTTTGTGTCACTTCCACATATGAGATATTCTGAGAAGCAGACAAAAGTTCAAAAACATTGGAATTCTTGAAATATTTCAACAATTTCCAGGGACAGTACTAGAGAATATTTGAAATCATAATGCCACTAAGAATTCAGGTTAGGAGGTCATTTAGCCTTGGTTTTATGGTTCTTGGGCTTCTAAGTTTCAGAACTTAAGTTATTAATCATCTAGGTTACAAAAGACAAATGCATGGACATGAATAACTAAAAATACAATATTATAAATACTAAATAAGTGAAGAGGTAATTGAGAAGAGAAATACAGAGGACATATGACCTGAGCTAGGCTTTTGTTTTTTGTTTTTTGTTTTTTTTTTGAGACAGAGTCTCACTCTGTCACCCAGGATGGAGTGCAGTGGCATGATCTCAGCTTTCTGCAACCTCCACCTCCCAGGTTCAAGTGATTCTTGTGCCTCAGCCTCCCGAGTAGCTGGGATTACAGGCATGCACCACCATACCCGGCTAATTTTTGTATTTTTAATAGAGATGGGGTTTCACCATGTTGGCCAGGCTGGTCTTGAACTTCTGACCTCAGGTGATCGGCTCGCCTCAGGCTCCCAAAGTGCTAGGATTACAGGCATAAGCCACTATGCCCAGCAATTACATGAGCTAGGCTTTCAAGGCCATTGTAATCAAGGTGTGTGCCAGCTCATGCCTGAAGCTACCCATATGGAAATATCCCAATTCCGGTCCCCACTGAGAGAGTTGGATCCTTGTCCACCAGCCAAGATTGAGTAACCAGAGAGAGCGTCTGATCCAAGGGTGTGGTTCATACTTGGGCAGCCTGAGACCTACAACTTGGACCCACATAAAAAGATAATCTGCATCAACCAGATTCCCTTCTGGAATCTGAAATTGAAAAACCAAAATGAGAGAGCTGGCAGCACAGGCAGATGCTAAAAGACTTGCCTCCAGTATTACCTTAAGGTAACGGAGGAACCAGAGAGTCCAGGGCAAGCCAAAACCATAAGTAAGCCAAAGTCATGAGTAGATAGAACGAGCTGGTCAATAGAGGAGCAAACACTCCACATAAGTGACAATAGCATGAGAAAAATAGAGACCATTCAGCCAAAACAAGAGAGGTGGAGCAGCTAGTCCCTGGATCTGCCTTGCAACTTGATATCTTGCCAGCTCTGGTCTAAATCCAGGTATAGCCTTACAGCCACTCATTGAACTTCTTTTCCAGGTGACTGTTTGAGTGCTATTCCTTGCTAGCTAAGAGCTAAAGGAAATGGATTCGACTAGGCAGAGCAGAGGGAAAGAGAAATCCAGGAGCCCAGGTTAGTATGGATGGCAGCATAAAGATGAAATTTCTCATGGACTCCTCAGGGAAGGGTAGAAAGGAAATTATTTTAAGTAGGAGACAAAAGCTACTGGAGCACCTTAAATTTGTAGGCCAAAGTGGTATTTGGTGAATGAATGAATAAATGAATGCATGTGAGTTAAAGCCAAAAAGTAAACAACTTTAAATAACAGGATTGAGACTTCAGACTTGATATCATAGGCAATAGGAAACCACAGCAGTTTGGAACAGGAAGCAGGAGCCATCAATATAGTATTTTTAAAATAATGAATTTTTTGAAAGACATTCCATTTTCCAATGCTGAAGCATGCGTTGTCCCAGCCCCACAATGATGGAGTGAGCATGTAGGAGTAATGTTTGGCCGAGAGAGGAACATGAAAGCAGCCCACTGGTAAATGGAACTGCAAATTAGAATGGCCTGAGGGAGGCTTCCGTCCAGACAGCCCAGAAGCTGAGAAAGACAGCCAAAGATATCTCGCCTAGCATGCAGCTGTGGGAAATGCTGCAACTCTTTCTGACTGTCTGGAAACAGCTATAAGACCACGTGCAAACTCAAAATCAGTTCTAAATAGGCCATTATGACAAGGGCTGTCAGCCCCCTATGGACTTCCATGTAGCACCCAGATGTCACATGTAGACATGTGACAGCTGACTCCTCATTCTCTCCACCAGGCATTTGTAGTAGCTGTCTGTTCATGGCATGTCAACTTGGACACAGATCTCAGCAACTCTTTGAATGCCTCGCCAAGATCCACTCATAGAACATTAATGAACAGTGGAGAATCTCCTGACAGTTTCATGAGGGAGAGAGAAGAAGGACTCCACAGCAAATAATTAAAGAAAAAAAAAAGACCTACTAGACATACATGTTCTGCAAATTCCTCCACTGCTGGACAGCCACCAAGTGTTTCTTTATCAACCCACAATACAGTTTAAATAAAGGCCCACTCCTCCCCCAGCACAGTTTATAGGGCCCACACTCCTTACGATGACAATTGAGGTTATAAATAAAGCACCTTGTTGTTTTTGCACACACATAGCAATAAACATAGGGCTTAATAGCTCCCAACATGGCCCCAGCTATGTCTCCTTGGCCCCATCACTTTGCTCTCTGGCCTCTGTTTCTCATTCTGTAACACAAGAGGCAGAAGTGGGTCCATTTGGGTTAATCCCATCCACCATCCAGTTCTCAATTTGGACTTTACATAGTGGAGAGTGGTTTCCACCCTAAGCAGAGGGGTTTTCCTTCTGCAAAGAACAAAATGAAAGAACTAGGGATGAAGAAGCCACTATATAACCTAGGCATTTGGGCAAGTGGGGGTGGGGAAGCTGGAGAGGAGGGAGGCGGGGCAGGGTCCCAGTGGCAGGGAGGGTGAGCTGAGCACTGGCTGCCCCTCCGCGGGATACGCAGTGATGAGGCCTGCCGAATGCAGAGCATGGAGGAGAAATGGTTTTGTCTGTGCAGCCACCCACGCTCTGACTGCAGTAAGGGTCACACCGGGCTGATGATGACTTTTTGATGGAGTGGACGCAGCACCCTGCAGGGGCCAGCAGTCTTTGGAAGAGAAGCGCTCAGCAGAAAGCACATCCAGCTCACCAGTCTGCTCTTCCCTCTTCTGCTTTCTTTCTCTCCCCACCCTCAAACCCCATCTGGGCTCACTGCAACCTCTGCCTCCCAGGTTCAAGTAATTCTCCTGCCTCAACCTCCCAAGTAGCTGGGATTACAGGTGTGTGACACCACACCCGGCTAATTTTTGTATTTTTAGTAAACATGGGGTTTCACTATGTTGGCCAGGCTGGTCTTGAACTGCTGACCTCATGATCCGCCTGCCTTGGCCTCCCAAAGTGCTGGGATTACAGGCATGAGCCACCACGCCCGGCCTTCTCCTCTCTTTTTAAAGTGTCTCTTCTGGGTGCCGTTTTCATTCTAAGCTATCTATAGCGCCTCAGTAAGGGAGAAGGGGGGAAATCCAACAACAGCCGCAGCCACGTGGCCAGCTTCTGTGGGAACACCTGTGGATGTGTGCTGTTCTGGGCAAGAACAGAACAAAGTTGCTTTTATGTCCTTCTTTCTAAAAGCCTTGTGTGCTTTAGAAGCTGGTTATTATTGCATTATTAAAGCCTCAGTGAGCCGAGGCCAAGGCGAGGGTACTCTACAGCTGTCCCAGGCGGCTTCAGCCAGTGCATACTTCTCATCCTGTGACCTAGCCTGACTCCTGGTTGTCATCCCATTACACCCCAGTGAGAGGGGAGCACTGGGGGAGGACAGAGATGCCAGTCCCTAATTGAAGGTGCCCTGGGCTTCTCACCAAACTGGTCCATCCAGTTCTTAGGAATTATTCTGAGCATAATCCATTTTGCCAATATTGTGTTTCTTAAAGCACCAGCAGCGTAAAGTGAGGAAAAACTGTTGCATAAGGAAATTTCTGAAACCGGATTTCCCTGGGTTTCAGCAAGCACTTGTTCAGGAGAGGTTGGGAGGACCAAATGTTCAGCTTTGTGTGTGTCATGGTTGGGGGCCGTAGACTGGGGACAGCCTAGGGCATTGTTTGCTAAGGGCAAGTTTGCTCCAGTTAGTTACAGATTCCTAGTCACAACACCGTGAGCTTTGTCATCTATCCCAACCTCAACTTTCACAGAGGAGGAGAGGAAACGCACAGAGGCAAGGTGACTGGTCGAAGGTTGCACAGTGGATTGGTGTCCTGCTCAGATAACCGCAGCCTAGACACATGCTGAGCACACGTGGCATTCCTTCTCCAGGTCTGTAAGCACAGATGCCCTTCAAATGGCAGTGCCAGTTTAAGGCTAGTGTTTGGAAAGACAGGCCCCCAGAAGGCATGGACTGTATTTTTCCCTGGTCCTTATGGGACACTTCAGCAAGGTTCAAGCACACTTAGAAACTTATACCTACAGACAAACCCCAGAAAAAAGTAATCAGAGTCACATTCTCTAACCAGCTCCAGTACACTTATTTTCATGCAAATGTGGAGAAACAGCCCAGCCTAAGAGGGAGCAGCATAACAGAACAGCAGAATGAATGCCACCATAGAAGTTTGTGCAGCCCATGGAATCCATAAAAGGCCTGGCTGCGGGGCCCACCAGGGGCTGAAATCCGGCCTGCCCTCCACTAACTGGGCACTGCCCAGGCAAAATGCTCCTCATGTTTCTGGTCTCAGGTCAAGTTTACCCTTGAGTAGTAAAGCTTCCCTCTTTACTGGCCTTCCTCTGCACTTCCCCTTCTACCTCATTCCTGTCCTATCTTCTAAAAGCGTCCCTTAAAAAAAAATTATGTTTTTCTGTTTTACTTTTTAAGCTATAACCACCAAAGTAGTGATGAGCCCTTCATGCACTGCAGTGTTTGAAGCCACTGAGCACATCTTCAGGTCTATTTCACCTCTAAACATGGTCTTCCCATAGTGCATCTGGCTACCTCTGATCACATGCCACTTCCTCCAGGAAGCCTTCCCTGACCCTTCCCCCCTCCCCCACACATCCCACCCCAGTAAGTGAGGACTATCCCCCACCGCAACCTAGGCTAGGCATGCCCTATGGGAGCTCTGAATATGTTGTTGCAAAATGATCTATTTATAAGTTCATCTTCCCCTTAGATCTGCCCTGTTCAATGTGGTAGCCACTGACCACGCATGCCTACTGAGCACTTGAACTGTGTCTAGTCTGAATAGGGATGTGTTGTAAATATCAGATACATACTACATGTGAAATAGTATGAAAGAGATAATATAAAATACCTCAATGATCATGTTTCTCTTGATCATATGGTGGAATAATATTATAGGCTGGGTGTGGTGGCTCACACCTGTTATGATAGCACTTTGGGAGGCCTAGGTGCAGGAGGATCACTTGGAGTTTGAGACCAGCCTGGCGCAACACAAGGAGACCCTGTATCTAAAAAAAATTTTTTTTAATTAGCTGGGCATCATGGCAGGTGCCTATAGTCCTAGCTCCTCAGGAGGCTGAGGCAGGAGGATTGCCTGAGCCCAGAAGGTTGAGGCTGCAGTGAACGATGACTGAGCCACTGCACTCCAACCTGGGTAACAGAGTGAGACGCTGTCCCCAAAATAAGCAAATAAATAAATAAATACATATTTTTAAAAATTTAAAAAAGAGAAACAGAAAAAATAAAAATTAAACAAGATAATATTAGAGAAATATTGAGTTAAATATATGATTAAAATTAATTTCTTCTATTTCTTTTTTTAATGTGACTACTAGAAAAATGTAAATTACCTGTATGGTTTGTATCATATTTCTATTGGATATCTGCTTAGACTATAAGCCTCTAGAGGTCAGGGATCATATCTTACTCATCTTTGCCCTTCCAGCATCTAATACAGACACACATTTGGGTTCTAAGACAGCATATGTAACAATACAGGTGTCACCTTGTGTTGTCACTCTTGCTGCCCACCTGTCTGTCTCTACCAGGATGCTTTCCGCACCTTGGCACAAAGACTGTGCCTCACCTATCAAGTGCTTGGCAAGAGGCAGGTGCAGAATACATGTTAGAGAATGAAGGTAAAGTAAGTATCTGATCTAAATATTCAGGGAGAAAAAAACTTATGATTATTATTTTTAATAGAGATGGGGTCTTGCTATATTGCCCAGGCTGTTCTCAAACTCCTGACCCCAGGTGATCCCAAAGTGCTGGGATTACAAGCACGACCCGCAGTACCTGGCCAATTTTTTAAAAACTTAATCTTGCTTTAATTGTACTTGGGAACCATAGATGTGATATTGATATCTTACAGATAGAAGAACAAAGTGGCTGTAATACCCTGGGTGGGATCTTTCCAAGTTAAGACAAAGGAAGCGCCAGTACATCAGGAGACAGAGTGGCTGGGTTCCAAGGCCAGCAGGCTGTTACGCAAGGGGGAAAACTTCACACACAGTCAATAATTAGAAAAATGATTCTGGGCTGTGGAAACAAACACAGGACAAAGTATATAGAATACAGAGACTAATATTCACAACAATATCAATTAATAGCTTATCATACCCTCTTGAGTACTGATCAATTTGATGTGAATTTCAACTTTAAAAAATCTTAATTTTATTTTCTGAATATAGAAATAAAACTGGCTCGTTGTTTAAAAAAAAAAGGCCCTAATCTCACAATTATATAGAAATGTTTAAAGCAAAAAAAGTCCTTTGTGATACCACTCCAAATGATAATTCAATAACCACTAGTAATAGGTTGGTGTTCTTCCTTCTAGGTTTTTCCTTTATAAAAATTCTTTTCTCTTTATTTTTATATAAAAATAAGGTTATATCCTAAGTATCATCCTGCAACTTAACTTTTGAAACATATGAATATATTGTCAACATCATCCTATGTTAGTACCTATAGCCCTATCTCTTCTTTTAGCTGGAGCATAGCATTCCACTTAGGGAAATACTCCCATTATTGCTGGACATCAGCAATAAAGACAGGCACTTTTTTGTTATTATAAACAGACTGCAACCAACATCCTCGGACATGTCTTTGCAGCTTTTATGTTTCCATAGGAACAAAAATAGTTTCATTATGCCCTAATGAAGACAGTGAAGCAGATCAGAATTGGATCACCTATATTAAAAAAAGAAAAAACAGATTGCAGTGGGAAGGGAGAAAGGGGTTCGTGAAGATAATGGTAGATATTTGGGCTTTGCACATTTTTATAATAATGAAAGAAAAGTCCACTTAGCTTGCATCTCACCTTCTACCTCCATAATTCTAAAGTATTTTTTTAATTTAATTGGAATTAATTTCATCTAAAAATCTCAATTTTGGATTAACCTATGTGAAGTTCAAGAACATTCTCTTACCTGTATGCTGGTAAGAACTGCAATTGGATATATCCTTCTGTCTGGCATCCTCTGGGTCAGTTTCCACTTTTTCCTATTGAGGGACTTACAGGTTCTTTAGTTACACAGGTAACTGTGGTTTGAAATTTAAAACAACAGTATGTCTTTCATAATTCTCCTGAGAAAGAAAAATTCCAACAGTAAACAACGCCACTGGGGTTTCTCCTCCCCCACCAGCTGCATCAAAATGCTGTCCTGGCTTTGTCTTATACTAACAGGGTAGACCAGTCACTAATCTCTCTGAACACACGTCTCCCAACCTGTAAAATGGTTGCTACCTGCTTTGATTCATAACTGTCAAAATTAGAGATAATGTATGTAAAGTACTAGAACAAAGTACATGTTCTAATAATGGGAGCTATTATTTTCAATGGAAACTACTAGGATTAAATAGCCAGAGAAAGAGATAAAAGCAAAAGGTGGTAAGGAGAAAGGAAAATCCGAAGAACGTTTGTAGTAAATTTCAACATTTTTATTGCAGTAACTTTGATACGTGTTTTCTATGATGCTGGGAACTAACATCTCTTAAGCGAGCATTATCTGCCTGCTTCTGTACTAGGTATTTTACATATGTTGTCTTAATTCTAACAACAAATTTGTAAGGCAAGTAGTAGTGTCTTCCCATATTATAGATGAAAAAACTGAGACTCAGAATGTGTAAGTGGCCTTCTCAGATTCATCAATGTGGTAAGTAACAAAATTGGTATTAAAACTCAAATCAGTTCCAAACCTGTGCTTGTCTACTTATCAGGCTGTGACTACTGCAGCAGGCCTCATGATGCCTTCACGGTTTCTTATCTCCTGCACATTTTTCTCCACCTGGTCTCACTCTGATCACAATGGCAGATCCAGGGCCTCCCTCTTCCACTGACAGAAAATCAGTGCAAACTGACTCACGCACACCAAGGACAAAATGTGTTCATGGTCATGACAAGTCTAAAGGTAGACTTTGGCCTCAGGCTTGGCTGCACTCAGGGGCTCTATCTTCCCCATCTTTCAGTGCAACTTTCCTCTGAGTTCTGACTGGCTTTAATTTCACAGGGCTCTCTCCTCTGGATAGAAACCTTACGACCCATGACCCCGGGGGTAGGGAGAGGAGCACCCTTTCTTTCTCCCAGGGTCTATTTTAACCATATCAAATCTTAGTGAAAATCCACATGCCTATTTCTCAACCAATCACTGTGGCTTGAGGGGTGCCACGTCCTGCTGGCCAGGCCTCCCTCTCCAGCCCACTCCTGTGACAGGTTCAGCCTTACCTGAATCACAAGGAATGATGCCCCGTAGAACAGAGCAAAAAGGAAGAGCAAAAGAAGTCCTCAATAGAACAAAGCCACAGATAACCTCTGCAGAGTTCTTGTTGCTTTTTACTCAGCAACACCTCTCATAAACCCAGACTTTTGCCTTAGAAAAGCTCCTACTTTAGCTCCATAGGGACTGATTTCATAACTGCTTCTTTTTTGCATGTATTTCTTCCATCATTATGTACTATCTCTATGTGATGTCTAAAAATACCAAGTGGACATGGTATATCCTGCTCCTTCTTCCTGCCCAAGTTAGCAAAATAGCTCTGTAATTTTCAATGCTTTTGGCTACAATTTACAGAAAATGTAAATTTTCATTTACAAATGAAAATGATCAAAATGGCTTCGACAATGAGGAAAATGTCATTTTACACACGTTAAGAAGTCCCAAGGTAGAGCAGCTCCAGGGTTGACTGAGTCTCCGTGATTGAGGCTCTTTCCATTTTTCCTCTCTGCCATCCTCATTGTGGCAGCATTGTCCTCAGTGTGCTCCCCTCAAGACTGCAGGATGGACACAGCGTCCTGGGCACCACCGCTAGCCTGCAGTGGTCAGGGGAGAGCCAGTGAAGCTGGCAAGGAAGGGAGAACCTAATCAAGGCCAGTTCAGAGGATTTAAGTGGCAACAAAGTATAGGGTGGACTAGGGGAGCGAGATCCGGATTCTGAGAGCTTGATTAAAAGGCTGTTGTAATAGGGCAGAAATGCAAATATGGAGACTGAAGAAAGAATGGAAAGCAGGAGACACAGATGGGACTCATTGCCCTAAGAGTCTGAGTTCTATAGAGAGTCAAACACCGAACTGACTTGATTAAAAAATCAGATTTCAGAATACTTAAAAAAAAACTTTTTATTACTTTTCTTCAAGCTCATATCGTAAAACACACCATTAGGATAAATTGGAAACGGGACCCCAGGACAATGGCTGTCCGTGTGGGATCTGAACCACCATGAGAATTTTACTTTTATTTGTATTTATTTATTTATTTTTGAGATGGAGTCTCGCTCTGTCACCAGGCTAGTGCTCAGTGGCACCATCTCAGGTCACTGCAACCTCTGCCTCCCGGATTCAAGTGATTCTCCTGCCTCAGCCTCCTGAGTAGCTGAGATTACAGACACGCACCACTATGCCTGACACATTTTTGTATTTTTAGTAGAGATGGGGTTTCACTATGTTGGCCAGGCTGGTCTTGAAGTCCACCTCGGCCTCCCAAAGTGCTGGGATTACAGGTGTGAGCCACCACATCTGGCTGAGAATTTTACTTTTAATAAGATGTTCTCTCTTTGTTCACCAGACTGTCTCTAATATTAGTTGATGTGTACAGAACATAAATATTTGTTAGGATGCAATAGTCCAAATTTAGATGCAAATATTATGTTTAAATTGTAACAAAGTGATTGCTTTTTAGTGACATCATTTCAAGGAATTGGTAACTTGGTTTTTCATTGGTGTCTTGGCCCATGAAGGATGAGCTTCAGTGGACAGAAGACATGATGACACCCAGTTAGCACCACAAGGCCCTCTCTCCCAGGCAGTCCAATGTAGCAGGACGCCTACTCTAGTGCACGCTACTGCAGTTACCTCTGCTGGAAACTGCTGGTGAAACCACTGACCTGACCTGGACTAAGCACCTGAGACTTCTTGCTTCTCAGTTTATCCAGACAACAGCCTCAACTCTGCCCTTGCAGTTGCATGCTACATTCTGTCCAGAATGTTGAGAGCTATAGCTCTTTCTCTTCCATGGACTAGAGACCTCCCTTTCACCATGAGGTCAATGAAGCTTAACCTCAGGACCTGTCCCTTGCATTGGCCCCTTCCAGGGCCCTGGAGGAGTCTTGCCAATGTGTTTACATGGTCACCTGTCACTGTAAAATTTGCAAAGCTGATAAGGCTTTGCGATTTAGAATGCGGCCTCTTTCACTCGGATTCCCACTCCCTCACATAACTCTTTGGGTGGGGCAGCATTGGAGGGGGCTGCAGGCATTTCTGGAATGCAGTTAAGGGAAAGATGAATGAGTGACAAGTTTAGCTTGTGTTCATGAAGATATATATTTGTGTAGGTCACAGCCACCTCTACGCATAGTTATGTTACTGCCAGCCATTCCAGAGCACAAATGGCTTTCTGAAATACTCCCTGTCACCGCTGTGCTGACGCACCCACTGCTTAGTATCAGATGCGAGGCTGGAGGTCATGGGGAAATGAGAACGTGTCCTTCAGCTCCCAGCACCGGTTACAGATGGAAAGTGGAGGAGAAATAAAGTCTGAAATGTATCAAGCCAAAGATTGTATATAGAGAATTCTTTCAAACAGCAGATGTGGAAAGTTGTAAGTGGAAGATTCAGTTCTCACAACACCTCATCAGACTGCAAACTCTCTCTTATCATAAAGATGCCTGAAAATGTAGTGTATACAATTACAAAAAAATTAGCCCCTTTTGCTGTTATTTTGAATGAGAGTTTTGAGAAATAGTTTATGAGAATTCCTACGTTTGTAGCACATGTGCTCTGAGCAGAATGGCAGAGTACATGCCCTATAAACCTGTGTACCTACATATATGGAACAGTTAATATATGACAAAAATGATAGACTTTTTTTCAAATTTGAAAACAATCATAAAAATTTTCGGCCAGGCGCGGTGGCTCACGCCTGTAATCCCAGCACTTTGGGAGGCCGAGGCGGGCGGATCACAAGGTCAGGAGATGGAGACCATCCTGGCTAACACGGTGAAACCCCGTCTCTACTAAAAATACAAAAAAATTAGCCAGGCGTGGTGGCGGGCGCCTGTAGTCCCAGCTACTCTGGAGGCTGAGGCAGGAGAATGGTGTGAACCCGGGAGGCGGAGCTTGCAGTGAGCCGAGATCGCGCCACTGCACTCCAGCCTGGGGGACAGAGCGAGACTCCGTCCCAAAAAAAAAAAAAAAAAATTTTTTTCATGACATTCCCAATTACAAGTTGGAAAGCTAAAAGACAATTTTTTAGAAGTATCAGTAATAAAAAAAATTTGTGATCAACCATTCCAGAGAAAATGTTAAATTATCTTTCTCTTCTCTTTAGGTAGTGACATCTCAAAATTATAATAAAGAAGTAATCAAAGAGTTTGCAACCCAAAGATGTTTTTTAAAAAGGTTTTTGGAGCAGTGGCAGGGAGCTAATAAAAATATTTCGCTATTTTTCTGGATTTGTGATATTTGTGCCAACACGTTAAAATTTTTAATTTCTTGTGATTCTCTCAATCTAATAAGGCCAGATATGGTGGCTCAATACCCATAATCCCAGCACTTTGGGAGGCTGAGGCAGGAGAATTGCTTGAGGCCAGGAGTTCAAGACAAGCCTGGGCAACATAGCAAGACCCTGTCTCTACAAAAACATTTAAAATTAGCAAAGCATGGTGGCACATGCCTGTGGACTCAGCATCTTGGAAGGCTGAAGTGTAGGATCCGTTGAGCCCAGGAATTTGAGGCTGCAGTGAGCTCTGATTGTGCTACTGCACTCGAACCTGGGAGACAGAAGGAGACCGTCTCTTAAAAAAAAAAAATTAAAACAGATAAACATTCATATTTGTACCTAATTCTTAACTTATAATTTTGGTTCTTTTTTTGACAGAGGAAACTCCAAATTTAAAAAGCTTCAGGCCCCCAATAAAACCTGGATCCACTGTTGGTCGAGGGAGAAAGGGAGGCAATATTCAAGTTCTCATAACTGGTGAGTCTGTGTTTCTGTAGAAGTTCCCGTTACAAGGAAACAGGAATTAGTCCTTCAGAACTGAAAAACTGATCTTTAATCAAGCCAACAAAGGAGTCAGCCTGAATGGTGGCAGACACGAATTTTTGGTTTTTTTTTGTTTTTCCAGCAGATTGAGAGAACTTGGACAAGTTATTTATCCTTGAAAATCAGTCTCATCACTGGTAAAACGAGGTTTTGGGGTTAGATGAACTGAAAGTTCCCTTTTAGTGCTATGTTTTTTATTTTCACAGCTAAGTGTTGCTATGTCAAGGTATTCCATTACTTACTATGGAGAACACAGAAGAATGACTCATGAATTTTTAATTTGTAAATGACTGCTGCTAAGTTTATGAAACCCTATCATTCTCATAAGTAGGTTATACATATTCCTCATATATTATTTCACATCATTCAATTATTTAACAAATCCTTTTTTTCATAACAGGGCAAAGGTACACTTTTGTGCTGCTTCCTCTAAGTAGTCGGGAACTCTGCAGCAGTGGAATCCAAAGCAATTAAGCTTCCCTGTTACAACTGTACCACCACCTTCATTTCTGCATGCCTCTTAATTTTTGAGCTACCTTATTATATATGTGATCCTATTTTATCTCCACCACATTCTTAGGCGGTAAATGGAGCAGGGATAATAATCTCTATTTAATGGATTTCAAAACAGATGAAAAAGCGTTAAATGAGTTTTCTATGAGTTTTAGTTGGGTAGAAACAAAAACAATTGGAATATGGGTCTTCAGATGCCCACTCCCACTATGAAGGTCAGCATATAGAAATGTGTCTAGCATGGAAAGGTGAACACTCTGGTTATCACCAGTTACTGGCAAATATTAGCTAAAGCCCTAGGACTACATGAAATGGGGAAATAGGTGGGAGCATAACGCACAGGAAAGATGAGGACCCCATTCAGCCATTGCTGGGAACAGATCTGAAATTCATGTTCAATATTAAAAGAAAGCCAATTGAGAGTGGCCAGTCCCTGCAGGAAAATGAAACCTGGTCCTGTCAGCTCCTGCCAGCTTCAGTGCACAGCTAAATGTGCTTGCTGAGTGACTAGTAACCACCAGCTAGCCCAGAGACTATGGAGCACAGATAACACATCTAGGCAAAGACTGGCTGGCTAGTGTCGCCTCAGCCACACTGATCTGTTCTCCAATGAATGTTTGCTATTGGGCAGTTTATTCCAAGTATAGTTAGAGAGGCCAGAGGGGCCATGGGAAGAGGCCACATGCACATCCGCACCTGTGCCTCTCAGTGTGTCCCTGCCTGCGCAGGAGCCTGTTCAAATATTGATCAAAAGCAGCTTTGTCACAGGCGCTGGAAATGGGAGCTCCTTCTGAAACACGGACCCACTTAACCAGAAAAGGAGTGGTGTTTCTAAGAACTGTCACTTTGAGAATTCAGCTTGGAAGGTAGGACAGCTCACAGATGTTGTATAAGATCCTTGAATATGAATTTGGTGACTAGCTGTCTTGCAATATTTGCCAGCTATTTCCTTTCATATACATATTTATTTCTTTTCTTTTATATATTTATTTCAGATATATTTTCCTTTCATATGCATATATACATACACAGATATACACATATGCTCACGTATATATACACGCACACATAAATATGTTTGAAACCTCACTGAGAGAAACATCCAGAACACATTTTAGACATAAGGTGACATGGCATTCAGCTCTGAGCCCAAGTATATGTCAGCTGAGGCCTGCTATGGTCAGGACTCCCTTGCTGATGAGGTCTGTCCAGCATAGCAGTCCACACTGTCCTCCACAACGACACCAGACCACCAGAGACACTTGAAGTCACCAGTGCAATCAAAATTTCAGTCCTCATTAGCACAATAAAATTCAAATGTAGTTAAAGTGAAAACTACAGCATCCAATTGCTGATTCTGACTTCTCAGAGATTTTAATGGAGAAAAACACATCTTGGTTTTATTATCTGCCCGAAAACTGATTTTTAAAGTCTCTTCCTGCCTTACATTTAACACCTCTGGTAAAATTATATTGTTTAGAGTTCCTTGCACATCTATGCTATTTCATGCCCTTTGCCAAAGATAATTTACAACTATGAGAAAGGGATGGAGTAGGAAGAGATGACTCCCGCTTAATGAATGCTGTCTGAATGCCAGGGTCTGTACAATGCATGTGTCTTTTATACCTCCAATATTAGAATGCCCACTTCCCAGATGAATAAACTGAGAATCCTAAAGGTTAAGCAATTCACCTGAAGTTACACAGGGAGTTAATTCTTGTCTGCTCAACCCCTAAGACTTATCTCCAAGGGCCAAATCTGTGAGCTGTGTTTATGACAACTAACAATTTGTCAAACCCTGGGGGTTCTTTGGCCCTTTGCAAGCGAAATCAGTCTGCATTTGCAGGTTGCTCAAATGTTCACAAGTCCGACATTTCACCACAGAAGGCAGACTCATAAAATATTTTATGCAGTAAAACTGCTGATAAAGGCTTATCTTCTAGATAGGACCCAAAGAACAGACAGTTCATTATTTTTCTAACTGTTCCTTTATGTTAATGAACCTTGGTCAATGTTCCAGTAGTGGCATAAAAAATCTGGGAATGTAAATAAAAGACTTGGCCCTTTTCCTTGATTGTAGGTTTGTCATTTAACTTTGCTATGTTCTACTTTCCTTGTCTATAAAACAGGTACAATAATCATGCTGAAGGTATGATGAGACTATATATATGAAAGCTCTTAGAAAATGGTATTCAGGCTATTCAGGTATCTTGGCTTTCATCTACTAAATACAGACATGGTGTGAAATAGACACATACTTGTACAATAATAGCTGATGTTGACATTGACTGTTTACTGTGTACAGACGCTGTGCTAAGTGCCTACAGTCACCATTTCATTTCATCCTTTCAACACTGTGGGATAGGTATTGGTGTTATTCCCATTTCACAAGTGGGAAAAAGCAAGGCATGGAAAGATAAGTAACTCTCCAAGTCATACAGTGGGAAAAGGTGGAGTCAGGTGGAATTTCAACCCAGGAGGCTTCTTTTCAGAGCCTGTGCTGTTAACTGCTATCTTATACTGCCTCCCATATATAAGTACAGTCATATGTCACTTAACGCTGGGGATACATTCTGAGAAATGTGTACTGAAGCAATTTAGTCCTTGAACAAACATCATAGAGTGTACTTACACAAACATAGATGGTATATATGTTTTTATTTATATATGTTTTCATATGGAAAACCAAATGTCCCAGCACAATTGCTGAATATCAGTCATTTCCCCTGCTTGAGCTGCAATGCCAGTATCAAGTCCCATATATCAGATTTCTACATATGCTCCCTTATAATCTTATGGGACCATCATATATATATATATATATATATATATGTGTGTGTGTGTGTGTGTGTGTGTGTGTGTATATGTATATATGTGTATATATATACATATATGTATATATATACACACACACACACATATATATATATAGTGCATGACTGTATAATAAAATGACACTGGACTTTAGGAGGCTGAGGCAAGCAGATTGCCTGAGCTCAGGAGTTTCAGACCAGCCTGGGCAACATGGCAAAACCCCGTTTCTACTAAAATACAAAAGAAATTAGCTGGGCATGGTGGCACGCCTGTAATCCCAACTACTCGGGAGGCTGAGGCAGGAGAATTGCTTGAGCCCAGGAGGCAGAGGTTGCAGTGAGCTGAGATGGTGCCACTGCGCACTAGTCTGGTGACAGAGCGAGACTCAGTCTCTACATAAAAAAAAAAAGATATTGGAAGGCTTATATAAACAATTAGGTTTATTATCAAAAGATAAGCATTTAGCCTACACACTCCAGCCAGAAGAGTCCAATACAAACAAATAGCTCACTATGTTGGCACCCTGGAAGAGAGCCTCATTAGTCCCCAGCACCAATGGATAATGTCTCAGTTCTTGGTGTTTCCTGACCAGTCTCTTCCTATTGCTTCTCCTGAACCACCATCACGCTCTGGCCTTTCCTTCTGCTGAAATTCAGTGACTTTCAATACCTATTCACATTGCTCTTCCTGCCTGACTGCCAGGAAGCCTTCTCAAACTCCAAGGCTGGCCTGCCTTTCCACTTTGCTCTGGCCCTTAGAACACCCTGAGCTTCCCTCTGTCCCAGGAGAACCCCTTTACTCCTGGATCTGTTTCCTGTCATATGCACCTCAAGGGCTGTACTGCGTTTTCCTCATCTTTGTATCATCAGGATTTCATGAGGCCCACATTTAAGTTTCTCAAGTAGTAAGTCTCTAAAAATTGCTAGACAATGGCATCTTGGATTGAATCCAGGAACAGATGAAGGACATTCTTGTGGAAAAACAGGTAAAATCTGAATAAAATCTGAAGTTTAGTTAATAGTATTGTGCCAGCATTGATCTCCTAGTTTTGATAAATGTACCATAGTTATGTAAGTTGTTAACATTAGAGGAAGCTGAATGAAGAGTATATGAAAACTTTCTGTATCATCTTTGCAACGTTTCTGTCAATCTACAACTATTTTGAAATAAAAAGTTCAAAAGTCCATCATTAGACAGCTTTGTAGCACAGTGGTTAAGGCCATCTTTTTGGAGTCAGGCAGACCTAAGTCACCTACTACACGTACTGTGTGGTCTGAGGCAAAGCAAAGCATACAGTATCTCCCAACCTCATTGTTAAATGGCCTGACACAGTAGAAACATTCAGTAATTGGTAATTGCTTTTGTTAAAATAAATGTTATATTCATAATAATATAGTATTATTTCTATAATAATTTAGCGAGGATATGGTCTGATCTTTCTTTTTTAAACTTAGCTCACACTGCACACCAGCATCCCACATCTGCCTCTCTGCTCAACAGATAGCATTCTCAATGTGCTAGGCTCTATTCCGACACTGGAAGTACAACAGTGAACAAAGCACAAAAAATCCCTGCTGTAAACAGCTTACCTTCTAGTGGAAAGAGACAGGCAATAGACATAAAATTTATAATACACTGGTTCTCAAAGTGAGTTCCCAGACCAGCAGCATCAGAATCACCTGGGAACTTTTTAGAAATGCAAATTCTTGGGCCTAACCCTAGATCTACTGAATCAGAAATCTGGGGATGGGCTCAGCAGACTGTTTTAATAAGCCCTCTAGGTGATTCTGATAAGTACTCAGGTTTAAGAAACACTGATACAGTGTCAGTGATAATCACTATTTTGGAGAGAACTAAAGCAGGAAATGGGTGGAGTGCTGGGGTGAGGAGACAGATTGTGGCTTTCAACAGGGTGATCAGAAAAGCCTTACTTCAAAGGTAACACCTGCTTGAAAACATCAAGATGAGGAAGTGGGCCTCCAAAATATCAAGGGAAGAGTGTTTCTGGGAAAGGAATATCAAACGCAAAGGCACTGAGTCAGGAGCAGGCCTGAGCTGTTCAAAGAAGAGCAGCTGTCCTGGGAGAGGTGGTGGGGCTCCAGGTTGCGTAGGGACTGGTAAGCCATTGCCCAAGAGTGTGACAGTCACACAGTCAATCATGGTTCTGCCAAAAACACTCTGCCTTTTCCTGTATGGCTCCAGGCCCTCCTCTACCCCCAAATCCACCCACCCTGCCTACCCTTCGTGGCTCTAGCCAGTTCCTTCTCTTCCTTGGGCTTCTCCATCCCCAACTTCTGATAAATAATTTGATAAATAGTTTGCTTGTTTTTGCCCTGTTGGACTGCTTAGTCTGAAAGAGAAACTCAGTCTTTTCCCTTCTTTCTTCACACTGCCTATCACAATGCCTGTGCATTGTGTCTGCCCCATAAATATTTACTAAGCTTCTCTTAAGGTGCCAGGATAGAAACCAACACATATTGGCACACAATAAACATTATTAATGCTGCCAATAATTTTGAAATTTCCTCTGTCACAGGGCACACAGGTTCATTCTCAAAGCCAAAGTATTTTGGATTCAGTTGAAGGATTAACCCAGAGTGTGACTTACAACCGGGAGAGGCACTCCCTATTCCCAGCTGCTCTCCCTTTGTGCCTGAATAGTTCTGGTTGGCTACAGCTCTGAGTATTGACAAAGAGCATCATCAATGTACTGCTAACCTTGGGCCAAAATACACCAAGCAGACAGGTAGCATGAAAAAAAAAAAATGGGTATTATGATCAGTCAGAGCTGGGTTTGAATTCAAGCCCAACCACCCATAGGGGATCTTACCCTTTTTTTTTTTTTTTTTCTAATATTGTAAATCCCTTTAGCAACTGAGATTGAAGCGTATGGACCATTTCCCAGTATGAGGCTTTTAAATGCATAAAATAAAGTGTATAAGATTACAGAGTAGATAATTTTTATTGAGATATAATAATGTTAAAAGCTATCAGAACACTTATAAAAATTGTGCTATAGTAATATTTCTACCTCATTATTGGTGCATTAAGTAATAAGATTTAGAGGCAGGTTTAATAAGTACCAAAATGTTGATGTAATACTGAGTGTAAATGATATTTCAAGATACTTAGAGTGTATGATGTTGTTAGAGGTAGGTGGAAGAAAAAAAGATTTTTTTCATCTTGTATCATCCTGAATTCTCTGCAAAGACCTGTTAATAACCCCATATTATAACTTGGGACAAACTACTTTGCTTCTCTAAGTTTCAATATCCTTACCTGTAAAATGATGCTCAATAGATGGCAGGTATTATTATTATTATTTTCAGCAGCAGTGTTAGTAGTTAAGGATACCCCATAAATATCCTGTAACATACTCTGTGTCACTTCTTGGTTATTAGCAGGGTCAGTTCTGTAAGTTGACTCAGTAGGAGGTCATCCTTTTGAGGATTTTTACTCCCCAAATGTCCCATATTGGCCTGAAATTTTATCTTTAGAAAAGAATGCATAGCTTTGGTAATGAAAGACTTTCAATTGCAAGAGACCCCTAATAAAAAATAAGAATTCCTGACAATCACCCTAAACCCTAGTCACACCCCACATAGTCCTAAGTTGGAAAGTGAAATATTTGCTAACCCAGGAGAAAAGATGAATGGCTTTAAAATAAAAAAGATGATATATACTTGGGACAATCTGCCCCCAATTCACTCTTTTCCCAGAGGACACTTTAAGGAGATGTAATTGTTTGCCAAACAAGATCATACCTTGTCTATAGTCATGGTCTCAAAGAGGATTTTCCTAAAGTTCAGTGGTGTATTTGGTTATAATTTGCCTGTGCCTATATAACCCATATATACCAGTTCATTCTTCAACTAAATTCCATCTTAAAATCATATCTTGACTATCTCTAAGTGACATTAAGTTGGTTTTCAAGCACTTGAGAGAAAAGTCCTTTCCTGAGGACCACCATTCCAAAATTGCTCTCTTCATGCTCCATGCAGTTTCTTCAAGCTGTGTGATACAATGCCCCCCAAACTTCAGTGTGCCTCAGAATCACCTGGAGAAACCATTCAGATTGCTGGAGGAACCCACAGAGATTCTCATTCAGAGGCCTGGGAGAAGGCCTGAAAATTTGCATTTTTAATAAGCTCCCTGGTTTCTTTACCTCTATGAGCCCAGTTTCCTTATTATTAAACCAGGATAATGATACCTTTTTTACAGGATTAATGAGCAGATGAGAAAAAGATAAGATATGTAAATATATTCAAAATACTAAGTCCCCAGCAGAAATGCAATAACTATTAATTCCCATGATGGGACATCGTTAGAGAGAGAAGGGGATATGTCAGAGAAAGCATTAAAGAGGACACGAGAGCAGTCTTGAAGCAATGGAAATTAGTAAAAGAGAAGAAAGCGAAGGGTGTTCCCAGAATTTAAAAAAACAAAACAAAACCGTATGCAGAGGCTGTGTGTACAAAAAAAAATAGCTAACTCAGAAAGCTGCCAAAGCTACCCTTGGCTGAAGCAAGTGCATGGATCATATGAACATACTCAGGGTCTTGATGACAAGGGCCCTTTGTGCCATGCTAAAAAGTTTCAATTCAATTCTGAAGGAGATAGGAATGGTTGACGTTTTTTAAACAGGTCAGTAACATGAAATGGGGACAAAGGAAGAGGAAGGGCTCTAGGCTGATGCCTAAGTTTCTGTCTTGAGTTTACATGTATGTGATGATGATGATGATGCAACCCACCAGAAGAAGTGCCACAGAAGAAAAACCTAGTTGGGGAAGAAGGTAATGAGTTAAATTCTCGATGTCTAATTCAAGGCACCTAGAAGACACCCACATAGAGCTAACAAGGGGTAGTGAGACATGTGAATCTATATGTCTTAGAGAAATCTTGAAGCCTGAGTCTAGAAGACCTCAGCATATAGGTGGAAGTTACATCCACAGGAATAGATGAAATCGCCCATGGAGGATGTAGTACGAGAGACGCCTTAAGGACAGAACTCTGGAGGACAACGTTTAAGAGCAATTTCCAATGGAGTTGAAGTCAAGGTTCATGACAGAGGGCAGGTCCCCCTGTTTACCAGTCTGATAATATCTACACACAGTGAATTCTGGTTTAAATGGACATCAAGGTCAGCCTTGGTCAGTGGTACTCACAAAATCCAACACAACACTTAGGTGGTAGAAGCAATGCAAGGAAACATCACTAATAGGCCATAGACAGGAATATGCTTGCCGGTAATAATTGGGGGTGAGTGTGATCCCCAGCACTGCCCCTCCAAATTCCTCAGTTGCCACAGTTCCTAGATGAGGGAGTCCCAAAGCAATTACCCCGATTGCTCATCTTGTAGAGAGAGTCTCTTCATTAATTTTTGCATGAGTGAGATCCCAAGATTTATCATAGCTCAGAAATAATCCACAGGAAGAAAGACATCATCCGCCACAAGTCATCAAAAACTAAATGCTGTCCACTTTCCTCTTCCTTAGGATAAACAAGACACTGACATGGCACTGACATGGATCCTGTTCATACTGCCAAGGCTATCATCTGTGTTTGGCCAAACCACCACAAACAAGCAGGATCCCACACCAGGCAGCCCCAGGGCACTCGCTGTTCCTGCCACAGGCTTCAGAAGCATCTCACCCACAAGGGCACCATTCAGAAGCAGGCTGTGTGAGCCCGGGGTAGAGTAAGACAAACAATGGCAGAAAAGTAGAAGGGAGTCTGGGCTCATTCTCTGTGGGACAGGACAAGAGAGGAGCAATGGGGGCATTCACAGGGAGAAGGAAATGCTCTGCCTTCAGGGGTGGTGAGTTGGGGGCGTCACGATTAGACCAGAAGGAAACTCAATGTTTATAAAAATCCAAACCTACAGATTAATTAGGGAGCAATTTCAAAAGTAGTTTTTTTCCTCCCCTTAAAGAATGAATTTATGCACTCATGCATGAAAATACTTTCTCATTTCAGGGAGTATATCATGCAAAAGATGAGGCACACCTGCATCTGGGCCTGGGGATCTCCAAGTAATTAACAATCCGTTGTTATCTTCAAAGATGTTTTCTTAGGAAGAAAACCTGGGCCCTAAGCCTTGAGAGAACGTAGCCCCTATCCTGATTTCACAAGAATTGGGGCTAAGGGCTGGAGGCTTGAGAACCGGACCGAGGCTTTGACAGGATTGTCACAGGCTAGGAAAACACAGGAAATGTTTAATCAGAAGGAATGAAAACACAGTGTACAAAGAGAAATCTGATCTCCATAGCCTATCTTTATTATGGCTAAGCGGTGTGGGGAGGGGAGAAGTGAATCTAAAACCACCAGACTGTTGAAACAGAACTGTTAATGGGGCAAAAAGCCTGCCTCAAGACAAAAATGGGTTGTCCAGCTCTCGGTAAACACCTGTGCCAGCTGGGAGCCGTGGTATTCAGGCTCGTAAGTACCTCAGACTGGAACATACTATTCTCACAGTCTGCACCTGTGAACTTTCTAGAGGGATTTGTTCCAGTTTGTGATTACTCCTTGGAATGTGAAGCCTTTCACTCTGGACCTATACAGGCCATCTCCCAAGGTAGTGTCCCATTAAAAAAGAAGGGAGAGAAAAGCCTAACTGGCCTGTGAGCTCTGGAGAGGGTGGGAGGGAGTGGGATAGGAGTTCAAGCTGAATCCTGCCCCTCCAAGCTCATTGCTGGCCCCTGAAGTGACTTGGGTGAGCATGATCACCCATCTGCCAATCAAAGGCTGAACTTCAGGGCCCAGGCAAATGGTAAGAAACTCTTCTTTAACTTGTGCTATTTAAAAAATATAAATCTTCACAGAGGGGAGGATTCCTTTTATGAGGTCCTGTAGGTCCTGCTTATGGAAGTGAAAAAGGTGTTGCTCTCCTCAGGAGTAGATGCTGGTTAAATATTTCTTGGCTGAGTCAGGTGAGAATGCACTTCCATGGGGTTGGAAGAGTTGTTTAGTAGAAGCAATACAAGGAAACATCACCAACAGGTCATAGGGTGTTAGAAGGAAAAGTGCTTGCTGATGTAGTGTGAGAGAAGACCTAAGGATAGAATTCTGGAGAATAGCTTTTAAGAAAGAGCAATTTCCAATGAAGTTCAAGTCAAGGTTTTATTTGTTTGCCAAAGGACATTTTCCCCAAGAAAACCTAGAGAGGTGCAATGCAGAAAATTACAGCCTCTCAGGCTGCATCAGAAGGCGGTTCTAGTGACCTTCCCTGCTCAGCATCTCCTGCTCCTTCTGAGTCCTCCTCTGGGACATCTTGCAAGACCCTGGACACCTTTGAGCTCAGTTTGGAAACACAGAATTAATCAATATCACTAAGTGTCTACTCCCAGCTCCCATTTGCACCTACAATTAAGTGGCCGACTTCTCAGCAGAGCCTTGCACGCTTCAGCCGATTTGTCAGAGCACATCTACTGCTCCGTGGTGCCTTAGAAAGGCGTTGGTAGAAGGCTGCAAATCAGCCCTTTAGGAAATTGGCAGTTCCCATTCCAGGACAGGCCTACCATTGGGTCTCTGGGCATCTGCATTGTACAAGCCCTAAGCTAGTAAAAGCCTCACTGGGCTATGTCCTTGGACTTCCTCTAATATTCATTGTCAGCAAATATGAATAATGCCTAAATTTCAGAATTACCACTGGGCTAAATTAATCTTCTCTAGAACGAATGCATCTTTAATACTTCCATCAAAAACTACTTTGAGAAAAAGAGAGAAGGGTTACCTTATTTCCAGGCATCTTGTGTCAACAATCCACTTTAGGTTCCATACTTGCCACTCTTGAATAATTAAAAGTCAAGGTCGCACATGTCACTGAAGAAACCTGTAATGAACATTTAAGCATAAGTATTAGACTCTCTAAATTACCTCAGACTGTTCTTTAAAGGGTATTAAGAGAGACAGAGAGATCTTGGCCTAATTTTTATTTGGGAAAACAGCTTTTTGTGATTTCATAACTTTTGCTTACATAAAAAGATTTAAAAATTTAAGGTAAACTCTCACTGACTAGATGACACAGCCTTCTTCTAGATGAATATTGTAAGGTTTTGAGACAGCAGTGATGTCCTGATCCACATGGCAGATGGTGGAAGTAATTTCAGATATCCTCAAATCCTACACCCACATTCTACAAGTAAGCGAATTGAGGTCCAGGTGGGTAAAGAAATTTTCTTCATACACTAAAGCTAGCTAGCAGGCAGACAGAAACAAGAATCTTGTGTTTATGGCTCCAAATGCAGTGCTTTTCCTACTACATCATGTAACAAATGCAGAACAATTAGTAAACATCTCTCAGAGCTGCTGTTTTGCTTCCAGCGCAATTCAAATTGTGTTCATCAGACTCATTTATATGCCGCTAACAAGAATGCCTGCATCAGTTATGTCTTGCACACATTTGTTATAAAGAGAATGACCTTTAGACCTTCAAATGTGTCTTTCATTTGTTGGGGCTCTGTGGACAAGCTGGAAGGATTGGGATGTTTCTGAAAAGCCAAAGAGTGTGCAGATGGCTGGAACACAGGGCTTCTCCTGCCGGTAATGGGAAGGAGGAAGTATAGTGAGCCTCGTGATTCTCAAGCCTGGATCCATTAGAATCATTCAGAGAGGTATTTTTACAGTACAGTGCCAACCTACATAGCCAGAGTTTTTTATTTATTTGGCCTGGGGTGGGTCCAGAGCACTGGTGTTTTCCAAGCTTCCTTTGGTGATGTGCATAGGCAGATAGGGTTGAGAATCACCTTATCTCAAGGTTTAGGTATCAGAACTGGGTTTGATAAAAGCAAGGTTTTGGTATCAGAACTGGGTTTGATAAGAGCAAGGTTTTGGTATCAGAACTGGGCTTAAAATCCCCAACCCTGACACATACACCTATTCTCTCTGAGTTTCCTTCATGTGTTTTTAAAAAATTTTTTTATCCCATTGGGTTATTGTAGATTAGCATATGAAGTATATAGCAGTTTCTCAATAAGTTTAACTCTTCTTCCTACATTTAGGTGGCAATAGCAAAGAAGTAGCCTGAAGTCATCTAGTGAAGGAAGAATAAAAGGAAAGATAATTATGGTATTTGTGAAAAAGTGTTTAGTACAGGATCCATACAACTGAATCCTTCCTGGCTTCTGCTCTCTCCCTTCTTGCTGGAATAAATATTCATGTAAATCAATGGCTGGGCACCCATAATCCCCCAGGATGTGGTTCTATCTGTTCAATGTTTTGCATCATTTTGTTCGGTTGAGAAGTTTCTGTGTGCCTTCATTTGTATAAAGTTTTTCCTATGTGCATCAAGCCATCAGAAGAATCTCTTAGGGAATAGGGTGAAGGCTGGCAGAGACATCTCTGCTCTCTGTCAGACATACCTTGCGTTACTTCTACCTGCATGACATGATTCTCTGACAACCTAGCCCTCATAAAATGCCTCAGATGATTGCACAAATAAGTCAACACAGTCCTTCCCAGGGGCATCAGATACCATTTCCATTCTCATCTCTGTACAGAAAGCATATGGAAAATTCTGGTGCCACAGGGATCAGGGCATGGAGCTGGAGTAAGTAAATAGCAACAATTGATGCCTTTGGTGCCTACAGTCACCCCAGTGAAAAAAGCAAAACCAGATTTGCTTTTTCTTTATTCCTCTTGTATTTTCTTTAGCCCATGCATCGGAGTTGAACTCAGAATTCCCAACCCTGGCCCTGATCTCGGGCATCAGTCTGTGTCCAGTGGTGACACAGGGATCCCTCCCAGTCAAGGGGGTCTCCAGTCCACTGTAGGGCATGTGTGGCCCTCTGCTCTTGTGCTTTCCTTTGTGTAGAGCTCCTGCCCAGGCCCTGAGTGAGCTCCCGCTCCCTGGTATCTGGCTCTTTTCCATGACCCACACTCTTCAATGACTACATTTCTCACACTGGAGGACTAGATTTCCCAATGTTCGGGCTGCAAGAATCTACCTTGCGCAGGAAGCTTTGTCCCCTACATGTCACAGTTCAGCTCCAGTAGGAGGTACCAACAGAAGCAAGGTGTATGGAGGCAGTGGTGTACTTTGGTGCAGCCCACAGCTTCATTACACAGTTGCCTAGGGAACTTCCAGGCCACCATCCAGCTGCCTCCAGCTGCCTCCTGCTGCTGTTTCTGTTGGACAACTCCCTCCATTGCTGCCTAGAGCATTTAAATGGCAAGATGACTCAAGATACCCTGCCCCAGGGGTTCCTGGCTTCTCTTCCTTCCTCTCCCAGCACCTCCCAGCCCTTTTCCCTGCAGTCATCACACACAGGCACCATTCAAGTGTGCAACTATTTTTACTAAAGTGTGAAGGATTCTCAGGGCACAAACTATACTTAGCAGAGGTTAAAGTTCACATTATGCAATAAGGCATAAGTTTAAATCATTAAACAGCCTGTCCTATGCTCTTTCTGTCCTCACTCCTCTACAAATGGACTTTTTCAGTCCTAACGCTTCTCTTTTTAATTCAGCCTATGTATAACTCAAGGCCTTTGTTCTCTGCAAGGAAGAGAGACCATTTCTTTTTAGGCTTCAAATCACTCCCTCAGTCTCAGATAGAGATTTTCTTATGACCATCAGAACCTCTGATTTAGAAGGAAGCTATGAAGAAATGTTAAAAGGAATCTTCCCAATGTTGAAAAATCTAGCCTAGAAATTTTAAAAAATGTATCCACCAAGGGGCTTGAACTGACGCTAGTTGACAACTGCAGTTGGCTTTTCAGGCCCAGGTAGTGAGAAGGAATTATGTTTGAGGGTGTTAATTTCAGCATAAGAATGAAGAGGAGGGCTCAAACTAGCTCATCTGCTAGAGGAAAGACCGGGGTCCACACTGCGTGTGTGCCAGGATGTTTCACCACATGGTCCCTCTGGTACTGAAAGCCCTGTTACTAACAGTCGTAGCTGCCTGCTCTGGACAGGAAGTGCCTCAGTGATGAGAGTCCCCTTGCTCAAGGTCACAGCCCCTTCCTGGGGCAGCCTGCATCCAATGACTGGGCAGAGTTTGTTATAAAGGCTCAGCCCTCTTCCCCTGAGCTCAGGAAAACTCTAAGGCGGCATCCCTCCTTCAGAGACTGCATCACAGTTCCACGGCTTCCTCTGCCTCTTTCACAGAGAAGAACTCTACCTAATACGTCCCCACGTGCTAATCTCCATCTCAGAGTAAGCTTCCCAGGGAACCAACCTGAGACAATGATCAGAAGAGCTTAGTAACATTTCTTAAACAACGTAACATTCCCAGGTTTGTTTTTTGTATTCTCTTTTAAACCACTGCCACTATCAGTAAAGCTCTTAAAATACAAATGATAAATGCTCTTGTATAGCCTCTGTCCTAGCTCCTGAATGTGCTGACAGCAGGCTTAGCAGCATCAATATCACGGGTGAGTGTATCTGAAATGCAGACCTTCAGTTCCCAACCCAGACTAACTAAATCAGAGTGCATTTTAATAAAATCCTCAGATGATTCCATATGCATATTAATGTTTGATAAGCACTGGCCTACATGACAATTGGGTAAGAAATAATTAAGCAGGAATGTTTACTGGTAGCACAGAAGCATCCTGGCCTCCTTTTTCTCTGCCCAATGAGGGTTATCTGTTTTTCTTAATAAAAGGAGTTTAAAAACCCATTATTTTTGGCATAGACCAATCATAAACAAAAGGGCAGAAAACAGAGGCAGATGGTCAGACAACACACTGCTCAGGTTAGGAAACCAAGCAGCAATATTAAGCAAACAGGGAAAAACATTAAGGGAAAAATATGTAAAATAAGGATCAGCACTTCTGAGAGTATAAAGGAAAAGATGAAAAGCTGTCCTTGCAATACAATAGATGGACTTTGAACATGAGCAGTGACTTACAGCGTTCCCAAAAAACAATAAGGAACCTCCTCGTATAAGAACGCTTTCTCAAAGTTCAGGCACACACGGAGACGTGAACAAGAGGACAAGCTCACACCTGAGCAAACTCCATTCTCTTAGCCACACCATCAAAAGATTTCCACCACTCTTCAGTGAGGAGGAACTAGTTTATATTAGAAAGGCAACAGTTTGTTGTAGGTAACATGCTTACATGTTAAAGTGTAACGAATCCTTCCATGCTTCTAATTCGTAGGGAGGATTCTGTCATTCCCAGAAGATCCACTTGTTGTTCATAAAATGCTGCATTACGCTGTCTGGATTTCTTTATAGACGGATAGCTAGACAGAGTTTGACCTCTATGTGGCTTTTCCAATAAAAGTCCTAGAACACAAGGTAGGCAGGAACAGGTAAGTGGCACTGATAAAGAGTGCTGCTCTGTCACGATTGATTTATGTTGGGCTGTGGCCTGTTTAAGTTCATTTAAGGGCAGCAAGAAAAGAGGGAGCTGTGGTGAGGCCATGACACAGCCTGCCCTGATAGAACAGAACCCCTAAGGGAAAATGTGTTAGCAGCCACTAAGAGGAGAGGCAGGGGCAAGCACATTCCACCCTCATTGCAACAATAAAATCTGAACAGAACACATGGCGTGCCTATCTGAGGACTCTGAAAAGTAAATGGTAGCAGATGGATTAAGAAAGAAGACCAGAACTCAAACTGTCAGTGAATCAACAGTGAGTGTTCCCTTTCTGCTCCGTAGCCCCTAGCCTGGGTTTGCGGTAGCCCAAAATTCAGAAGTGAGCACCAGGTGTGGATAGAAAGGGTGCCATCTTGTTCTGGCTCAAGGTGCAGGTAATGCTGAGTGAGTGTGGGGGAAATCCCATCTTTCCGTCTTTTCTTTCTCTTCTTCATTCTTTCACACTCCACCCCAGGCAATCCTGTGGCACCCACAGCAGTGGCAGTGACAGCAGCAGTGGTGGGGTCCCACAGAGAACCGTTCCACTCTGATTGGAGGAGCTCTGGTGTCAAGGGGATGGGGAACCCCCATTCCTTTCTTTTCCCTCTCTCTTTGTTCTCGTACTACTTGGCCCAAATGTGGCCACGTTCATAGGAAGCATGCAGCCCAGCAGGGTAAACAGAGCACTGGCTTCCTGGCCAGAGGATATTAAAGAGGAGCCACAGAGAACTGAAAGGTACTAGCGAGAACCCAAAAAGGGAATAACTCAGGAAAGTGGCCACATACAGTTGTTTATAAACTCCTGGGCTCAATCCTGTACTGGGTATGTGTCGATCTGATCCTAAACAGCACACCAAAGGCTATGAGGAATGACTTTGGCAAAAACAGGAGAAAGATCTGAGTAGCTACAAAGGCTTGAACAACAGAATTGACATTGAACTACAACCCACAGAAGGCTGGCAAAATGTTCCACCTGAATCCACCTAGGTTGAATTGCTTGTTAAAACATTAATATCAATAGTCACAAAGTACATAAACAAAACCAATAGTCTCATAACATAACAGCCAGGATACAATGCAAAGTTACTCGGCACGTTAGTTTTCTATTGCTGAAACAAATGACCACAAACTTAGTGGTCGTTTACGTTTTAAGCCAGTTAGTGGCTTCAAACAACACAGCGTTTTAAATGTTAAAGTTCTGCTGGTCGAAAGTCCAAAATCAGTCTCACTGGACTAAGTTCAGGTGTCAGCAGGGCAGGTTCCCTCTGGAGGCACTCAGGGAGAATCTGTCCCTTCCCTTTTCTGCTTCTAGGGGCTGCCCACATTCCTTGGCTTATGGACCCCTTTCTTCGTCTTCAAAGTCAGCAATGTAACATCTCTCTGATCTTTCTTCTGCTGTCACAACCCTTTCTAAACACAGCCAGGAAATGTTTTCTGCGTTTAAGGATGCTTGTGATTATATTTGGCCTACCTGGATAATCCAGTATACTCTCCTCTCCTCAAGGTCGGTAGACAAGCAACCATAATTGCATTTGCAACCTTAATGCGTTGCAACCTGAAATCCTTTATGTCATGTAACATAGCATATTCACAGGTTTGAGGAAGTAAGACATGGACATCTTTGATGAGACTTTATTCTGCCTACAGCCCTCAAAATAAAATGAACCATCAAATCTCAACCCACATGAAAAAAGACAACCAACAGATGCCAATGCTGAGGTGATGCAGATGTGGGAATTTTCTGACAGACTTTAAAGGGGCTATTATAAAAAAAATCTAAGAAGTAAGGAAGAGGACTCTTGAGATTAATGGAAAGATAGAAAGTCTCAGTAGAGAAGCAGAAGGTATAAAGAAGATCCAAATGTACATTTTAGAACTAAAAACATAAAACCTAAAATTTTTAAACTTACTAGATTAACCAGTAGAAATTATCCAATATAAACAACAAAGAAAAATAGAATTGGGGGAAAAAAAATGAACAAATCCTCAGGGACCAGTGAGTGAATCAATATCAAAATCTCGAACAGTTGTGTCATTAGGGTCCCAGAGCAGAGGAAAAATACTGGAAAAATCATGGCTAAAAACTTCCCAAATCTGGCAAAAGACATAAACCTATGGATTCAAGAAGCTCAGTGAGCTACAAACAGGATAAACCCAAAAAATTATGCCCAGTCATGCTGTAATCCAAATGCTAGAAACTAGGATGAACAAAACTTTGGAAAGTAGCCAGAAAGTTGACATACTACTTATAGGAGAATAATTCAAATATCTGTAGATTGCTCATCAGAAATCAAAAATACGCAAATATAGACAAATTGAAAATCTTTGCCCATCAAATCAGCAATTTAAAATTCTTACTATCTGGTGTCAGGATATGAGAATGTTGCTGGGAAGACAAATCAGAACATTTGTGAAGGGCAATTAGTCATTACCTATCAAAATTTTATTTTATTATTATTATTTTGAGACAGAGTCTTGCTCTATCACCCAGGCTAGAGTGCAATGGTGCAATCTCAGCTCACTGCAACCTCCGCCTCCCGGGTTAAAGCGATTCTCCTGCCTCAGCCTCCTGGATAGCTGGAATTACAGGCATCCGCCACCATGCCCAGATAATTTTTGTATTTTTAGTAGAGATGGGGTTTTGCCATGTTGGCCAGGCTGGTCTTGAACTCCTGACCTCACGTGATCTGCCCACCTTGTATCTATCAAAATTTTAAATCTACACACCTCTCACCCTCAATTCCACTTTTAGGAATTTATCCTAAAGAAATATTTGTACATGTGCTCAAAGATGCTTGACTGTGCATTGTGTATAATGGCAAATAAATATATTAATTAGTAAAACATTATGAATTATTACAGGTAAGGTAATATATAAATAAATTATGGAGCACCACAGTATGAGATATAATGTACCTTTAAAACAATTACATTGGAGTCAAGTCTACTGGCATGGGAAGGAGTTATGATATATTGTTAAATGAAAAAAAATTGTCAAACAGCACACCCACACGTCAAATTTTATAATTGTGTGTGTGTGTGTGATTATAATTGATGGGGAAAAGATCTGGAAGGATAAAACCCAAAGTAATAGAGCAGTTGCTTCTGAGTAGTCAGACCAGAAGAGAAGAAAGGTACTTGCTCTTTCTATCTTATATATCTGTGTGTGTATTTTTTACAAAGAACAGTATTATTTTTGACACTTTTGAAAAATGGTAAAAGACCTATCTATGTAAGTTTGATAACATTGTCCTTCAGTGTTCTGAGTTTAGAAATTCACTAGTCTTTCACTGTTTTCTGGGACCTTAGCATTTTATTCACTTCCCTTTAGGAAATCCAACCATCTCATTCAGCATCTCCTAGTATATATGATATTTTACTGTGTAACCAATTATCTCAGGATTTACCAGCCACAACAATAGAAATATATTATCTCATGTCATTTCTGGGGGTCAGGACACCAAGAGTGACTTAGTGGGGTGCTCGGGTCAGGGTTTCTTATGAGGTTCAGTCAAAATGTTGGCCGAGGCTGCAGTCATCTGAAGGCTGGACCAGATTGGAAGATCCACCACCAAGTTCCTCACACAGCTGTTAGCATGAGGCCTCTGTTTCTTGCTGGCTAGTGGTCAGAGGCCTTAGCTCCTCACTACATGGGCCTCTCTCCAGAATGCTCATAAGGCAGCTGCCTTCCTTTAGAGTGACTGGTCAAAAAAAGAGGTAGAGCAATCAAGATGGAAGCTGCGATGATTTCTATCACCTAATCTTGGAAATGACATACCATCACTTCTGCTATGGTCTATTGGTCACACAGGCTGGCCTTAGTAAAGTGCAGGAGGGGACTACACAAGAGTGTGAATACCAGAAGACAGGGATCATTGAGGGCCATTTCAAAGATGCTACAACTAAATTTTTCTCCACTCTCTTTCTCTTCTCCCTTTTGAAGTTCGCAGATGTTCTAAAAACAACTCTATCCATACAGTATCACTGATTCGTTTAGGGGTCCTAGAGCATTCAATCTTTCATCAAAAGAAAACCTTATGGACTAATAAGGAACTCCAGTTTGTGTAGCTCCAACCTTTCTCCATGAACAAGGGTATTTTGATTTTCCTATAGTGTGATGATGGAGGGTAGGGAAAAGTACAAGTGTAAATAATTGACCAAAGAGAAAAACATAGGGAATAACCAGGTGCCTCAATGAGAATCCCTTCAATAGGGGGTCACGTCATTCACACCTACCCTGCAGCCCCACCTTTAATCCTCACAAGTCAGGACAGGCATCTCTTCTCCTAAGTGGAATTTCCCATAAGCCATGCAGACAAAGTAGAAATGCTTGCCAGCTCACACATCAACAATAAAGGCTACTAGAATCATCTGTTACTTAGAAAATGTTAGAAGGCAACAAATAAAAACTGAGGGTTAAAGGATACCTATGCCTCTGCACTAAAACAATATGAAGTACTCAAAGGTAGGGTATAACTGAGCATTTGGAAGAAACTATCCTGACATGTGAATGCACCTGATTGCAAAAGATATGTGTCATCTAACTGGGAGTATAACACAGTGTTATACTGTATACCTTAGGTTCAGCCAAGCATTTGATTAAGGCTTTCATAATATGCCTGTAGGTATGTTGGAGAAATACAAGTAAGAGTCGATTCATCATAGGTTGAGCAATCTATGCAAAGAGTGTTGATTGACTCATTGTTGTCAGCTTGAAAGAGATAATATACCTCAGGGCTTTGAATTTGGCCTTGTTTCATTGAAAATTTTTATAAACTATTTGGACAAAGACAAAGAAAATGCACTCATTAGATTTTCAAGTATTATATAGTCAGGAAAGTAAAGAAGCTGAACAATAAAATCAGAATCCCTCCAAAGGTCTCCAACAGGCTGAAATTATAGGTCAGAACCCCTGAAAATGAGTAAGAAGCAGCATAAAATCCTGTACAAAATGGGAGAGACCTAGTTGATGCAGAAAAGCTTGAAGTTAACCAAAAATTTAATATGTCAGCAGTTCGCCAAGCCTGCCAAAAAGGCAATGCAAAACTTTAGTCTGCGTTGTGATGAATATAGTGCTTAGAATCAGGGATATCTAGTTGTGATGAACCCCACACTAAATATGTGGCTTCCTAGAATGACTGAGAGGTTCCTCTATGACCATATGTACCTTCTAACACCAAGATTCTACCATCCTCTGCTTATAACAGTCCTCTTTGTGACCAATCTAGTAATTTTATCAAAAAAAAATGAGTTTGTTTTATTATTTTTGTATGCATTCAAGCAATATTTATCAGGAAAAAAAAGTGAGCCAGTTACTATTCTGGAATCTAGGGACACAAAGATGACTGGGACACAGACCCTGAGGGTTAGAGTCTGGGGAATAAGGACGCTATGGTCTGAATGAGTTCCCCGAAATTCATGTTAAACCCCCAATGCAATAGTATTAAGAGATAGGGCCTTCAGGAGGTGATTAGGTTGTGAGAGCTCCACCCTCACAAATGGGATCAGTGCCCATCTAAAAGAGGCCTAAGGGAGCTCACTCATCCCTTCTGCCATGTAAAGACTCAGGGAGAAGGTGCCATCTATAAAGCAGAGAGCAGGCACTCGCCAGACACCGAATCTACTGGTGTCTTGACTCGGACTTCCCAGCTTCCGGAACTATGCAAATAAATTTCTGTTGTTTATAAATTATCCAGTCTAAAATAGCCTGTTATAGCAGTCTGAATGGGCTAAGACAAGAAGTATAGAGGATGTGGTAGGCAGAATTCTCAGATGGCCTTTCAAGATTCTCAGCCTTGGTGTACATATATTTTCTCCCACTTATTCAGCCAAACACAAATATTAGTGCTGCTGTGAATAATTTTGTCAATGGAATGGGGTTCCAGGTTAGTTGACCTTGAAATAAGGAGATTATCTGGATGGACCTAACCTTATCACATGAACTCTTTAAAAGCAGAGTTTTCTGGCAACAGTTGAGAAAGTCAGAGGTTCATAGCATGAGAAGGATTCAATGCATCATTGCTGGCTTGAAGATGGAGGGAGCCATGGGGTAAGGAATGCAGGCACTGCAGGAGCTGAGAGTGGCCCCAGTTGATAGCTTACAAGGAAACAGAGACCTCAGTCCTATCACCACAAGAAATAAATTCTGCCAATAACAAGAATGAGCCTGGGCCAGGTGTGATGGCTCACACCTGTAATCCCAGCACTTTGGGAGGCTGACGCAGCATAACTGCTTGATCCCAAAGTTTGAGACCAGCCTAGACCTCATCTCTAAAAGACAAAAAAAAAAAAAAAAAGAAATTAGCTGGGTGTAGTGGCACATCCCTGTGGTCCCAGCTACTCGGGAGGCTGAGGTGGGAGGATCACTTGAGCCCAGGAGGTCAAGGCTGCAGTGAACCATGACCACACTACTGCACTCCAGCCTGGGTGACAGAGTGAGATCTTGACTCAAAAAATAAAAGAATGAGCATGTAAGAAGACCACAAGCCTCAGATGAGAACTGCATCCCCAGCCAACACCTTGATTTCAGTCTAGCAAGATGCTAGCAGAGCATCCAGCCACACTATGCCCAGACTTCTAACCTACAGAAATTGTGGGATAGTAACTCTGTGTTGTTTCACAGCATGAAGTTTGTGGCAATTTATTACACAGTAGTAGAAAGCTAATAAAAGGGATGAATAAGCAGTGGCCATACAAGGAGATAAATGGCTACGATGGAGCAAAGTTGCAGTGTACATTGTTGGTTGATGTTTCAGAATCTAGTGCCACTCTCCTAGGCAAGTTTCGATTTTGCTCAGGTAGCTGCTCCTCACTCATATATTCATGGCCACGAGCTGTACTCCCATATGAGTGCAGGACTAATTAGTCCAAAACAGGGCTTCTCAGCTTTGGCACTATTGATATTTTGACCTGGATAATTCTTTGTTGTGGAGGGATGTCCTGTACAGTGCACTGTAGGATGCTTAGAAGTGTCCCCGGCCCCTATCCTCTAGAGCTAGTGACATACCTTTTCTCTGTTCCCCTGCTGTGAAAAACAAACTGTCTCCAGATATTGCCAAATATACCAGGTTCGGGGCAAATAGAGGCAGGAAGCAAAAACATCCCCCGTTGGGAACCATTGATCCAAAGGTAACTCATTACCTTGCTGATGATTGGTTCAGGAATAGGTATGTGATCACTTTGGGAAATAGAGCTGTCAAAAGAGGTTTCACTGGGATTTCTGAGAAAACCTTCCTTACTCTTCAGGGTATGCTACTGGAAGTCACCCTGTTTCTCTTTCTCCAGATGTTCTGATGCACAGATTTCAGTCCTAGCACTGCTGCAGCCATGTCAAACCCAGCTTGAGGGTGGAGCCAATACACAAAAGAGTACACAGCCAAGAGTATTGCAGGGACCTGGGCCTCTGGCCCCTGGCTGAAGCCAATCCTGAAGTCTACTCTACCTATAGACTTCTGGTTATAGGAGCCTATTAATTTCCTTATTGTTCAAGATAGTTTAAGGGATAGCTGGTTTTGGCATACCACAGCAGCTAATTGGCACCACTCTGTAAAGGTGCTAGGGAAGCCCAGAGAAAGACACACCTCATGAAGCTGAGTCAAGAAATAAAAAAGGACAGAAGATAGGTCCGGAAGTCTACAGTCGACAGGCTGCTTTCCCATGACACCTTGAATCCTAACACTAGCCTGGAAAAATGGACTATTATCCTCATTGTATGTCTCAGAAGAGTTCATGGTTTGTCCATGGTCACAAGGCAAGGAAGAGTCAAGATTGAAACCCAGGCCTTCCAGTGCCACATCGCATGATTTCCCCCATATTCTCCTGAACCAGGACTTCTTTTCTGTCATCCTTTTGCTCAAAAATATTTAACATACGCCCTTGTCTCTGGAGCATGTTCAAACTTTCTAGCTGAGGATTTGAAGTTTTCCGCAAAGCCGCTCTACTCCAAAAGATTTAAGCTCATCATTCCAGCTCATTCCTCCAATTGGACCTTCGCTTAGACTTCCCTTATCTGTACTTTCTTGCCATTTCTTCTCCATGTGTTTGAGTTCATTCTTTAATAAAGTTCAAATTGATTCCTGAGCTTATGCAAAATTGCCCTAGTTCTTGGTGAGGTTTCTTCCTCTTAACTCCTAGAGTATAAAACTAAGCACATGTTACCCAGATGGCCTCAGGTTTCACCAGATGGAGCCCTAATAGTAGTCACTATATTTAGAACGTTTACGACTTTGGTTCCCACCTTACTTTGTAGACCCCATCACCATCAACTTCTACTAAGCCCTCCTCACTGAGGGCCTCCTCTTGGGATACTTTGCCCCCATCCATGTACCCCCCTCTCACTGTGAGAATGCCAGGGCGTGATGCCCTGAGCCTTCAACCTTCCAGTTGCAGAGTGGACAGATGTGGTCATCCATGCAGAAAAAAAAGGACATTTCTCCTAGTCCAGGTCACTTTTGGGCACCTGGAGGCTGAAGCAGCTTTGCTTCTGCTCAGCTCCTTTATCCTCATCCAAAAGACAGAGCTTCTTCCATTTCCACCTGTTGCCCTTCCTGATGTGGCTTAGTTGGAATGGACACAGACCCCCATGCTGCTACCAATCTCTCTTCTTTGTTTATTTCCAGAAATGGTATCAGCCACCAGGTCTTGACTGCTTTCTCTGGGCCAGGAATTATGTTAAGCACCTTACAAGTCACTTTATTTAATCTGTTTATTTAACAGCCAAAGTAAGTGCCCTTATTATACCCAGTTTACAAAGAGGTCTCTTATAAATAAAGGTTTAGGTAACTTGCCCAAGGTTCACTGAAGAATCCAGATTCCACAAAAGTCCTTGCTCAATCAACACAGCACCAAAGTCACAAGTTTCTACCCTGTCTTGGCCAGTCAAAATGGAAAGCCCTTTAAAAATGAGCTCATGCACATCAGCAGCTCTAGCACCCACTCACCTGTTCTGCAGATGCACGCAGACATGCTACACATGATATCATAAATAATCATTAACATGTATTGAGTGCTTACTATGTGCCAGGCACTATTCTAAGCATTTTGCATTATTAATGCATTTCCTCTTCAAAATAACCCTGTTAGGTAAGTACTATCATTATCCCCACACTGCAGTTAAGAGGCAGAGCTGAGATGAGGATGAAAGAAACCTGGTGCCTGAGCACACACTCTTACCACTCTGTTACAGATTATTGGGCATCCTCTATGTCCCAGATACCAGCCTGGGTCATCTGCATACATTTTCTCTAATCTTTACAATATTCCTATAAGAAAGTTATGTCCCCAATTTTACAGCCAAGGAACCTGAATGTCACAGAGAGTCAATCAACTTGCCCAAGATCTTGGTTAGTAAATGTAATGTCCAGATTTCACCAGGTCAATGCTGTCTTGTAAAGTTATTTGCCTTTTCATACACATGTTTTTTTCCATAGCATGAACCAGGCTCCCAACTTTATCCTCCCAGGACCTCTCTGAGAGCTGTAGCCCAGGTCTGTGTTCTGGGCATGGGTAGGAGGAGGAGGGAGAGAAAAAAAGGTGGTGGCTGCCAGCTGCTGCTTCAAACAAAATATATCTACATATACAAAGGCACCGGGGCTGGTTGCCTAGCAACATCTTTCTGCCTCCCCAACCTGCTTCACTCCATCCTTACCCAACACATTATGCACACCCCTTGGCCTGCAATGCCCTTCTGAGACATCCCCCTTCATGGCTGCCTTTGTTCATCTTAACCTGATTTGCTAGGCAAAGGCTTGTAGCTTGCAGCTTGCAGGGAGTCCAGGAAGCACACGATTTGTATCACAGATGGCCCTGGGACAGGCAAAACAGAGCTATCCACCCTGCATAGCCCATACCTTGGCACTCACAGGGTATCTAATGCTGCAGGAAGGAGGGGGTCTCATTTCAGGAGCTTTGTCATATCGCTAAAGGTTTAAAAAAAGAGTTTTGTTTTTCACATATGTCAGGTCCTTTAAATAGTTCTTTAAAATAAAAGTTTGATTGGGATAGAATTAAAGCAGGCTGTCTGGATTTCTTTTTTCATCTTATCTCCCATGTTGGAAGTTAGAGCCTCTTAAATTTAAAGTTATCTTCAGTTCAACCAGTCCAAAAGGCCTTAGGGATATATTTGTCCTGGAATCTTAAAGAGAGGCAGAACAAGGCAGAATACACAGTTCTCTTAGTTCTTCAAGCATAACTGAAAGGGTACAACAGTAGTGGAGCCCCCAACCCAGTCCAGAGCTTCTGACTTCATGGCGAGAAGGTGATGCTGAACTGAGAGCCAGGGCTACATTATCGCTTTCATGGACCCTAGGCAATTTTGCCTTCATGGGCCCATTCCTCCATAAAAAGAAAGAAAAAATATTAAAAATTATTTTTTATGACTGTGCTGGTATAAAGACAACTATAATCCAGACTGTATTCATTTATATATATATTTATTATTTTCATTATGTAATATTCATTTTTCCTGATTTTAAAAAAAACAAAGAAACTAAAATATATTTATGCACCCTTGAGAGTATTGTAGGTCCAAGCCTACTGTGCCCAGTGGATAAGATGGCCCTGCTGAGGGTATGTCAGCACACAGCAAATGTTATTCAGACATTGGTGCTCAGCCAATGCTCAGAACTGTGGGGTAAGGAATGCTGTGGCTTAAGGAAAGCACAATGCTCTGTGCCCAGAATTGTGGGGTAAGAAAAAAAGTAAGGTGTGGCACCTGTACTCAAAGGCTTCGAGCCTAACTGCAGAAAAAAACAAAGCAGAAACCTACAATCACTGAGCCACAAAAACTCGGCTTGGCAACCACTAAGGAAATCATTGAAACCCTTTTCTTGCTTAGTTGTATTATCACCTGAACAAATAATACATGTTTAAAACACCACATACTGAGAAAGGGCCAAAGAGGTAAGAGATGACGCTGGCAAGTGTAGTGATGGATTGGATATTGAGGTTAAAAAAGAGTCAAGAAAGATTTCTGAGTTTGGGCCTGGGTGATCATCTACATAGACAGAAAATAAAGAAAGAGGAATAAGTTGGAGGAGGAGACAATGGGCCCAGTGTTAGGCAGATTCGTTTGAAATGCCTCTGGGGAGTAAAAGGCAGAGACCAAGACTGCTTTACTCCCCACTAAAGTCTCATCTCCTAGTATAAAACCTGACACTTCTTCTGTATTAAATAAATATTTGTGGAATTAATTAGATACAAGTAGATAAGTCTAGTGATTGATTAGTTGTTTTTATGGGCCTAATACCCAGAACAAAGACCTGGGGTGTTGTGGCAGATGCTGGCGGCTGACATTCACTCTCTATTCCAAGTCTGCTTATGTGAACAACTGCAACTCCCTGCCTTGTCCTGGCCTCAGGAATAGATTTGGATTAAGTACAGGACAAGCTGGAATCTCCAGAGACTTAATGCCTAGAAGCAACCTCAAACAGTGATTGACAGGGAGTTAACCTATAAATAACCCATCTCCTGCGAAAATAACTCTGAGGCACAGTCTATGCAATCTTCTAGAATTCTCCAGTGAGATTAAGTTTCTAGAGCCCTAACTGAGGCTGGAAATATCCTGGCCACACCTGCTTTGAGTGAGAGGTTTCTTTGGATGAAAGGGCTGTGTAGCCAGCAGCAGAACTGTGTGCATGTGGAAAGCAAAGGCTGATATTCCTAACAGATGATCATCCACTTCTACGTGATGATATATTTGCTCATGTAAAGAGAGCTTTCTATTAATCTCTAATTTTATTCCATGTGGCTGGAGAACATACTTTGTATAATCTCAGTTCTTTTAAATTTATTATGGCTTGTTTTATGGTTCAGCATTTAGTCTATCGTAGAGAATATTTCATGTGCTCTTGAGAAGAATGTGTATTCTGTGTATTTTGCACTTGTTTGGTGCAGCAATCTCTTACATTTAGTTGGTTTATAATGTTAAAGTCATACGTATCTTGTTTATTGTCTGCCTAGCTGTTCTATCTATTACTGAAAGTGAAGTATTAAAGTTTCCAGCTATTTCTGTTTGATTGCCTATTTCTCTTTTCAATTCTGTTGGTTTTTGCTTTATATATTTTGGGGCTCTGTTGTTATGCGCATACATTATTATGATTGTTATGTTTTCCTGATGGATTGACTCATTTTTATTATAAAATGTCCTTCTGTAATCACAAAGGAAATTAGAAAATAGAGACAAATGACAATGAAAACATACTATACCAAAACTTACACAACACTGCAAAAGTAGTGCTATTGATAGCTATAAATGCTTACAATAAAATGAGCCAGGTATGGTATAGTGGCACACACCTTTAGTCCTAGTTACTTGGGAGACTAAGGCAGGACAGTTGCTTGAGGCCAGAAATTTGGGGCTGCAGTGAGCTCTAATTGCACCATTGCACAGCAGCCTGGTCAAAAGAATGTGATTCTGTTGAAGAAAGGAAATAAAGAGAAAGAAAGAAAGAAAGAAGGAAGGAAGGAAAGAAGGAAGAAAGGAAGGGGAAGGGAAGGAGGGAGGAAGGAGGGAAGGAAGGAAGGAAGGGGAAGGGAAGGAAGGAAGGAAGGGAGGAAAGAAGAAAGAAAGAGAAAGAAAGAGAGAAAGAAGGAAGAGATTGAGAGAGGGAGGGAAGAAGGAAGGAAGGAAGGAAGGAAGGAAGGAATTCAAATCAATAACCTAACTTTACAACTTAAGGAGCTTAAAAAAAAAAAGGAATAAACTAAACCCCAAAGCTAGTAGAAGGAAATAATAAATATTAGAACAGAGATTAATAAAATAGAGAATAAAAAACAGAGAAAATTAACAAAAACAAAAGTTGGTTTTTGAAAAGATTAACAAAATTGACAAACCAGATAGACCAAGAAAAAAGAAAGAAGATTCAAATTTCTAAAATCAGAAATAAAAATGGAGACATTACTACCAATTCTATAGAAATGAAAAGGATTATAAGAGAAAATTATAAATAATTGTATGCCAACAAATTGGACAACCTAGATAAAATGAATTCTTAGAAACACAAAACCTACTCCATCCATTTGTATTGTATAATAAAATACTTGAGACTGGGTAATTTATAAATAACAGAAATTTATTTTCTCACAGTATTAGAGGCTGGAAAATCTATCATGGCTCTGGCAGGTTCAGTGTCTGGTGAGGGCCCTGGTCTTTGCTTTCAAGTTGGCACCTTGAATGCTGTGTCTTCACATGGCAGAAGACTAGAAGAGCAAAAGGGTATGAGAATGGTGAACTTGCTTCCTCAATCCCTTCTATAAGGCACTGACCCCATCCATGAAGACAGGGCCCTCATGGCCTAATCACCTCTTAAAGGCCCCACCTCTTGGTACTGTACCCTTGTGGATTAAGTTTCAACACGAATTTTGGTAGAGACACAAACATTCAAAGCATAGCACCCAAAAACTGTACTTTCAGGAATCATTTCTATAGTTTGTTTCAAACCACAGCACCTACCAAAGCTAATTCACAAAGGAAGAGAAAATCAGAGTAGACCTATAACTAGGTATAACTAGGTAAAGAGATCGAATCAGTAATCAAAAAATCTTCTGACCAAGAAAGCCCTGGGCCTAATGACTTCACTAGTGAATTATACTACACATTTAAAGAGAACTAGTAGCAATTCATTTCAAACTTTTCCGAAAAGAAAAAAAAAAAAAACTGAAGAGCAGGGAACATTTCCTAGCCCATTTTATGAGGCCAGCATTACGCTAATACAAAAGCCAGACAAAGATGCCACAAGAAAAGAAAACGATGAACCAATATTCCTTATGAACACTGATGCAAAAATTTTCAACAAAATACTAGCAAATTAAATTTAACAGACATATTAAAAGCATATAATAGATCATTGCCAAGTAGGATTTATTCCTGGAATGCAAGGATGATTCAGCATAAACAATCAATCAATGCAATACACCACATTAACATAATGAAGTGAAAAAAAAACCACATCATTATCTCAATTGAGGCAGAAAATGCATTTGACAAAATTCAACATTCTTTCATGATAAAAACACTGAACAAACTAAGCATAGAAGGAAATTATGTCCACATAGTTAAAACCATACATGAGAAACCTGCAACAAACATCACACTTAATGGTGAAAGACTGAAAGCTTTTCCTCTAAGATCAGAGACAAGACAAGGATGCTCACTTTTGGGTATAATACTGGATGTTGTAACCAGAGAAGTTAGGCAAGAAAAAGAAATACACATCCAAGTTGGAAAGGAAGAAGTCAAATTATCTCTGTTTGCAGATGATATGACCTTATATGTAGAAAACCCTTAAAATTCAAACAAACTGTTAGAGCTAATAAATGAATTCATTTGTGTTTTGCAAAGTAGCAAAATACAAATTCAACACATAAAAATTAGTTGCATTTTTATACACTAACAATGGATAATCTGAGAAAGAAATTATAAAAATAATTTCATTTATAATAACATCAAAAAGAATAAAATACTTAATAACTAACTTAACCAAAAAGACAAAAGCCTAATACAATAAAAACTACAAAACATTAAGAAGTTAAAGGAGACATAAAAAAATGGAAACACATCTCATGTTCATGGATTAAAAGATGTCAATACCACCCAAAGCAATGTACAAATTCAATGCTATTGAAAATTATTAAGGTGTCAATACTACCCAAAGCAATGTACAGATTCAATGCAATTGAAAATTGTTAAGGTATCAATATCACCCAAAGCAATGTACAGATTGAATGCAATCCCTGTCAAAATATCAATGATGTTTTTTGCAGAAATAGGAAAACCCCATGTAAAAACTCATATGGCATCTCAAGGGACCATGAATAGCTGAAACAATCTTAAGGAAAAAGAACAGAGCTGGAGGAATCATACTTTCTGATTTCAAAACTACTACAAAGCTACAGTAATCAAAGCAACGTGATATTGACACAAGACAGACATATAGACCAATGAAAAAAAATAAAGAGCCCAGAAATAAACTCTTGAATAAATGGTTAAATTACTTTTGACAATGCCAAGACCATTCAATGGGGAAAGTACAGTCTTTTCAACAAATGCTGCCAGGGAAACTGGATATCCAAATACAAAAAAGAAAAGAAAAGAAAAGAAACTGGACCATTACTTGACATCATATCAAAAAGTTAATTCAAAGTGGATCAAAGACCTAAATTTAAGACCTAAAACTATAAAACTCTTAGAAAACACAAATGGCAAAACTTCACAACATTGGATTTGGCAATGAATTCTTGAATATGACACCAAAGGCACAAATAACAGAAGAAAAAATAGACAAATAGAACTTCATAAAATTTTTTAAAATTTATACTCAAAAGAGAATATCAACAGGGTGAAAAGGAAAGCCACAGAATGGGAGAAAATATTTGCAAATTGTGTATCTGATAAGGGTTTAATATTCAGAAAACTCCTAAAACTCAATAACAACAAAAATATGACAAATATAGTAAAAAACTCAACCAAAATTAGGCAAAGGACTTATATAAGCATTTCATATACAAATGGATAATAATCATATGAAAAGATGCTCAAATCACTAATTATCAGGAAAAAGTAAATCAAAACTACAGTGAGATACCACCTCACATCCATTATGATGACTACTATTAAAAGAAACAAAAAGTAACAAGTGTTGGTAAAGATATGGAGAAACTGGAAATTATGTGCACTATTGGTAGGAATATAAAATGATGATACAGCACTGTGGAAAACAGTATGGCAGTTCCACAGAAAATTAAAAATAGAATTACTATATGATTCGTTAATTTCACTTCTGGCTATATATCCAAGAGAACTGAAAGCAGGGTCTGAAAGAGACATTCGTACATCCATGTAACAGCTGATTTACTCACAATAGCTAAAACGTGGAAGCAACCCAAGTGTCCATCGATAGAAAAGTAAAATGTGGTATATACATACAATGAGATATTTTTCAACTTTAAAAAGGAAGGCAAGTCTGACACATGCTACAGCATGAATGAAACTTGAGGTTATTTTGCTGAGTAACTCAGTCACAAAAAGACAAATACTTTATGATTTCATTTAAATGTGATATTTAAAGTAGTCAAAATAGTAGAAACAGAAAGTAGAATCATGTTGCCAGGCGCCTGTGGGAGAGAGAGAATGAGGAGTTATTGTTTAATAGATATGAAGTTTCAGTTTTGCAAGATGAAGAGTTTTGCAAGATGGATGTTGGTGACGGCTGCACAACAATGTGAATGTGCTTAACAACACCTAACCATTCACTTAAAAAGCGTTACCAGCCTGGATAACACAGTGAGACTGTGTCTCTACAAAAAGAAAAACCCAGCTGGATGTGGTGGTACACACCTGTAGTGTCAGCTACTTGGGAGTCTGAAGTGGGAGGATTGCTTCAGCCTGGGAGATCCAGGCTGCAGTGAGCTGTGATCTTACCACTGTTTTCCAGCCTGAGCAACCAAGAAAGACCCTGTCTCATTAATTAAAGAAAAAAAAATGTTTTAATGGTTACTATGGTAGTTTTTTTTTTTTTTTTTTTTGACACAGAGTTTCACTTTTGTCGCCTAGGCTGGAGTGCAATGGCATGATCTCGGCTCACTGCTACCTCTGCCTCTCTGGTTCGAGAGATTTTCCTGCCTCAGCCTCCCGAGTAGCTGGGATTATAGGCATGCACCACCATGCCCAGCTAATTTTGTATTTTTAGTAGAGACAGGGTTTCACTATGTTGGTCAGGCTGGTCTCAAACTCCTGACCTCAGGTGATCCGCCCTCCTCGGCCTCCCAAAGTGCTGGGATTACAGGCCACTATGCCCGGCCTGGCCTTCGAATATAAAAAGTCATGATATTTCCCCTTATCCTTCTTTCCAGGTGAACCATTCCAGTGACCATTAACTATTTCTTTGAATGACATGATTTTAAATTTTCATCATCCTGGACTTCCTACTCTCCCCGCCTTAAAGATGATGCAATAGTAATCACTGTATGACAGTAATAAATACTTACTGAATGCTTGCTCTGTGTCAAGCACCGTGCCAACCTTTGTACATAAATTGTTTCATTAATTATTATAACAAACCCGTGAGATAGATGTTATTAACTGCATTATGTGTAGATGAGGAAACTGAGGCATAGAGTGGTAAAAGAACTTGCCACGATCTTACAGCTAATGAGTGGCAGAGCCAGAATACAAACACAAAGAGTCTGGTTTCGGAGCCTTCTTTCTTAGTCATCTCCTAAAAAAACACACCTATTCCATTAAATTCAAGAAAAGTTTGTTTTAATAATTTAATAGAAAAAAACACATATTGTATGATACCATTGTGCAAAATCATTTCTCTCTCATTACCTCTCTGTTTGTGCCTGTCAATGTGCATTTTAAAAATATCTAGAATGTCCAGGTGTGGTGGCTCATGCCTGTAATCCCAGCACTTTGGGAGCCTGAGGCGAGTGGATCACCAGAGGTCAGGAGATTGACATCAGCCTGGGCCAACATGGTGAAGCCCCATCTCTACTAAAAATACAAAAATTAGCTGGGCGTGGTGACAGACACCTGTAATCCCAGCTACTCGGGAGGCTGAGGCAGGAGAATTGCTTGAACCTGGGAGACAGAGGTTGCAGTGAGCTGAGATCACACCACTGCACTCCAACCTGGGTAGCAGAGTGAGACTTGATCTTTAAAAAAAATAATAATAATTTAAAAAATTAAAAAGATATATATATATAGAGAGAGACACATAGATATATAGATATTCCTTAAATATTGATATTGATCATGGCTATTTCTGGGTAATAGAATTTGGGGCATTTTGTTTGTTTATATTTCCTTTGTTTTTTTTGTTTGTTTTCTTTGCTTAACTTTTTATGTTGCTTGAGTTTTTATGATGAACATGTGCTATTTTTTTCTAACGTCTTTATTAAGATATAATTTATATACCATAAAATTCACTCATTTCAAGTGTATGGTTCAATGAATTTTAGTATATTGACAGCTGTGCAACTATCACTACAATCTAACTTCAGACATTTCCATCACCCTAAAAAGATACTTTGCTCCCATTTCAATTACTTCCCTTTCCTACCCCAGCCCTAGGCAAACACTTGTCTACTTTCTGTGTCCACATACTTTCCTATTTTGGACATTTGATATAAATGAAATAATGCAACATGCGGCATTTTGTGTCTAGCTTATTACACTGAATAGATTGCTTTTGAAATTCACCCATATTATAGTACATGTATCAGCACTCTGTTCCTTTTTATTGTCAAATAGTATCCTGTTGTGTGGATATATACATTATTTATTCATTCGTCAGTTGATGGGCATTGAGTTGTTTCCATTTTGGGGGTGTTGTAAATAATGCTGCAAGTTTTTGTGTGAACGTGTTTTCATTTCTTAGATACCTAGGAGGCTAAGATTGCTGAGCCATATGGTAAGTCTATGTTCAATTTTTCAAGAACCTGCCAAATTGTTTTTCCAAAGTGGCTGCACCATTTTACAGTTCCACCAGCAAGGTATGTATCTTTCCATTGCTTCACATTGTTGGCGACGCTTGTTATTACCCATCTTTCTTATTATGTTTATTCTACTGGGTGTGAAGTGGTATTTCATTAAGGTTTTGATTTGCATTTCCTAATAACCAATGATATTGAGCATCTTTTCATGTGCTTATTGGTCATTTGTGTATCTTTTTCAACATGTGTTATTTTTATAACCAAAACGATTATTTTTGAACAGATTTTGATGTCTACTATTGGACTTATAATCCAGATGACACTCGACCAGCACAGAGTACAGTTAAATGTGGTTGCCTGTGATTTGCTCTCTGCACTTCCACTGATGCAGCCGAAATACTGAGCTAATTTTTTTAGCAGACACATACCATTGGCTCAACTTAAGCCTGCAGTCAACTAAACACCCCGGATCCTTTTCTCACTGACAATTGTAGAGCCAGAATTCTCTCATTCTCTATTTGGGCTATTGATTTTATTGAATTTAAATGCTGGAGCTAATATTTATCCCTGTCGAATTTTATCTTGTCACTTTAGGTCCATATTGTCATCTGTACAAGTAATATTTTATCTTAATTCTGTCATCTCATTTTACCTACCTTGAAACTTCCTTTTGGATGTCAAAATAACTAAGAAGGTGGATTTTTAACCATTATATTTTTAGTTTTCTGTTTATTTTATTTTGTTTTGTTTTATTTTTTGAGACAGAGTGTTACTCTGTCACCTAGGCTGAAGTGCAGTGGCACAAACACAGCTCACTTCAGCCACGACCTCCTGGGCCCAAGCAATCCTCCCGCTTCAGCCTCCCAAGTAGCAGGGACTACAGATGCACACCACCATGTCCAGCTAATTTTTATATTTTTTGTAGAGACGGGGTTTCGCTATGTTGCCCAAGCTGGTCTTGAACACCTGAGCTCAAGTGATCTGCCAACCTCTGCCTCCCAAAGTGCTGGAATTACAGGTGTGAGCCACCACACTCAGCCTTGTGTGTTTTCTGAATCAAAATGAATGTATACTTTTCCATAAGCAACACAAGGACTCAATTACAATGCATGAGTTTGTTCATGGCTAGGCACAGTGGCTCATGCCTATAATTTTAGCACTTTGGGAAGGTGAGGCAGGTGGATAGCTTGAGCCCAGGAGTTTGAGACTAACCTGGGCAACATGGCAAAACCCCATCTCTACAAAATACGCAAAAAATTAGCTGGGTATGGTGGAGCATGCCTATAATCCCACCTTCCTGAGAGGCTGAGGTGGGAGGATCACCTGGGCCTGGGAGGTGGAGGTTGTAGTGAGCCAATATCATTGCTACACTCCAGCCTGGGCTACAGCGTGAGACTCTGTCTCGAAAGAAAGAAAGGAAGGAAGGAAGGAAGGAAGGAAGGAAGGAAGGAAGGAAGGAAGGAAGGAAGGAAGGAAGGAAGGAAGGAAAGACAGAGAGAGAGAGAGAGGGAGGGAGGGAGGGAGGAAGGAAGGAAGGTTGTTAAAAATAAGCACGTCAAGAATAAAACTAAAGTAGAAGACTTATAAGACTATATTTTCATTTTTCATAATCAACATATGTATCTCTAATACACACATGAAAAGTTCTTAAAAGTAAGCACTGCCACTCAGCTTTGCATCATAGTAGTAGCCACTTTTAATAGATTTCTGTTTTAAAAGAACAAGATTGATGAGAAAAGAAAGTATATACAATGTTACTGAAAAATGTAGACATGTCTATGTAGGATTTTCTATTGCATTTTGATTCTTTCTAATTTCACTCTCAGTGAGACATTTATTCTGGACATTCTGGACGTTATTAACCATCATCTTTATGTACTAATTACTTTACCCATAACTATTCATATTCCAACTCTTTTTTGAAAAGCCTTTTGGATATTCCCAAACCACTCTGACCTTTCCCCTCCTGGGAAGTTTCCATGCAGTACTGAATCACTCATTCTCTTAGGTCCACGTCATATCCTTCCTATTTTGTGCAGGGCCCCTTTTTGTTTTATTTTCTCCTTTTCACCCTACAGCCTCAGTTCTCACTTCTCTCCCTTCTCCAGCACCCACTCTACTGTATTTAATGTGTGTCCTTCCAGTCCAAATTGCAAATGTTTGTTTAGATAAATGTATACCATAAGAAAGTCTTTATATGTCTTTGCTTTTAAATTACATAAATTACATTGTGCTAGAAATCTTACTTGATTTCTAACTTTAATTCCTTCAACATCGTGTTTTTGAGAGATATCTGTGTGTTACATGTCGATCTAATTTAATACTTCTGCCTGCTGCACCCTTTTCTGTCAAATGCACACACCAAACATCATCTATGTACTTCAGGATGGACCCTCATCCTGAAAAACTCTTTCATGAACCTCCTTGCAAATTTACTGTACTTACTGTTTTATATGAGGATCAGGGAAACTGTCCATAGAGAGAAATTTTCTTTTCTTTTTTTGAGACAGGGTCTTGCTCTGTCACCCAGGCTGGAGCACAGCGGTGTGATCTTGGCTCACTGCCACCTCTGCCTCCCAGGTTTAAGCTATTCTCCCACCTCAGCCTCCCAAGTAGCTGGGACTACAGGCATGTGCCACCATGTCCAGCTAGTTGTTTCTATTCTAGTAGTGACAGTGTTTCGCCATGTTGGCCAGGCTGGTCTCCTGGCCTCAAGTGATCCATCCACCTCAGTTTCCACTATGGACAGTTTCTCTGAGGCATGTACTCAGAAAGGAGATTGCTGAGTCATAGGATCATGCATACAAGATTTCTATAAAAATTGCTATATTGCTTTCTGGAAGAGCTATAGTAATTTACCTTCCCACACCAGCAGGGCAAAGGTTTTGTTCCAACTTATACTCAATAGCCCTTGGTGTTGTCTGATTGTGTAGATTTTGCCAATCTGATGGATTTGAAGTACCATCTCAATAGTGCTCTGTTGTGCTGTTCTCTGATTGATGGTTAGGTTGAGTATCTATGTCTTCAGGAGATTATAAACCACTCAGGATTCCCCTTCTGTGAATTGCCTATCCGCATCGTCTTTTTTTCTATCACTTTTTTCTATCTTTATTATTGCTGACCTGCATTAATCTCTGGTACATTCTAGCTATTGATACCTTTAAAGTTTTAGGCATTGCAAAGACTTCTAGAATGTCACCAGTCACTTGTCACTGTTAACTTTGTTCACGATGCCCTTCATTGAACACAAGTCTTTCATTTTTGATTAGTGTACAATTCGTCAATTTATTTCTTGACAGCTTGAGCATATGAGGCTTTATTTAATAATTTTTCTACCACCCAAGGGCAAACAGATATTCCCCTACATTTTCTTCTATTCACTTTACAGGTTTCCTTTCACATTTTGAAATTACTCCATTTTGAGCTTTTTTTTTAAATGGGTCAATATAGGGATTCAACTGTATTTTTCTCCCTATAGTAATACTTTTCTCTGAAGTATTTTCTAAATTGGCCTTTTCTTTTGCTATGCACTTGTCAAGCTGTCCCCATCATTACTTATTTTTCACAGATGCACAGTTTGATTTGGGGACTTTTCATTTTTCCCTTTCGTCTCTTTGCTTATTCTGCACCTAAACTTTATAACATCAGTTACTATGTCTTTCTCAAATCTCATTTTCTAGTAAAATGGTTCTATTCTTTTGTTCTTTTTCAAAATTGCTTAGTTACTCAAGAGCCTTTATGCTTTCTTATAAAATTTAAAATCAGTTTACCATAATTTCAGAAATTCCTACTGTGATTTTGATTGGAATTGTCATGAAATACATAAAACAATCTGGAGACAAATGACATAATAGCAACAATAAATTGCCCTAGTCATTTATTTAGGTCTTTTCTTTTTTCTTTTAATAGAGCAATAGAGCTAAAATGTTTTTCTCAGTAAAAATTCATACATTCTTTATTACTATAATACCAGACACTCTTGTTGCTTCAGTAAATTATATCTTTATATATAATTTTATAAATTCATGCTATATTTGATATTTGTACCCTGTGGTGTCTTCAGGGCTGCATATGAGAAGAGGGAGCCAACACCTGAGGGATATGCCCTCTTGTTTGTAATCATATTTAATATCTATATATTCATGCACATATTCAACATCTTGTTCCATTGGTAACTAGTGGTCCCAATAAAACTGGAATCTTCATTAAGATGATTACCTGAATACTAAATTTCATATTACTTTCCTAAAGACTTAGTTCAGTGCTATATACACATAGACAGGAGACAGCTATAGCCTGAGAGGTACACAGCTGAACTGAAATCAAAAGACTTGAGTGAAATCTTTTCTGTACCTCTGACTCTGAGCCAGGCCATAATCCCTCTGAATCTCAGCTTCCTCATTCCTAACACATGATTAATGAGGTTGTCACAAAAATTCAAAGAGAAAATAGATTTATCATGCACAGAATTTGACATGTGGAACCAATGCCCTGCTATTTGAATCTAAAGGCAAGAAATGCTTAAATCAGCTACAGCCAAAGAAGAGTAATGGCAGGAAAGCATTATAACTTCAAAAACTGTTTTCCAGTGGTTAAACATTATTACCAAAGTTACTTCAGTCAAAGACATCAAAGAAAATTTATAATCTTGTCTCCAGATAACATGTACGTTCATCAGTTGCGGCTGAAAAGAAAAGTTCCCACCACCCTGAAGACCATCACTGGCCCTGGACTTCCTAAAGCAGCCCAAGAAACATTTTCTCTGGAAATCTGGTCTTTTGTGTGAGAGTGAAAGCTACTGTGGGTGTTGCAATACTTTTCCTCTGCAAAGAGATGATTTTAGCAGAATCCCAAATAGCACAATAGAATTATCTGTATTCATATGCAAATAAGCACATTTTAAAATATAGTTGAAACAAATAGGAATCCCTTTTATTTCCAATCTCATCTCATGTTTCCATAATGGAGATACTGGGATTAAAGATGATTATAAAGTGAATGTAGATTTGTGAGAAGTAGGCTATCATGAGAAATGCTGGGGGTGTGGAGCCCTTGCAAACACTTCCCAGGATCCGAAAGCAGAAAGGATAGAGGAAAGGCATTAGACTAAGCCATGAGAGTCATGGCAGGAAGAGGATTTGAAGAATGAAGCTTGCAGCACTCTTGTTGAAAGACTGAAGGTAAATGACTGGGCACCTCTTCAATAGCAGCCCTCACTGACCACACTAACAAAAATATTCCCCACACAGCCCCACCTCCTCCCTAGTTACTCTATCATACCACCACCACCTGCTTCATGGTTCTCTTTGAGCTGATAACTATGTTGTATTATCTTGCTTATTTGTTTGTTTGTTTGTTTCCTTTGCTGTTATTTATTTCTTCCACTAGGCTGGAAACTCTGGAGGAACAGGGACATGGCCTATCTTGTTCATGTGCCTCGATCAGTGCTAAGCACAGAATGGACATTCAATAAATGCTATTTGAATGCAAAAAGGGAGTCCAGATCTATCAGAAATGAGGTAATAGCTGTTTCTTGATTTTTTTACATCACACATGGGCATTAGAGGATCTTTGTGGTAGGAAGTAAAATGAGAGGATAGAAACTTACTATAAGGTGCTTTTGTGGAACAAACAACTGTTCAGGTAAGTGCCATCTCAAGCAGTGCTTTGAATTGATCTGCCTGTAACCCTAGGAAAAAAAAAAAGGATGACCATACATTGGCCCTGACCTGTGAATCTACACATTCCTGGGTTTATCTTTCAGATAATTACTGTGGAGTAATATGAGACATAGAGTCTATGGCAATGGCCTTGAATAAATGAGTAATGCAACAAGTTATAAAGTTCTTAAAAGAAAGCCTGAGTATATCTCCTCATTCTTTTGTGCTTCTCTAGCCTATTTCCTTTACATATGGTGGCTGGAGTTGTGAGGGGTGAATTTCTATAAAGTAATAATCGATTGTTCTGTTTTTCCTTTGCTCATACCCCTCTCACTTTATTTTTTGAGGGAGAGAACAAAGAGAATAGGACGGGAAAAATGTCAGACTTCTAATGAAATTACAATTAAAAAAAAAAGAAAGTGATAACACTAAAACCATAAGGCAAACCAGCAGGGGGTGTTAAAGATAAAATTACCACTCAGAAGTCAATGGAAATGTAGTTACAGGCAATTATTGCATGTTCTCTGAGTCTCTTATAAGTGAATTGACCTTTAAAAATAAAATTGCTCTTGATTGTTTTTTAAATCTCATTTTCTGTGCTTCTGAGATTATTTCCAACTGATGTCCATATACTTTTAAAATCTCCAAATGGATTATTATAAATAATAGTTAATCAAAATTTCTTAGATTATTAACCTTCCCTTAAATTTAAAAAATATTTATGTTGTGTATCTCACAATCAATAAACAAATCATGGCAGTGCCATAAAGCAGGCTGTCACACAGTCATGAAATAATCTGTTTTAAGCACTATTTTAAGATACACAGGAATGTTCATTATATAATCTTAATCATTGTATAAACAGGTATAAAACCACACATAGAGAATGTCTTTGTGTTTTCTTGTGTTTAAAATTATTATGGAATTATGAGTGTGATTATGAGTGAGTTTTGTTTTCATATATAACTATTTCTCTGTAATTTCTGAGTTCTCTTTAGTAAACATGTCAGACTAAAAATCAGAAAAAAAATTCATAATAATGCTCAGATACCTTTGAACAGAATTTAATTTATCTGTAAGGTATTTGTTTCTATAGGTAAAGAATAGACACTATTCTTCTTTTTTAAATGGAAATACTGAGGCATCATGAAATGCCCTGCTTCTAATCATATAATTCATGGCAAAGAACTGGAATCAGAAATAGAAACCAACCTCCTGGATTGGCAGGATTTATCCTCCTCTTTACTTACATAAACCTGGTGAGAAATGTGCAGGGACAGTCTTTCCCTGGGGCCTCTGGGTGGCTGGCCCTGCGGGACTGCCTTCCTCTCTGCACTGGGTGTCTCTAGAGGAGGCCCAGTGTGTGAGTGAGCCCAAGGCTTTCCTTCCGTGGATCGGCTCTCTCCAACCTTCTACTAAGGGAAGGGAGGAATCCTGGAATATAGCTGCAGATTTTCAAAACTTTTAAACAATTGGATCTATCTGGTTGAGATAATTTCAGATACAAATGCTACTGTCAGCAAAGGGCAATGTTTCTATGTTGCTAAATTGCTGGAAGCCTAACTTCAGAATCACTGTGTTCTTGTCTCCCTGAACAATGCTTGAGAACAGGGACTATGCCTATTTTTTTCCAAAGACTCCTAAACCAGTCCCCAGTACAGAGACATTATGCTCATCATGAAATCTTTGTAAATATGTATTAACTCACTGGTCATTAGCCTTCGAACATTGCACCCAGGGGCACTAGTTCATGTGCTGGTGGACAGCACGTGCCACATGCCCTGTCTCACCACCATATGAGATGGCGCGTTCATCAAATGTGGGATCTCTGAATTTCCATCTGGAGAATCAGTAAATCTTTTCACTTACTTTCAAGTGGCTCTTTTAATTTTTTAAAGTGCCAAATGACAACTATGTCTTTCTTTTGGTCCTGGCTCTTAATAAACAACAACAAAAAAATTGGTTATTTGTCCCCACCCATAGAGATTTGGCTTTAACTGGTCCCAAATGATGTGCAGGCATTGGTATTTGAAAAAATATTTTTTGACGATCCTAAGGCTCAGCCAGGGTTGAGAACTACTGATTTAAACTGTGAATCTTTGTGAATCTTTGCCTCTATGACATATTTAGTATCTGTGATTTATCTGATGCCAAGTCTTTGGTCAAGAATGCAACATCCAATTATAACACAGATCCCACGGGTAAGACCAGTTTTAGGATTTTCCATGTGGTTTCCAGAAATGTACTGCAGTATTGTTGGATATTTTATACTTGGCCGATGCTCCAATACCCTCAAAAAAAGTACCTAGGAGAGACCTGTTTCCTTGATGTTTGTAGAGATTGTGGGAGTGCCCAAGAAAAAATCACAATATGGGTCTCCTACAAAAGCCTAATCTTTTATTATCAGTGAGACATGGTAAGAAGAGTAGCCTGAACAAGGAAAATGAAGTTACCCAAGGAATCTCTGATGCCTATGTTGAAAGAGGGGAGTTGTGCTGCTAAGACAACAGCCCCTGTCCCTAGGGTACTGGGACTCCAGGTCCCTCCAGCTTCCCTGCATCCCTATCCAGCAAGGGGACCTAGAATCAGTACTTTCCCCACCACTGCTCTATTCCAAAGCACGAGGAATCTGATTTTTTTGAACTCTAAGCAAAGATTCAGATGTGAGAAGATGGAGTCTTACCTGATTAAAGCCAGGAGAAGAGACTATTCTACATAAAGGCAGAGATGTGGATAGATGGATGCCATGGCATCAGTGAGAGAAGCAAGAGTGGGCCAAGGAACCAAGAGAGTTGAGATAATGTCCATTTGGCAAGAAGGAGGAGAATGAAGAGACAATAACGTCTCAGAGGCTTAAAATGTTAGTGATTCAAGATCGATATTGGAAGAGTCTTATTGGACAGAAATTAGTTTTGAGGAGGAAGTTCATGAACTTAAATGCCTGAGGACAGGATATTGTGGATAAAATAATATTATGGCACCTTTTCAAATTTAGGCAAGTGGTCATTTATTGGATTAAGAAAGGAGATCATGAGGCTGAGTGAGCCTGCTGGGAGTTGGTCCAGGCTACGTGAGGCTGCGTTAGCCTCACTCCCCATCCCCAGTATCTGCTCAGGCCTGCTCCACCTGCACACCAGGCCCAGGCCCCCAAGCAGCTGCCCTCCCTGTCCTCATCAGAATTTTTCTGTAGGATCCTCCTGTTCTCCTTAGCTTCTACGGGAGCCAAGATGGCCATGGAGTGGAGCTGAGCAACATCACCCAGCAGCCTGAGGAGCCCCTGTGCAGGTGTGATGCAGGGTCCAGGGGACTGTCATTGGAAGGAGAAGTGGCTTCCCAGGAAAGAAGCTGAGGGAGCTAATCCTGAGCCTGGGAACCCTGTAAAAAAATTTTAATTTAACCTTACCTTGACAAGACCGGGCACGGTGGCTCACACCTGTAATCCCAGCACTTTGGGAAGCCGAGGCGGGCAGATCACTTGAGGCCACGAGTTTGAGACCAGCCTGGCCAACATGGCAAAACCCCATCTCTACTAAAAATACAAACATTAGCTAGGTGTGGTGGCACATGCCTGTAATCCCAGCTACTCGGGAGGCTGAGGCACAAGCCGAGATCAGGCCATTGCACTCCAGCCTGGGTGATAGGGCAAGACTCTGTCTCAAAAAAAATAATAATAATAAAATAATAATAATAACAATAATTTTACCGTGACTCAATTTTGTTAAAAGGAAGATGCTTCCGTGGATTCTCTCAACTTGAAAACAGTTTGTGTGTGTCTGTCTGTGTGTGTGTGTTTGTGTGACACATAAGTACACAGGGCATCATGGAAAATTCTGTTTTAAAGGAGCTGGTCTTTTAAATTACATGTTTTGGATAAGCCTCATTTTTTTTGTTTAGAAGCAAAATATTTCTGCTCTCAGAATTGATTCTTTTCTAGTGGCCCCTAACGCTAAGGAAACAGCATGGTGCAGTGGAAAGAGAAGGGGCTGGGGATCTCACTTTGACATTAAGCAGCAGCTCTGTGACCCTGGAGAAAGCACATGTACCCACTCAGCATCAATCCCACCCTGTAAAAGAGGAGGGGAAATTTCTGGCATAGAATTCTCATTCCATAAGCTCAGTGCTGTTTGTAAAACCCAACCTACTTGTGAACAAGAGCTCTATCCTATGCATATCTACCCTCTCAATTCACGAATCCAATGTTGCCTGAGCAAAGCTCCCACTTGCGCTCAATTCTGTTGCAGACATTTCAGACACATGGGAAATGGACTCAGAGGACTTGCTCAAGACCACCCAAGTTCATAGCAGTTCTGTTTTATGCTATATCTTGTCCTAGCCAACCCTTTCTCTTGACATCAGCTCTGTCTGTGCACATAGATGGACAGCATCATTGGCCCAGACCGCTCTGGCTGGGGAGGTGCATATTTGACTTAATAAATGAGAGTCTGAGGTGGGGGAACAGGACGGCACTTCCACAAACCGTTCATGCTGCATGATTATGCCTCCCCTGGAGGAACAGGAGTAAACTGGCAATGAAGAAAGCAGCAGAGAAGGGTAGGATTTGGCATCCAAACCTGAGGTAGATCCTTGACATCTCTCCCAGGCTGCCCACTCCTCTCTCCACTATTGGAGGAGCTGGAAACTCTCAGCCTCCTGAGTCCTCTAGGAGAGCAAGGTGATTTAAGTCACACATATTTCTGTGACATGAATGTCCAAACAGGAAGCCAAAGGGAACTGGCTTTGCAGTTTTTTTAAGGCAGCATGTGGCTAGGAATGGACATGACCAATCATTACTGCTATAATTTGACATGTCTCCAGCCTAAGAAATCTACCATGCATTGAGGTAACCTGATATAAAACCGCTTTCACTATTTTGAAATTAAGGTTTCTCCACTGCTCATGGAATGTGAGCCTGTGTTTAGAAGTCAATGCAGGGCCTTAGCTGACACTTCCATACCTGCCAAGAGCCGCTGATGTGAACCAGGTGGCCTGCTTCAAGCAGAATTCAATTACCCAGATGGCAACTGTTTCTTAATTCAAAACTTTAACAGCGTTTTTTTTTCCATTATGAAAAATGAGAGGGGAAAAAGAATACATTGAGCTTGAGCACTTCTGGTTTATGAGATTAGAGGCAGGGGAGGGAACTGGGTCCCTGGCCTCTGCCAGCTCCCTGCAGCTCCAGCCTGCAGCACTGTATCTGCCTGACTCGGCTGCTTATTCCTGGAGCAGGAGTGACGGTCCTGAAACTCAGCCTCCTCTTGGGTTTGTTCTTAGGAAGCTAGAATAACTCTCTCTCACTAATTAGTGATTGCATTAGCAGATGGTATCTTTTTTTTTTTTTTAAGTAAAAAGGAAAAAGAAGAAAAGGTTTTAAAGGTTTTAAATTGCATTTAGAGACAATGCTTTCTTTCTCCTGAGGAAGCCCGTGCAGTCTAGATCCTGGATATTCAGGCTTCTTATTCTGAAGGTGAAAATCAATCAGCTGGGCTACGGCTCTGACGTTTTAGTGGACTTATTTTCCTGGTCCTCGCCTGAAGTTTGGTAATAACCAGACCAGTTCAGACAGGTGGAGTGCTGACTGACCTCTACCACCCAACTGGGTGCACTTGGCTGGCTGTGTCTCAGTAGACTGGTTCTTTGTTGGATAAAGGAGATTGACGTGGGAAAAGGTGAGCCAGCATAAAGTAAATTCTGTTCTCATTCTCTCCTCCTGTAGACAAATTTTGTAGCTGCCTTCATTCTTCCTTGGACCTTATATCTCCCAGGCTAAGTAGGAATTTGGAATCAAGACGAGATAATTGCTTACCCTCTTTGAACAGTTACTACATGGCAGGCAATGTTCTAGTGCTTTAAGTATATCATGTCAATTGTTTCTCATAGCAGCCCACTGGTAGAGTTACTAAGTTAGATAGTTTTTCTAGATAAAAAGCTTCATGCTTACATACATTGTTTGAAGAAGGTATTTGGTTAGAATCCTGTCATGTGATCAGCTATTTTGGGTCCACCACCTCCATCACCACCATCCCATTACCTCCTACCATCACTTTCATTACCACCACCACCATCTCTGTCTCCACTGTTAACTCTTAACACTGTGTCCATGACCAGACGTCAAATGTTAACAGGGACTTGTCAAAAAAGCAAAAAGCTGAGATGTGTTAGGCAGGGACATCTTTAACTTGAGCTATTTGGACAACTTTTTTTTTTTTTTTTTTTTTTTTTTTTTTGAGGTAGGTCCCACTATATCACTCAGGCTGGTCTTGAATCATTGGTCTCAAGTGACCCTCTCACCTCAGTATTTGGACAATTGAAGCTAAATTTTTCATTAACTTGGTTTCTTCCTTCTTTTCTTTATCTTCTATAATTTCGGTCTTCAAATGTGAGATTGCTTACCAGGCAGCTTAACATTTCTTTAGTCAGTGGAGTTGCATCAAGCACTGGACTCTGAGAGAACTGGAAACCAACAAAGTCCTTGGCCTATTTGGAATTCACCTTAGCAAAAAACACTAGGAAATCAGATAAAATGCCTGAGCCATCCCCGCAAATTGAACTATCTTCTGAGGGCTAGGGAGTTGTATGTTGACCAATTGTTAAAATTATGTCCTAATTCCAGTTTTTCATCATATCCAGCAATTCAAAAGCTTCTGTTCAAGAGAAGTAGTAGATAATAGGGATGGTAATGGGAGTTAAGGCATGCTGCCTGTGTGTGCACAAGAAAAGGAAGAAAATAAAATTAGCATACTATGACAAAAATATACAAGGAGATATAGGTATCTTGAGATTCTGAATTCAATAATGTGATCAGAGAAGCTTTCATAAATGTGCTGGCTATGAAGGCATATCTACTGGAGAAATCTTTCCAAAGCACAAATCTGATCATGCCCTGCCCCTGCTTAGAACCCCACAGTGTCTCCCTATGGCCCATAGGATAAAGTCCAAGCCCTTTGATGGCATCCAAGTCCTCCACAATCTGGACTCTGCTCACCTCTCCAAGCTTACTTCCTGCCGCCATTCCTCTCACAACCTAGGCTCTCGCCATTTTAATCTTCTGGCCAGTCCTCCAACACTCAGTTTGTTTCTGTCCTGAAGACCTTACCCATGTGCTACTTTTGCTTGCATCCTCCTGGTCCTGCCTAACATGCTGCCATTCCGTGAACTCCTAACCATCTTTCACAATCCCAGCCAGGGAAGCCTTTCCCACTCTGCAGACAGAGCTGGCCACTTCCTCCTTCATGCCCCCATGAAGGCCTGCATATATGCAGCACCTCTCACTGTGTTACTAATATCTCTTTGCATGTCTTTTTTTTATGCCAGATGGTGAGCTATTTGAGGGTAGAGAATGTGTCTTAGTTATCTTTATACAACAGCAACAAGCACTGTGCTAGGCTCAGAGTAGATATTCAATAATGTTTATTCTGATTTTTTGCATGAACTAGTTCTTACTTCTGTTAAATACTATACACTACCAGAGTTAAGGATTGGAGTATGCTCTTTATAAGAGGGGGAAAAAAGGGGGAACCCTTCTTAGGGGCTTATTTGTAAGAGTCCACATGTAGAGGTCACCATCGCCAAAATGGAAGCCTCCAGAGTAAAACATAAGCTGTTAAAAATGAATTGAGCTGGTTACTATTTTTGCACCTGACCTACTTTTTGGTTACTTCTGCTGTTGCAAAAACTTCCATTCTTATAAATGAACCAAACCACTTTTTGATGGTTTTGTATTCTCTCCTCTTAAGGTAGCTTTTTACTGAAACAAAAATCTGCACAGTCTCTGAAACCCAGCTTTAATGCAAAGGCATCTATGGAAGAGTATTATTCCCAGTAGGACCAACTTCCAAAGAACTCTCTCAATTGTTTTTCCATGGAAGAGTTTAAGGCCAAGAATAGCAAATCTATCCACCACGATGATGGCACTTATTTCCTTAGTGCTTGTGGTTGTGCCCCCTGGAGAGCAGGAAGGGTTAGATGCCAGTTACCTCCCGCCACCTCTTCCCAGCTTTGGGCTTGCCCTTTCTGAGCTGTAAGGCTGCCTGAAGCTGTGTCTCTGCTGGTTGGATGAAGATGGGACTCTGGCAGTGGAATATTTTTCAGTCCAGATCCCTTCTTTGTTACCATTTGATTTTCTTTTTTTTTTTTTTTTTTTTTTGTTGCAATGCCTCGGTAGTTGTTGATTTGCAGAAAACAATTGGTGAGTTTTTAAATGTAGGATATTGTAACATCACATAGTGTTGTGAACTAGGGTAAGGGGAGTAGAACTGTATTGGCAGAGAGTGCTAAAGGAGAAGGCAGAATCCTGGCTCAGGATCTGGTATAAAACACACAGGAAACAACTAAAGAATCCTTTATTACTGCTTTATTTACGAAGACCGCTATTAATAACAGCAAATTATTTAAAGGGCAGCTGGGTTAAAAGGATGCTGAGTAAAACACCAAGGACTTGATTCTGTTGTGGTTGGTGATAACCTACAATAGTTACCAAGTAAATGCAGACTCTTTCAAATTTCCCAGTTTCCCAGAGGCACAACCTGAAGTCTTCAACCACCACTAACAGGAGAAAATATGTTTAAAAGAATACTAAGGAGCTTTCAAAAGGATTAAGAAATGGCTCGGGGGCCGGGCGCGGTGGCTCACACCTGCAATCCCAGCACTTTGGGAGGCAGAGGCGGGCAGGTCACGAGGTCAGCAGATCGAGACCATCCTGGCTAACACGGTGAAACCCAGTCTCTACTAAAAATACAAAAAATTAGCCAGGTGTGGTGGCAGGCGCCTGTAGTCCCAGCTACTAAGGAAGCTGAGGCAGGAGAATCGCTTGAACCAGGAGGCGGAGTTTGCAGTGAGCCGAGATCGCGCCACTGCACTCCATTCTGGGGCGATAGAGCGAGACTCCGTCTCAAAACAAAGAAAAAAAAAAAGAAAGAAAGAAATGGCTCGGCTGCGCTCCATTCTGGGGCGATAGAGCGAGACTCCGTCTCAAAACAAAGAAAAAAAAAAAGAAAGAAAGAAATGGCTCGGCGTGGTGGCTCACACCTGTAATCCCAGCACTTTGGGAGGCTGAGGCAGGCAGATCACTTGATGTCAGGAATTCGAGAACAGCCTGGCCAACATAGTGAAACCCTGTCTCTACTAAAAATACAAAAATTAGCCTGGCACGGTGGTGCGTGCCTGTAATCCAAGCTACTCAGGAGGCTGAGGTACAAGAATTCCTTGAACCCGAGAGGCAGAGGTTGTAGCGAGCCGAGATTACACCACCGCACTTCAGCCTGGACAAAAGAGTAAGACTCCATCTCAAAAAAAACAAACCAAAAAAAAGGTAAGAATGGAGAGTCTGGGAGGAAAAGTTATAGGAGTCAGAATTATTTGCTGACAGATTTTGATAGTCAGCAATGCACCCAGAACTGTGCTTTTAAAGACAGGTGATATGTCTGCTGCTGAACAGAAGAAAAGGAAATAGATTTGCAATGGAGGCACAGAGATTTGCAATGGAGGCACAGATAATGGCTAGGGGGAACTTTGAATGATGAAGACAGTTGACTTTAAAGCAGCAAGAGTGGCTTTCTGGGTAACGTGGAAAATTCTGGATAATGTGGGAAATAGGTAAAGGATAAAGATGCATGCTTATGACTGTTTCCATGCTAACTCGGGAGCACACAAAGCCAAAGAAAATTCTGTCCTTCCAGATCTCTAGCTCATAGATCCCCAAAATTTTTGTGTCCTATGGAAAATGCTAAGTTGGTGTGGGCTCCAACTCATATTTTAAAGCCTTTAATTGCAATGATGTGTTTATTCAATTCAGCAAATACTCAAAGTGCTAGCGTTCTTGGCTCAAAAAACTGACTTGCATCATATTTTTCATACATCTGCTGACTCTATTCACAATGACTGGAGCAACCATCCACAGTTGTGATCAAATTCTCCTCGAAGCTATCCATACTTGGCAGCCTTAAGGTCTATAAATGCTGAGTCTCCAGGCCAATCAGTTTAACTGTGCCCCAAGTTAGAAGCTTGAAAAGAGTTGATAGGATAAGCAGCAGACAGAATAGAGAGCCTTTGCTTTCTTCACCCTCTCTTCTAGAATCCAAATTTGTCCCCTGCACTGGAGTTAGAAAAGCTACCTGAAAGTCTTGCCACTATTCTTGGAATATTCAATACCAATTACTCCCTGGGCCTCAGTTTCTTCATCATAAAATGAGGGAGCTTGATGTTTCATCTATAAGGTTTCATTTCATTCAGAAGCCACTCTTCCAAGGGAAGAAAAGAAGGCTTTTTCTTAAAAAAAAAAAAAAAAAAGGACTTTTCCTCCTTTGCTTACCCATTTTCCAAGGTGTCTCTCTCATATCTGAGATTTCCTTCTGCGCCTCAGACTTGGTCATGCCTTACCTTTTTCTTTACCTCAAAGACTTGTGAGAATTCAAGGGCACTGTGCATCTGAAATTACTGTGTGGCATCAAAAGCAAAATACAGATTTAAGATAATGTTTCTTATATTTTTTGCCCTTTCTTCACACCGGAACACAGCTAGAACTCTGGGATCCTCCTGAAAGGACCTTCAGCAATTTTCAGTTGCCAAATAAATAGCTCTAGATACAAAGGGAAGTGCCTTGATCTATCAGGGTTATTTTGTTGAGTGAATGAATGAGAATTTTACTTATGAGGGGAGAAAAAGGAGATCAGCTGGCAGGAGAAATCTACGTTGTTCCGACCCGTGCTTTATATATTTAGTTGTTGCCGCGGCACTTTTCCCATTCAGACCAGGGCCCAAGGAGTAATTAATCTTTGTTTTTATTTTTATTTATTTATTTTTTTGAGATGGATCCTCACTCTGTCACCAGGCTGGAGTGCAGTGGCGCCATCTCAGCTCACTGCAACCTCCGATTCTGTGGTTCAAGCGAATCTCCCGCCTCAGTCTCCCGAGTAGCTGGGATTACAGGCATGTGCCACTACGCCCAGCTAGTTTTTTTTTGTATTTTTAGTGGAGACGGGGTTTCACCAGGTTGGCCAGGATGGTCTTGATCTCCTGACCTCATGATCCGCCCGCTTCGGCCTCCCAAAGTGCTGGGATTACAGGCGTGAGCCACAGTGCCTGGCCCAGGAGTAATTAATCTTAAACAAGCTATCTTTAGCAAGCAAAAGCATCTTACAAAGTACAGTAACTGAGGCTATCAAGCATGTAAAGAAAGCATTTTCTAGAAGCTTAGAGATGGATCCCCGAACACTCTGTAACCCTCTGTTAACAGTCTAAGGAATTCTGTTCTGAATTTGGGGGCTCTTCTCCAGGCAGTCAGGGTTTTGAATTCTATTTACAATTCCTCTGCTCTCTATGGCCTAGAATGATTGAACCAAGTCTCTAGATCACTGTAGGAGACATCAACCTTTAACAATACATTCTTGAGGAGAAGAGACTCGTGTAAGAAACTATCTTGTAAGAAGGGATGAGAATTACCCTAATGATGTAACTGACAACACAGTTTCTAGTTTTTCCTTTCTTTCCTTCCTTCTCCATTTTTTCCAGTTTCATATCCTTGTTTGTTCATGCTACATGAATACTTGAAGTTGATAGAGTTGGCTTTAACTTAGGAACCTTTGCTTAGAAAGTCAATATCCTGGCCTTTCCCAGAGTACTTGACTTCCTGCAAACCTTGTTAATAATACTTTGTTTTTTAAAATGTTGGAGAACTTCAGCCATTGCAGCCTCTTGCTAAGAAGCAAAAGCTATAATGACAGAGAAGCCCCAAAGTGCAGTGGAACCAGGGATCTCCGGGGAGAGTGGTGGTTTCCTGGGCCCCCCCAGAGAACCCAAGGCTGTGCTGGAGATGCTGCCGTGACAGGTGGAGGCGTGGAGAGGCACCTGGCAAGTCCTCAAACGCCTCCCCCTTGATTTAGCTCCTCTAGCTAAGGATACGCATTCCTTTGGGTTTCAGGTTTTTCTTCCCTAAAAAGAGAATCCCCAAACTGGACAAGCAGGTTACATTCACACAATAGCGTGAATGAATTCGCTGGTCGCCCTTCAGATTCTCATTTTGGAATCTCGAAGAAAGAGAGGTGGTGGGAGGAGGGCGCTTGAAACTTCTGGCGATGCCAGTTCAGATCGATTCCAGCTATGACGGAGCGGGAAGTGGATAAAGAGGACCCCAAGTCACAGGAGGCACTCTGAGAGCACCAAGCGCCCGGGGAGGCCATCCGCAGGTGGGCGCGGGGCCTGGATTCCACAGAGGGGCGGAGTCCCTCAGTCAGGCGCTGGCTGCAATCACACCCGAGCGCCAGCCCCCTCCAGCATCCCTGAGTCCCAGAGGAGATCGCCGAAGCGCTGGAAAAGCCGTTCCGCCCACGACTTCTGGTGCCGGGTCGGCGGCGACTGGGGGAGCCCAGTTCCGAGACCGTACCGCACCCACTGCGGACCTCCTGGGCCCTACATAGTAGGCGGGTCATGCAGGGCAGCGGGAGGAGGGGCGTGGGAGGGCCAAGGCCGCCGAGTCCCCGCTGTTCAGCCAGCAGGAGCGCCCCGCAGCCCTCCCGGGACACGGTGGACACGCTTGTCCCAGACCTGGGCGCCCTCCTGCCGGGAGCCAGGACTGGCCGCAGCAGGCGCTGTCCGGGCCCGTGGGCGGGGTTTCGGGAGGGGGCGGAGCCAGGCCCACGGCCGGTGTCAGGTTGCTCCGGTAACGGTGACGTTTCGCGGCGTGGGCGGGGCCAGCACGCAGGTTGCATATTTTAGGAAGTGAGGAGGAGGCGCGGGCTGGAGCTGCGGCGGGGTCTGGGGCGCAGAGCAGCGGCGGGAGGAGGCGGACACGTGGCAACAGCGGTAGCAGCCCGGGCGGCGGCAGCAACAGCGGCGGCGGCATCGGCCCGAGCCGCCGGCCGCCCTCCCACCCTCCCGCCCCGCGGCAGCCCTAGCTCCCTCCACTTGGCTCCCCTGGTCCCGCTCGCTCGGCCGGGAGCTGCTCTGTGCTTTTCTCTCTGATTCTCCAGCGACAGGACCCGGCGCCGGGCACTGAGCACCGCCACCATGGGGAAGGGGGTGAGTGTCCGGCGCGCCCGGGGAGGGGGCTCGGGGAGCCCTCGAGGGGAAGAGGAGGAAGTCGGGAGGGCGACCGCGGCCAGCGGGAGGCGGCGGAGGAGGAAGCGGCGCCGCGTGGAGTGGGCTGGCAGAGCCGCGCGGCTTAAAAGACGACGCAGTTTGGAAATGGAGGGAGCGCAGTAACGGGGGGCGGGGGAAGGGAGCGCCGAGGGGCTGGAGCGCGGCATTGCTTAGGGGGGTGGGCGGACCCTGGGCGGGGGCTGCGCGCCCCGGAGGCCGAGCGGGCCGGGGGCTCCGAGAGGCGGTGCTTGGGAAGCCTCGGGGCCGGGAGGAGGGGGCTTGCAGCAGCGGGGGCGGCCCCGGGACTGAGCCGGCATCCCTGAGCCTGGCTCCCCTCCCTGCGACCGCCGTCACCTCCTTCTCCTTCCTTTTCCCTCCGCCCTCCGTGCCCTGAGGAAAGGCGCGCTCCTCCCCTTCCCCTGGGGCGCTCCGCCGGGGCCTCCTCCCGGGCCTCCGTTCCCGCCGCGGCCCCGGTTCCGGCGGGGGCAGCCTCCGGGTTCGGGGCTCCTTCTCCTGGGGACGCTGGGGCTTAGCTTGCTCCGCGCAGAGGCGGCCGCCCTCCCCCAAAGAAAAAACTGGCTGCTTCTAAGTGCGAAGCCGGCTGGGCGGGCTGGTGCCAGAAAGGGTGTGTCTTCACTGCCCTAAGATGGCCTTTAAGGTATACTTTTGAGGGCTTTCTTGGGCCACTTTCCGTAAACACAGGATGCACCGATGGCAACTGGAGTTGTCATCCGATGGTGGGGAGAGGCGTGCAGATTTTTTTTGAAGGGACGAGCCCTGAAGGAGGATAGGCAGACCCACCAGGGCCTCAGGGTACAAGAAACCCGAAAAAGGACTGGAGGCTGCAGGCAATACGGTGGTAGGAATCTCTGCCGGTTTCCAGCGTCGCGGAAGCACCAAAGGGCGGTCCCTGAAGGAAACGAGGGGTCTTGGGGCTGGAGAGCGGCGCGGAGCGTGGTGGGAATATCGTCACAACGCCGCTGTCCTACATTTCTGTAGCGAAGACTTGATTACCCCTAGCTATTACCCGTGCAGGAGACTGGGCCCTGGACCCCAAATGAGCCAAAGTCTAGTTGAGAAAAATTTACACAGAATAACCTCGGAGTTCATGGGGTGAAAGTGACCATGTCATGAGAATACAAATGGGAGAGAATCCACTTCGTTGTCTCCAGGGTTTAGCACAGTGCAGACACTGAGTAGGTCTTTGAAGGCCCTGAGGCTTCTGGGTGTAGACAGAGTGTCGGGAGCAGAGGGAGGCTGCACTCCTTGGGGACTCTAAGGGAGTTTTAAAGGAGGTAATTGAAAGGCTTGGACCTGGTGGGGAGAACAGGCACAAGTGGAAATGCACAACTCGCCTCGCTTTTAAAAGCATGCAGCGTGGAGGGCTGGTCCAGGTCAGGTGGCATCAAAGAGCGGAGTACAGGGCCTCTCCATTCCCCTGATGGAGTCTGGGTTAGTGGCCTGTGCTTTTACCACACCGTCAAACCCTTGATCATTTCTGTAAACATGCACTTTAAAGCTCATTCTTTGTCTCTCCTGCCTTAAAAGAAAAAGAAAAAAGTTTACTTCCTGAGCTAATTTTGGGGGGTTTAGACATCACAGATGTGTGCCCCAAGCCTAGGAAGGTGAAGTGACTTGCTCAAGGTCAAACGGTTGGCTAGTGACAGACTAGGCGTCCCTGATTCTTGAACAGCCTGTGGCCTCAAGCCTGAACATGCATTTACTCTTTAACATTGAGTTCTTTATACAGAACTCAGAACTTCGGATGAAACGGGGTATTTGTGATGTTGAATTAATAGGCCATGGAGATGGTTTGGGTAACTAAGTTATGTCCATTTATCTAGATGTCTCCTTTATAACCACACACAGGCACACATGCACAGTAGTGATGCGGTGGTAACCCACCTGAATAGTTAGTAGAGCTTAAACCCAGATGTCTTACAACAAAATGTATAGTGGCTAGCAAACACAAGATTAAATTACAGCTGCGAACACTGGGATGATGAGCTGCTTGGCTGCTGGGTGGTAGTTAGCATTTTGAGTATTCTGATACATTAAACATTAGTTTACTTGTGTGTGTGTTTGTGTGTGTGTTTGTCCTGTGACTTATTGTGAGCGTCCAAATGTTCAGAAGAATATTTCATGTTGGGATTTTTCCACATGGGGATTAAAATGTGGGTGGAGAGTGACTAAAGCCCTGCTGATAATTGGCTAACAAGGAAGCCTGTGCCGGCAGCTAATTTTTAAGGTCATTGTAAATTTCTTCCCCTCCTCTCCTCAGTACCCTTTGTGGCCTAGCTTTTGATGATATTTCAGGTGATTTTATATGTCCTTAAAAGTCTAGTTCCTAAGCATTTGGTAAGAAAATGAAAGAACAGCTCTTGCTGAATCATTCCTGGATGAAATAGGATTTTGTCCCTTTTTTTCTTTCTGGGTTTTATTGCCAGTGACTTGGCTTAAACCGTCAGCTAGGCCTACCACCGGCAACTGTTTCACTCACCAAAGGTACACGCCATAACTGTTTAGAAATGTGGGAAAGTTTGTCTTCTCAAGTGTGTAAAAGATGAGGAGGGGGGGTCTCACCAGGTCTTTCACTGCATTCCGGATTTAGTTTGAATATTATTTACCGAAAAAATAAATCATAGCTTATGAGTAGTGATTTAAGGAAGGGCAGGGAAAAAAGGTTCCAGTGAAGGTGGCAGGGGGGATGCACATGTCAGCAGAAATCCTGGTTGTATGGTAATGTTATCAGCTGCCCTTTTGGAGCTCAGCTTGAAAGTGTGACTAAAGCTCCTCTGGCTGCTATAAAGCTAGTACTTTAGACTTAAAGCATTGTAAGGCAGATGCCTCAGAGTGGAAAGTTGCCCGGGCCTGGCCGGGAGCTAGTGGAGCAAGTTACAGGAAGAACTAGTGCCTAGAGCTGGGGGGTGGAGAGAGCACTTGTGCCTCACCCTTTGCCTGTCAGTTGTTCAGCGTGTAACAGTTCCCTGCTTCTTAGGTTCTTTCTGTACCCTTTTATAAGGGTGTATCCCCTTTTGGTAACTTACTGTTTGTTAATTTGTAGTGTTCCCTGCCAGTAAGCTTGTAACACTCTAGTGACTCACCTTCGGGTGGGAGGGTAGGAAAGGGAGAGGCCTGCCTCCTAAACCTGGGAAGATGGGGAGAGAGTGGTAAACCTGAGAGCCCAAAAAACAAACCAAAACAAAAAAACAAAAAAAAAGATGCCTTTAAAAATTCAGTTAGATGTTTGCCCAGATGAGGGCTAACACTTAAAATATACAGATTCCTGGGAATGTTATTCCTAAATTGCATTCAAAAATAAAAGTGAACTCAACATCTTATAGCACAATAGGCTTGGCACTCATCCATGCTCCATGCCAGTACCCTCAGTCATTGTTTTCGGATTATTTTAGCAACAAATGAACAGATAAGTGACTTTCCATTCAAATCAGGCTATGTTCTTTTAAATATATCTAAACTTAAGAATAAGAAAGGCTTTAACTAAAATAGCTTTGAAGGATTTTGTATGGTAAAGTAAAATTGGTTTCTTCACTTAAAAACAAACAGGTTTAAAAGTAAAATAAAATAAAAGCCCTGAAGCTTCAGTTTCTCATCTGGCTTTTGGATAGAATGCTCATCCTGGGGATCAAGTGAAGTAATCTATGTTCTGTTTATGGAAGGAGTGCTGTGCCAGCCTGAGTTGTGGCTATTGTTATTGGGCTTACATAGGTACAGTAATTAGAGCCAAGAGAAGATCAAATCTTTACAGACTGGGTTTGTTGTTCGTCAGTAAGTCATTAGCCCTTGCAAAATTAGAGAGCAGTTTTTCTTTCACCATGAGAACATATTAAGGTTTGAAAATAATGGGAAATACTGTTAATTGCCCTTCATAGGAAAGTCAAGTAGAGGTGTCAATTGACATTATTGCAACTGTTATCTTCGCTCAACAAGCAAATCTCCTGTTTAATAGCATCTTTCTGTCTACTTTCACTTCTCAGGTGAAGGACTTTGTTCGCGGTTGATGATCATTTTTACGTTTTTGAAGTCTTGCAAAATAAAATGGGCTTTTCGGCCTTCTGTGATGAGAGGGAGCCTGAACATTTGTGCTGTGCTGACTTCTTCTAGCTGCCGAGGGCTCTCTGCCAGCCAACAGGCTAGAAGAAGAAACCCGAGTGTCAGATCAGATGGGCTCACAGTAATCAGAGTGGCTGGGTTTGGACGGCAAAGCACCAGGCAAAATGTTTCCCATCCCTGCCAGAGCTGTCCAATTCTAGATTACACTGAAAGTACATGTCCAGTACATGATAATGTGCAGTAGAGAGAACTGTAAAACCTACTCACTCATTTTAAAACTCTCCATTTATATATTTTGGGGGAGGGATGTGGAACCTAGTCAGGTCTGAACTTTCTCACGTTGCTATGAATTGAGTGTATGAGAGGAAGTGTGTATTCTTTGGCTGGAGTCATAGAGAGACTGTTCTTAGCATATGACTCACCTCATTAGTTGTGCTGAAATCTGTTGTCAGGAATCCACAAGAAGTTCTTCATATTTATTTTGTGTTTCGGATAGCAGATTCTGTTACGAAAGAAGTACCCTTCACCCTACACTTTCTCTTTGGTTTGGTTTTTATTTGCATCCTGAGCAAAGGGATTTTTGATCAATAGACCTCATTCCTTTGTTCCTTTGTGACTTTACAGTGAATCTCTTTATCTGGTTTTAGACCTCACTTACTAGTTCCTTTGTGAGTTATGATGAAATATATCTGCACGTGATCTCTTTCCAGTTTTATTCAAACCCTATTTAGTAATGACTATTGGCTGTCTCAGTGATTTGATAAGTTGATTCATGATAGTTCGTGCTTTGTCCTTGGGACTTGTATTGTTTGGGAGCCTGATAATCAGTGTAAGATTTTGTGACTCAGTGGGCCTTGCTGTGTAGATCGGTGAGCTGTGATTGCTCTTTCTAGTCTGTTACCATGTAGGGGCAGGTCCCTAATGCACTTTGGGGTTATCCTCTTGTGTGTTTCTTTTATCTTCCACATGATGCTTCCATGGCACCATATTTGTTTTATTATTTCAATTCATGTGACATTTCTTTAGGGCCTTGGACAGCCTTTATCCTCTTCAGCCTGGCAGTCATTTTCCTTCCTAGCCTAGGCTTCAGGGTACTAATTGAGGAGTGATCAGGACTTACTGGGAGTTGATCTGGTCCTCTCATAACGCATATGCTGATTATTAATCAGTTGTCTCTAACCAGAGCAATCTGGTAAAATGAAAAAAAGGAGGGTAAGGTGGTCAGCAGAAAGGGGGAGTTAAGGAATAAGTAGAAAGTTTTAACCCTTCATAACCCATGCACCTAATGTAGAGGTAGAATTTTCCATTGAAGAAACTGAAGTTTTTGTCTGATTGTTCTTAATAACTGTAAAAGCAAAAATATATCTAAAGTGCACTGATTCTTTACACCTTTTAGAATTTTTATTTTTTGAATGATCATGGATGTACACTACTGCAGGTAGGGTAGGCTGTCAGGCTCATTAAGAATTGACATGCAGGCAGATTGGGGAGGAAGGTTAAGTCATGTTCTTTTGGGTTGAGGGAACCTGCTGGCTAGAACTGTCGCTGTTCTTTGACCCTTGCTGGCTGCTGGGCTGCCCAAGTTTGGATATACTAAACTGGGCTCACAAAGGGATCTACTGCTTTGGCCTTGGTAAATTATATTCTCCAGGATGCATATTTGGGTGGGCAAGAGAAGGAATATGAAGGCATGGTGGCCCCTCAGGCTCACCTCCTCTGCAGAGAACTGCTGCTCCTGCAGTGATGTGCTGCTGCTGGGGCTGGATAGCAGCCATGGTACTATGACAGTGTCCTCCCTCAACCCCGGCCATCCCTTAGCCCTCCAGTCCCTGGCTAGACAATTCCTTGCACATAAACTAAACTACTTAGTCATTTAGGAGCAAATGGAGATGTAATAAACTGGGCTAGATCATTTCTTGACTGTTATTTTCTTTAAGTTTTCACTGTTAAGATCAAATGAAAAATAATGCCAAAGGAGTTTTTTCTTCAAAGGTTTGAAAAGAATTTTCATAGAAAGCGAAAAATGGCAGTAATGTATATGTTAATTAAGACCAAGTTATAATAATAGCCTTTGTGTAGTGCTTTGAGAATACTTTTACATACACAATTGTGTTGGATGATTTAATAATGTATCGACCAGGAAAATGAGAAAGCACCCCTCCCCCTTACCTTTTACATTGAAGGTAGCCCAGACTTGGCAGCCTCTAGGGAACCAGCAAGGTCAGAGTCCATCACACAACTTTCCTGCTAAAGTGGTATTTGCCAAATCATGTCCAGAGGTGTTGTTTCTACAATCTTCTTGGCAACTCCGAAATGGGCTGCATTTGGGGCACTTCCTTTTGCCATCCTTCTGGCCCTTCTTGCCCGTCAAAAGCTTTTGTCTGTGGGCTTTGGAAATAGTCCAGTTTTTAAGGTGTTTTATTTTTCAGAGTTAATGGTTTCTTGACTAATCAGACTATGAAAATGCCTTCTCTAGGTTCTTTAATAGTTATACCAAGTGTTATTCCCATTTTAGGAATGAAGAAACTAAGGCTGACAGGCAAAGGTCATGTAGCCAGCATGTGGCAACACTAGAATAAATTGGCAGACTCAACACCATTAGCAGACCTGTCTGGAGGGAATGGTGGGTCTTGAACTTTCAAGTACCCTCTAAACTTTTTCAGCAGGAATTTCAGAAGTCTCAAGAATTCTGAGCTCCCTGCTGGCCATGGGACATTGTGCTGATATGGTGGGAAAAATGCAGGTTGAGAAAGCCTTCGCATCCTGCCCTGTTGGAGGCTGGTGTTTGGGATGGGTATGAAGGCCTTTGGCGGTGGCTATAGCTTATGCAGACCTGAAGCAATATACCTCTGGGATGGAAGATCCTGCTTATTTTGGGATAATTTCTAAATCTGTCATATCTATCCCCAACCCTGTCCCCATTAAATGGCTAATTGCCAAAAAAGAGGAAGCAACATCTTCAGCTCTAGCAAGTCTCGGGGATGTCTCACTCATTGTGAGGACTGTGAGGATTCGGTATATATTTTTAAGTGAGTGAACCTTGTTACATGTTTTAACCTTGGTTCCTCCTGTCAAGAATTTTATCTTCTCATGTCTTGGGCACCTTTTCCCTCTACCCAGATCAAATAGCAAAATGCTTAGTTAATCTTTGAGAGGATAGAATCCATGGGAAGCACAGGATGAAATGATGACGCTGTGCTAAGCTGTGTCACCGTGGGTAAGCCCCTGCCCTTGCTGTGACTTTCCACTTCCTAAATTAGAATGGAAGGGGGAAAAAAAAAAACCATAACCCAACTTCATTTTTATGAGTGGCCCTTTAGAAAATAGTGTAATCCGTTGAGTTTCCATTGTACCTTTCCTCAGAGATGCTCAAAGGGGCGGGGGTGCCCTTACATGGAACATGATGAGAGTGAGGATTAATCACTCCCAGTCCTCTGGGAGGGGGGAAGTGACCTGAACTTTCTAATTGAAAAAGTAGGAAGTGTGTGCCCAATGCCCAGATGAGTGGGAAGATTACTGTAGTTGATTGAGGAAATGCCGTATTTATCATTCACCCTTCCCATGACCTTTGTTTTTCCCTAATGCCTTAAAAAATAATAAGGAAACATTGTCCTACCTGATTCTACCACTGTTCATCTCACGCAGTGTGCACTCCCTGACTCTGAATTTTGCAGCTTTGAGACTGAGGTAATTGAGACTGATAGGGATTTAAGGATATTTGGTTCCCACAAGAATAAGCTAATATTAAGTTATTATTTTACTTGTGGAGAAGAACTAAATTGTATAAGCTGCCTGGTTCTTCTAGACACACATTGCCTAGTGAAAAAATTAAAATTTTGAAGAAAAAGCAGTTTTACTTGTTAATACTTGCCATGTGTCTCACCCACAAATAGCCTCATTTAAAACTTTGCCTTACCTAGCATGAATGGATAAAGAAAAAGGAGAGTTATTAGGGAATCTAAATTCCCAACTAACTTTAGCACTGATAGTGGTGAAGCTATGGGCAAGACATTTATTTTGTAAGTGGGGGTAAAACTTTGGAACGTGTTCAAAGCCTAGCTGCTCTAGTAATCCTCTCTCCTCTTCTGGAGTGGAAGATATTGGAAGTCTGAGAATAAGCAAAGCATGCAGATTATGAAGCTGAGGGGTTATAACTATTTCATTTATTGAAATATATTTCAATGATATTCAACTTGCTCAGAGAGAATCCGTGAGCTGTATTTTAAAAATCAATACAGGCTGGGCACGGTGGCTCACGCCTGTAATCCCAGCACTTTGGGAGGCCGAGGTGGGTGGATCATGAGGTAAGGAGTTCAAGACCAGCCTGGCCAAGATGGTGAAACCCCGTCTCTACTAAAAATACAAAAATTAGCCAGGCGTGGTGGCGAGCGCCTATAATCCCAGCTACTCAGGAGGCTGAAGCAGGGAATTGCTTGAACCCTTGGGCGGAGGTTGCAGTGAGCTTAGATTGCGCCACTGCACTCCAGCCTGGGCGACAGAGTGAGACTCCATCCCCAAAAAAAAGAAAATTAATACAAAGTGGTCACATAAATCTTTTAGAGATCCTTAGTCAATGTCTTTAAAATGTTTTTTAAGTGTTGTGCTTTCTCATTAAAGGTATGATATACCTTTAATTAAAGCTAAAGATATACCACTTTAGCTGTGGTTCCTTTCTGGTAGATGACCTGCCTTTTCCTTTTTGTTTTATTTGTCCACTTGTATGTGTTACTATTTTTCATTTAAACTCTGGCACCAAGAGCTGTACCGAAAGAGGCACCAACAAATGTGGTTGCTCCATAATGGAGAGAATGTCAAGAATGTTGACTATCTTTAGACCTGCTTCATTAATAGATAAGATAGAAACTAAAGAACCCACCCAGTTGGAAGAAGTTATTAGTCAAGTAGTGCTGCACACGTGACCACAGAAGTTAAAAAGGTAAATAATGTGTCTCTACATGTGGCCCACTCCAGTGAATTTGGAGAAGGATTTCTCCTTGGAGTCTTAAGAGGATATTTTTAAATTTAAGTGAACAATGTATTTTATTTGCAACTATTAGTTATGACTGAAACACACATAATACGTTTTGATTTTCTTTTTTCATTTCAGCACAGTGAAATTATAATCTGGACACGAGTTCCTAATTATTGCTTTAGTAGCTGGTAATGCACTTAGGAAAGTTAGAAATGAGTAAAGGAGAACCACAAAATAATAGTAATAGCACCATATGTCATGCATTTTAAGAAAATTGCTAATGTCTACTTTTTGGCCTTAAGTTGTAGTTGTGGGAGGCTGCTTCAGGGGGAGGTGTCTGGAACAAGGGGCTCTTCTGCTCCGCTAAGCTTTGGAGCACCAAGTTCAGGCTTTGTGTAGATAAGCTCAAGGATTTTTCAACAGGGGTGGGGGAGTGGAACAATCTAAATTTAAACTATAGAATCAACATTTTCTTTAAAAATTGTTCCAGTTTTCAAGAGGCGTAGGTGGATCCTGTGAATTATGTGATAATGCACACGCTTTTCCTACATCCTGCTTATGTCAAAACATTTCCAGAGACTTTCATTTTGGAGGTTTTATTTTCAGGCTACAGAATGGGCTGGGCGCTCCCTTTTTTATCTCTTATGCAAAGAATTTTAAGGAGTCTTAGGCTGACTTTTTAATATGGGAAGCTGGTAAAGGTCAGTGTTCTTATGTGAGCACTAAAGATATTTAAATTTGATATGTAATAATGTCTTTGCAAAGCAAAGAATATAAACAGTATAAAAGTACTAGCATTTAGATGTATTGTATCATTTAATCCTTAAAAACATGAAATGAGGTTGGCACTATTCTTTATCTCCACGCTGTGGAAGAGGAAATTGAAATGTAGAAGTTAGTAACTTGCCTAAGGATACACTGCTGGTAAGTGGTAAAGCCCAGGATTTTAACTCAAGGCTGTCTGATTGAGAATGCGGACTCATAAGCACAATATTGCACTCTAAGTTAATAATGTAAAGTTAGTTTCATTCTTTCAGTAGGGAAGATGGAAGGCTGCAGAATAGGGATTTTGATAGCAAAAATCTCCTCATTAACCCCAAAAGGAAGTGGCACTGGCAGGGCCATTCTGAAGCCTACCGGTAGCTTCAGTATTGTTCTTAATGCTCTTGGATGGAGAGAATGTATCTTGAGCCAATGTATTAATAGTAGATTGCTTTGCTTATGTAGTAGGCAATATATGGGTATACATTTTCCTGACTATTATCTTAATGACTATTCCAAATTATGACTACCTTAAAAACTACCAAAATCCCCTGCTCCAGAATTTTCAGTTTCAGATGAGGTTCATAATTCATGGCCTCACTTTTCCCACATTCTCCTACAGGTTGGACGTGATAAGTATGAGCCTGCAGCTGTTTCAGAACAAGGTGATAAAAAGGGCAAAAAGGGCAAAAAAGACAGGGACATGGATGAACTGAAGAAAGAAGTTTCTATGGTAAGTACTAGGAGGAATATTGTATTCCATCCTTATTAAAAATCCATGATTTTTAATCCCCCAGGCCTCACTGTATTCTTCAAAGAACTGCTATATATTAAAAGAGATCATAGCAGCTGTACAGATCTCATCTAGTCGTAGAGGTTAATGTTGAACATATACTTTTTAAAAGCTGTTAGAGGGTAGGAAAAGTTATTCAGTCACTCTGGCATAACCAGAGATAACAGAAGGAACTTAGGTTGATACCATGAGTCTTTGCTTTTCTCTGTATTATATCAAACATTGGGAAATTCAGCCTCTCCAGGCGATGGAAGCTTCCATAGACTTAACCTGTCTAGAATCGACCTGGTCATCAGAGAAGGCAGATAAGGTTTTACTAGATCCCTGAGAGCTGCTGGGTTTCTCTGAAGTGTTATGGCAAATAGTAATGGGCCACGGTCACTCAGCTTTAGCCATTCTCCAGTGAAGAGCTGTCAATGATAACTGTGTGGTTGCAAAGCCACAAAGCGATGGTGAAAATTGTACCAACTTATGCACTGAAGAAAACATCTGCACTTTGTTTAATAAGCTTAATGATAGTAATGAATAATGCTATTTTTTCTGTCATTTTTTTATACTACACTGTTTAACTATTTTCTTTGTTTCTGTTTTCCCTTAGGATGATCATAAACTTAGCCTTGATGAACTTCATCGTAAATATGGAACAGACTTGAGCCGGGTATGTTCTAGTTTGAAAGCTGTTGTACAAAATCCTAGTTTTCCGTATTATATTTTCCCCTGTATTACATACAGGTCTAACCTCAGGGGCTCTAGTAAGAAAATGACAGACACCATCTGCGTATCTACCATGTGACATGCACAGAATTTGGGCATTTATATGCTACCGTTTCTTTTCCCTGAAACTTTTTGAAAGTAGATGTTATTTTCTTTTCCCTATTTTATAGCAGTTGAGAGCCAGTAAGTGGGAACACCAGGACTTGCAGTTGGCTTCAAAGCCATGCTTATGCCTTGACCTTTTGATGATAAATTTTCCCTTTATTTTTCTACATTTGTTAAATAGAGTTGAATCTTTCACCTAGTTGAATCTTCAACAATTCCCATTTTTGCACTTTTCCCAGCTAGCCCATTGCAGTGTGTTATGGTTATACTATCATTTGTTTAGTTATTCTATCATTTAGTTGGAAATTGTTTTGTACAAAAATTAAAGAAACCTTTTCATAAAATAGGCGTTATGTATCCTTGTTATGTAGAGGATTTTGATATTAAATGTGTAACAAATGTTATAAAAGTAAATAGTCTAGGGATGTCTTATTTCCAGATAATCACTGAAATGTCTGGGAATAACTTGAATAGCAAGCCAATATGTAGCATTTTTTCAGTAAGGCATCAAGAGACATGGGTACTGTGGTATTCTGATATATATTGGTTTTTGTCCACAGTTCCTGGTTCATAACTCCCATAGCCCTTATTACAGTCGTTTGTTATAATGTTGGGTGTGTTAGACCTCAGTGGCAGGCTTCAAGAAACAGGATCTCTCTCCTGCCCTCCTTTTCACCTGTCGCAAGGCAGGACTCTAATCTTGTTCCACTTTTCTGATTTTCCAGGTAGATAGTGTTGGAATTGAATTGGAGGAAACCTTGGTGGTGGGGAGAAACCGCCACACCTTTGCTCACAGAAGTCATCTTCTGTGTTGATTGTTGGGGTGTAAGAGTAGAGAAGAGGCCGGGTGCGGTGGCTCATGCCTGTAATCTCAGCACTTTGGGAGGCTGAGACTGGTGGATCACCTGAGGTCAGGAGTTCGACACCAGCCTGACCAACATGGAGAAACCCCGTCTCTACTAAAAATACAAAATTAGCCTGGCATGGTGGTGCATGCCTGTAATCCCAGCTACTCGGGAGGCTGAGGCAGGAGAACTGCTTAAACCTGGGAGGTGGAGGTTGCAGTGAGCCAAGGTTGTGCCATTGCACTCCAGCCTGGACAACAAGAGTGAAACTCCATCTCAAAAAAAAAAAAAAAAAAAAAAAAAAAAAAAGGAGAGAAGAACAAGGTTGAGAGCGTTTTTCTTGACACAAGCACTTTAAGCTCCAAGAGGAGGCCTCGAGTCAGCTCAGAACAACATGCCAACAGTGACTCTGTGCTTACTTTGTGCCAGGCAGTCTCTAGCCACTTCACATCTCACTTAAGTTTTTATTAGAGTCTTAATGAAGTGTGCTCTCTCCGACCTATGCCCATTACTCAAATGCTGCGGGTCTATTTCTTTACTTATAAAATGAGGTTAATAATGCCTAAAAAAGGATTGTCATGAGAATTAAACAAGTTAATTAAAGCACTGAATTCAGTTCCTGGCATGTAGATAGCACTCAAATGTTTGGTAACATGAGCACAAAACACAGATAAATAGATACTTTAGACAAAAATATTTTATTTTTTTTTTGACTTGTTATTTTGAGAGTATAAAAGTGATCATATTTTCCTCTCTTAATGAGAGCTTATATGTAATTGCCTGCTGTCAGTGAATCTTGGGTTTAAGGCCCATTAGAAAAATAGCAGGCTTTAGTAGAGTGGTTTTTTCCAGTGAGTACTTTTCAGTCAACAGGTTTATTGGGAGGTGGCTAAAATGCACATGGAGGTGAGCCCTTCCCTGCCAGACAAGCAAAGAATCAAGCTGTATATTTAAAACTTGGCTGTTAACCCAAAGGATTTCTACAGGAAGTTTTTTTCTCCTTTGATGTTTGTAGAGGGGTTTTTTTTCCCCTCCCGACAAAATCAATACACAGAAAACCCAAAGCTCTTAATTTGCAAAACTGAATGGATTTGTGAAAATAGATACCTTTTTGGCAGAAATGCAATTTGGCATTAATCCCTTGATCTAAAACTTAGAAGAAACCAGGCTGAATTCAAATTTATTGATGGATCAATTTAAAGAGTTTTAATCTGGGTGTTATGAGTTCCTTGGGCCTATTGTTTGCCTGAACCCTGTGGGGACTGGCTCATCAGCAGAATTATTCATGGAGGAATTTGCTAGGTTTTACCTTGGCTCTCTAGCTTGGGACATTTTGTTTCTTCCTTAAATCCTTATTGCAACCGTCCAGCTACCAGGTAGGTATATTGCCTTGTAAGTGCTGGTACAGTTTGCCTTATTTATATTCCACTGCTTCTCAGGGATTAACATCTGCTCGTGCAGCTGAGATCCTGGCGCGAGATGGTCCCAACGCCCTCACTCCCCCTCCCACTACTCCTGAATGGATCAAGTTTTGTCGGCAGCTCTTTGGGGGGTTCTCAATGTTACTGTGGATTGGAGCGATTCTTTGTTTCTTGGCTTATAGCATCCAAGCTGCTACAGAAGAGGAACCTCAAAACGATAATGTGAGTTCTGTAATTCAGCATATGGATTTGTAGTACACATCAGATATCTTCTCCGTCTTTGTCTCCCACTTCTTCTCAATTACCACTCATTACTTAATGGTTATGAACTCATTACTTAATGGTTATGAACAGCTGTTGCCTTCAAGGCTCATCCATTCTTCCTTCGTTTCCATTTCCTCTCTCTACCACCCACGTTGTAGATGCTCTTACAAGTGGGATGCCCACCTGCATGTGCTGCTGTGAGCAGGCAGCTCTGCTCAGGCCCCGGCCGCCACCCACTGGATGGCAGAGCACAGCGATTCATGTTGGCACATCCACCTGTCCAGAAATGCTTGGTGGCCATTCTTCAAAATCCACAAGTTGGTTGAAAAACAATCTTTGTTTTATAAAGCAGGAGAAACTGATGCATCTAGAACCTTTCCAAACGTCCAGTTAGTGATCAAGTGTTGGTGTGCCTGACTCCATTTCTGACCCTTCCTGTGTGGTCTTTAGAAGGATAAATAAGAAAACATGAGTTCTATATTTCTGAAATCTTGGTTTCTCTATTAAAAATCTGTTTTTTATTCAGTCAAAAAATTAATTGAATGTCCCTAATTATTGTGTAGAGCCACGGGCCCTAACTTGTCTTTTCCCTTCCAGCTGTACCTGGGTGTGGTGCTATCAGCCGTTGTAATCATAACTGGTTGCTTCTCCTACTATCAAGAAGCTAAAAGTTCAAAGATCATGGAATCCTTCAAAAACATGGTCCCTCAGGTACCAGACGCTTTGTCCTTCCCCAGTGGATGACTTGACAGCCCCAAGCATGTCAGCCTGTGAATTAGTGTGAAGTTAAGGTTTTCCAAGTATTACATGACTCATCAGAGAGATGGATGTCTTCTACCCCACCCAAAACCAACCTATTTTCCTTCTATCCAAAAAGTGGTAGCCTTTCTTTTGAATGTAAACTCTGAATACAGGCACACCATGTAACAGCAATATCTCTTAAACTGGCGAGCAAGCTTTTGTAACTTGTGTAAATAAAAAAGTGAATAATATCTTTGTTTTGTATTCAGGTAATTAGGATTATGACTATTTTTATTTTCTTGTTTTGGACACTACCTTCTCTTTGTTGGTATACTAACGGTGTAAATTGTTTCTTTTCCAAAGCAAGCCCTTGTGATTCGAAATGGTGAGAAAATGAGCATAAATGCGGAGGAAGTTGTGGTTGGGGATCTGGTGGAAGTAAAAGGAGGAGACCGAATTCCTGCTGACCTCAGAATCATATCTGCAAATGGCTGCAAGGTAGCTCTTTTATTTTAACAAACCTCATAGCTAGCTCTGCTGTTCGGGCAGCTTGATTTGAGGGGTACAGTAGCCCATGATAAGGCTGGTGTATTCACATGACATTTTTCTTCTTTTCCTCACATATAGGTGGATAACTCCTCGCTCACTGGTGAATCAGAACCCCAGACTAGGTCTCCAGATTTCACAAATGAAAACCCCCTGGAGACGAGGAACATTGCCTTCTTTTCAACCAATTGTGTTGAAGGTAGGCCATTTTTGGGCACTTTGAGCATGGCGTGGTATTTCTCTTGGGCATTAACAAAATCAAAACCATAGGCACAATCTCTTGTTTTATTGGCTCCATTTCTGAGAACTTGTGTCAAGCACAGAGCAGAGGTGTTTTCCTAGCTGGCAGGAAACCTTGTGGCAGTTTCCCTTCCCTCCACCTCCACCCTGCCTCTTCTGTCAACAACACCAGTCTGGCATGGGTGTTGGAGCTGCTGTCCTGCTACTGGAGAGAAGTCCCTTTGCCAAACAGCATGTACAGCCAAAGAGCTGGCCCTTAAAAAGTGCTTTTATCAACTCTTTTTGTTTTTTTAGTCATCCTATGTAATTGTGTAAAATCCGTGGCTTCCTTCAGGTTAGATACAATTAGGTACAGTTCTCCCTCCCCTTCTTTTTAAGGCACCGCACGTGGTATTGTTGTCTACACTGGGGATCGCACTGTGATGGGAAGAATTGCCACACTTGCTTCTGGGCTGGAAGGAGGCCAGACCCCCATTGCTGCAGAAATTGAACATTTTATCCACATCATCACGGGTGTGGCTGTGTTCCTGGGTGTGTCTTTCTTCATCCTTTCTCTCATCCTTGAGTACACCTGGCTTGAGGCTGTCATCTTCCTCATCGGTATCATCGTAGCCAATGTGCCGGAAGGTTTGCTGGCCACTGTCACGGTAAGAGGCAGGTGATGGTCACCCTGACTCAGATCAGCTTGCACGAATGTTACACTCTTCCGCTATCCTATTCTAAGGTATTGCCAACTTATGTTTTATTCTGGATGTTTGATATAGTTCTTCTTGAGAGCCACATCACGTGGTGAATTTTGACAGTGAGAAAACCTCAGCATTTGTTTATACGTAAGATAACCCCAAAGCATACATTTTGCTTTTAAATTATCACGTGGTCCTGAACAGTGCAGTGGAGAAAGGAGAAGAACTTGGGATCAAGTAGGGGGATAGAATATGGTAGAATCCTGTTATTATTTTTCTTAATAGATTGCTTTTCTGGAAGGAAGGGGAAGCCTCATGTATGGGTTCCCCTTATTATTTCTTCAAACTTCAGAAGAAGGTTGGAGAGATTTAATTTTAGACAAATTTCTTCCACATTAGGATATAGCAAGAATCTGTATAGAATTCCAGCCTGGTTGAGTGAAGTAATAATCTTCCTAATATTTTTTAGGTCTGTCTGACACTTACTGCCAAACGCATGGCAAGGAAAAACTGCTTAGTGAAGAACTTAGAAGCTGTGGAGACCTTGGGGTCCACGTCCACCATCTGCTCTGATAAAACTGGAACTCTGACTCAGAACCGGATGACAGTGGCCCACATGTGGTTTGACAATCAAATCCATGAAGCTGATACGACAGAGAATCAGAGTGGTAAGGCCAGGGTTACCACACACCTCAGCCACCTGCTGACTTCGCTTGGTTTTTTTTCTTTTAAGAAATTGCATGAAATTTCTTTTTTTTTTTTAAGCTCATGGCAGCTTTTTCTTTCTTTTTTGTTTTTTTTTTTTTTATCATTTAGTGAAGAGTCAAGGGTATGGGATATTGATTTTTTGCATGTCAGTAGAAACTTTAAATTGCCCTACAAACGTGACTGAAGAATGCCTAAAATGTGATTGGTTTCATTAATTGGGAAATGAGATGTATCACTGCAGATTTCTATGGGACTTTAATAGGAGAACTGAGAACACAGCCTTTGAAGTTAATGCATTGTTGTTCTGTTGTGTTTTCTTGCCTCCATCAGGTGTCTCTTTTGACAAGACTTCAGCTACCTGGCTTGCTCTGTCCAGAATTGCAGGTCTTTGTAACAGGGCAGTGTTTCAGGCTAACCAGGAAAACCTACCTATTCTTAAGGTATGCTCAAGAGTTAACTAATGGAGGGATGTAGACAGCACATGAGAACTGCCATTTGAGTGTTAAAAGTAGCAAATTACCTTTGTGGTCTGTGTGACTGTTCACTGTAGAACACCTGGAGTGGTCTGTGCAGTACTTTGCTGTGTGTAACTTACATTGTGTTGCCTGTAGATCCTGATGTATTATAGGACCCCCTGCTCCATATAGGTTGATTAAAAAGGGAAGATGCAGTAAAAATCTGACCAAAGTGGGAGGGGAGGAGACGGAAGACAGTCTTTATTGGTGAAAAACCTAATTCATCTGCTTTTACTACTCTTGAGTTTATATGTTATCACCTAACCTAGTGGACAGTGAGAGCTGAGGGCTGCAGTGACTCCATAATCGTATTTGCATATTAGGATACAGTAGATTCCAGTAACTCCTTTAAGCCATTTATTTTCCTGAAATAGCTCAGCTTATCTTATCTTATTGGTTCTTAGCTTGTTTACTAATGATGTAAAAATAAGCTCCAGGCCAAAATAAGCCCAGCCTTAGCCTGTGGAATTCTGATGCAGTTTGAAATGATTGAGATTTTACTATGCTGCCCAAGTGAAGATGCAGTCTCAGAAGGATCATGAATTGTACAAAGTCCTGTAGGAGAAGAAAGCTATGTGAGGCTCTCTGGGTCCCACATTCTCTGTGAAGCTGCCTGTAGTAGTTGTGGGTATAAACTAAGTTGCCAAAGGGAATATGGCTTGGATGTAACTCAGATGCCTTCTGTGATGAGGATAGGGTTCATTTATTCTGCAAAGGAGATTTTCTTGGCATTGAATTGATGTTGATTTGAGGATAATGTTGTGTATCTTGAGGATAAAACTTGAGATAAATGTTTCATGTTTTTCTTTACCTCAAAGTGGAAATGTTCTAGGCTTTGAGCATCAGGTCCCACAAGTATCAAATCTTTCCTGATTAAAAAACCCCAGAAAGGTAGCAGAAGCTGTATTCCAAGTATTTCTGGAGTTCGGCCATGTTGATGGCATTATTACTAAAAAGCGGGGAGGGAGAAGCAGCCCTATTCTGCTTTTATTAAAAATGGCTTTTATTAAAATAAGTGGCTTTTATTTAAAATGTCCCCCACTTATTTTGTGTTTCTTTCCAAACCCAGCCAACTTTCTTGCTCTGTGGAGCTGCTATACTTCTGAGCATTGATCTGTTCATCTGCATATGCAGCCTTACATGTTAAGGTTCTAAAAGGTTTACCTATATAAAATTTGTTTACAACTGAAAATGCTTTCAGTATGTCAAAATATAAGTGTGTCATCATGTATCATAGAAAATATGTGTGTCACTGAAGCATGGGCTTTAACTAAAATGTTACGTGGTTCGATTTTATTACTGTTGGAGTTGGTAATAGCTTTCAGTTCACATCCTTCAGGCCCAGTTAATTTTGCACAGTTATGATTAGAATGCACAGTCTTCTACTTTGCCCTTGACACAGGCAGCTTGTCCCCAGTCCTGAGACCTTAAGCATTTTCTTACGAATTCTACGGTAATGAAAGGTGCTATAAATGTTTAATCTCTCACTTGGTATTTTCAGATAAGTAACCAGAAGTAGGTAGTTGGGAATAGCATTGGCTTTGAGACTTTTCAGTAGGCCAGGGGAAGATAGAAATAGACTGCAGTAGGTTGGAAGGGTGTGTTAATACCTCTTCTAGGGAAGGTGACACCTTCCCACACCCTTCTTTCACTAGAAGCTGCTGTGGGGTGGGGAAGGACGTTGGGGTTTGAGTCTGAAGCACTGTGAACAGCAGTGGTCGGGGCTAGAGGGACTCCTGTCCCACTTAACACCGCTGCTTCCTTCTTGCCCATCCTCTGCTACCTCTGACAAGATTGGAATGTGTCTTGAGTTATTTTTCCTGTTTTTTAGTGATGCCTCAGTGAAATTTTTTGGAGATAATTTACAGATGATGTCTCTGTTCACAGCGGGCAGTTGCAGGAGATGCCTCTGAGTCAGCACTCTTAAAGTGCATAGAGCTGTGCTGTGGTTCCGTGAAGGAGATGAGAGAAAGATACGCCAAAATCGTCGAGATACCCTTCAACTCCACCAACAAGTACCAGGTCTGAAGATCGATGGGTACACGGAGGGCGAGGGCAAGCTGGGGGACAAAGAGGGGAGGTACATGAGCAGGAAGAGGAAATATTCTCCCTTTGGAGTTTTATAAGCTTTAGCTTTAAATTTTGCCCTTGATTACCATAGAATGCCATAATTTAGTTGAATATCAGCAGGATAAATGAAGCCTCTTGCAAAACACTGTTGAGCCCTTTTGAATACTTGTGGTTTGGGGTGGGTGTGGGCATGTGGGGAGGTGGCTGGAGGTATGTGTACACAAGTGTTCCCCAATCCCTGTGTTCTGAAATTTCGTATGTTCTTTTTTAATGTGAACAAATGTCAGGAATTTATGAATATATCATAGTGCTCATTTTTTTTTTTTTCTGTAGCATTCAAAGTATGTTACAGGTGTAAGATACTTCAGAGTTCAGAAAGAAGGGATCTTGGGTCTTTTATAGCAAATACTAAATAGTAAGTGAAGCTTTGTTTTCCACCATGGACTGCCACACATCCAACCATCCAATGTTTATGTCTCAACAATCCTTCACAGTTGTCTATTCATAAGAACCCCAACACATCGGAGCCCCAACACCTGTTGGTGATGAAGGGCGCCCCAGAAAGGATCCTAGACCGTTGCAGCTCTATCCTCCTCCACGGCAAGGAGCAGCCCCTGGATGAGGAGCTGAAAGACGCCTTTCAGAACGCCTATTTGGAGCTGGGGGGCCTCGGAGAACGAGTCCTAGGTATGCAGATAACCTGGTAACAGAGTGCCTGGGCACGTTTTTATCCAGTAACCTAGTCTGGTAGACAGTTAACAAGTGATCCTATGAACCTCTATGTCTTGTTGACCTTCCTCTACATCTTTTAGGGGCAATCCTCCTATTTGTTTATTTGCCCCCTATTATTTTGAAAACAATAAGTGCTGAAGAAATGTTCAGCGTATTGGGCTGTGAGAAACAACGTCCTGATGGTTTGCTTCTGACTTGTACTTAGACCTTTGGTCTCATGCTAGTCAGTTCTGTTTGTTTAAAAAAAAAAATGGTGGAAGAATATCTTTCTTATCTAACCTTTGTTGCTGTGGACATGACTTATAAGCCTAATTAAAGTTAATTAATTCTTAGTGTGTCTAAGTTAGACATACTATTTCCTGACTGCCTTGGAATGGGTGTGAATTTACATGAGCACTTATGTGCTCAGCTTAGAAACTAGACTAACGGTAAACTTTTAGTCTAAGATGCTACCTATTTTTTTCTACCCTGACAGCTACTGAGGCTGAGAAGTTCACTTTACCCATTGTCTAATGTATTTGGGAAAGTGGCATTTATAATACTTTGTAGGTTGACAGATACTACATTCATTATTTATATAATGCTTCCTATTCTTCTTAACTTGGGTAAATCTAACTCATGGTATCTTTCGTATGTGTCTATCCAACCGAAGGATTGCTATCTTCTCTTTAAGTGTTTTTCACTTCCCTACTTCCACCACCCCAAAGTGGAAGCAGTCTCTCTTCTTTTGAGTCCACATGGCACGTTAAAGATCATTGTAACGTCATACAACATTGAAAAGAATGTCTTACATTATCTTGATTCTTGTATTTACTATACTAGATGATAAACCCCCTGGGCAGAATGCATCTGATCTGTACTTATCCTCAAAAGTAGCTAGCATGATGTCCCACATTGGTGCTCAGTAATATGTTTCAGTTAAATGAACAAGAGAGCAGAGGTATGGCCTTGATGTTTCCAGAGAAGGCAGCTGAGGCAGATAATTCCATGATTTGCCAAATCCAAATAACTTAATGTCATCATCAGTGGGCAAGTCTAGAACCCTAATATCCTGGTGCTCAAAATTAGTGTTATCAATTCAGTCTTCTCCACATTAAACAATTTCCAATTCCTTTGAGGCCTGGTGTGATGGATTCTGTCTTTCAAATGCTTTTTTTCTTTCAGTGACTCTATCGTTCATAAATGTTAAATAAAACCCTCACTCTGTTATAAAAATATAGACTTTAAAAATTTTCCAAAGTAAACACTCCAGAGAAAGGTAGGCGGGCTGAATAGGCTGCTGTTGTCCTTCTTACTGCCCAGCGTCACTGAAATTTTCAAAGGCTCCTGTCCTCCTCGCAGGTTTCTGCCACCTCTTTCTGCCAGATGAACAGTTTCCTGAAGGGTTCCAGTTTGACACTGACGATGTGAATTTCCCTATCGATAATCTGTGCTTTGTTGGGCTCATCTCCATGATTGACCCTCCACGGGCGGCCGTTCCTGATGCCGTGGGCAAATGTCGAAGTGCTGGAATTAAGGTAGTGCCCAGGCGCCTCCTTGGCTTCATCTCTTAGTGCCTTGGGACACCCTACTCAGTGAATGTTGCCTTTTGAGGTCCAGATGGCCAGCTGTTCTATCTCACCTGGAGTATTAATTTCTCATCTCCAAAGCTTTACTTCCACCCAGAAAAGACCAGATAGTATTAAAATATGATGGTGTAAACACACGAGGAATTAAAAATTTTTTGGAAAGCAATTGTGTAAAAAAGAAATGTAAGCAAAGTAAAAACAGCAAAAGACTTGAAGTTTTAAAATACTTGCATTATTCTAAGTTAATGTACCTTATGCAATGAATGGCATATCTTCTGTGTTTTCAGTTAACTGTTTGTTAATGAGTGTTTGGTGTCCTCTGTGTATCTGTCTTTTTTTAAGTAGCTGAATATTACTCAAGTGCACTAATATCCTGTTGCTGGGTATTTGGTTTCTGTTTTTTACTCTCAGGATTTTATTTTATTTATTTTTTGAGACAGAGTCTTGCTCTATTGCCCAGGCTGGAATGTCATAGCACGATCTCGGCTCACTGCAACCTCCGCCTCCCAGGTTCAAGCAATTCTCCTGCCCCAGCCTCCCAAGTAGCTGGAATTACAGGCACCCGCTACCACGCCCAGCTAATTTTTGTATTTTTAAGTAAAGATAGGGTTTCGCCACGTTGGCCAGGCTGGTCTCAAACTCCTGACCTCAGGTGATCTGCCCACCTCAGCCTCCCAAAGTGCTGGGGTTACAAGCGTGAGCCACCACACCCGGCCTACTCTCAGGATTAATACTGCCCTGAAAAGCTTTGTAGAAGTTATTTCCTCACCATTCCGACTGCTTCTTTTTAAAGTATATTCTAAGTATAATCACTGCATCAAAAAATAACAATTTTGAATTCTTGTCACATGTTGCTTTTCCTCCAAGTTGTGCCAATTTGAGAATGCTAGCCAGTAGCATGTGGTGTCTTCACAGTCCCACCAGCATCAGATTTTTATCCTTTTTTTTTTTTTTTTTTTTTGCTGGTTTTAGTAATTTTCAAGTATTTTTATGTAACTCTGTAGAAGGAAAAATAGACATTGTGTATGCTAGTGATTGTATACCAAGATAAAACCTGAGTATTGCCTTTGTGTTTCCTTTCTGTGGATATATATGTTTATATTTTTGGCTAATCGATGTTTATTAGTTTTATATTTGCATTCCTTTCCTTTTGATAGTCTAAGCCGAATCATCCTTAGTATTTACTCTTGCCTACTGGATATAAGACTTTAAGGTCATTTACTTGGCAGTTGCATTCAACACATTGTCTTGTTTATTACAGGTCATCATGGTCACAGGAGACCATCCAATCACAGCTAAAGCTATTGCCAAAGGTGTGGGCATCATCTCAGAAGGCAATGAGACCGTGGAAGACATTGCTGCCCGCCTCAACATCCCAGTCAGCCAGGTGAACCCCAGGTAAGGCAGGAAGCTCAAATCACAGTCTGCTGTGAACAAGCAAATAGTGATGGTTTAAAATCTTCAGCGTGGTTCTATAATGGTTTGCATCTAGGCTTGCTCTGAGTAGGAAATGTACCTGCACTGCCAGAAAGCAACCTTGTCATTCCTAAGAAGGGTTTTAAGTAAGAGCAAGTCATAATAATTAGCACTTAGATGGTATTTACTGTTCTAAGAGCTTGATATGGTGACCTATTATTTGCAGAGCAGGGAAGGTAAGGATTCAAGAGGCTTTTGAAGTACCTCAGAACTGGTGAAATCATGCAGTAAATTCAGCAGTCTAGCTTCTGATTTCATGCTGTTAACCACTGAGCTCTACTGCCTAGCACCTAGCATCTTGACACTTTCCAGGTCCACACTAACAAAATAAAATAAGGAAGGGACAATTACTTAGGCCATTCAGGCAAACACAGGAGACATTTGGCAATGAAGTAAAACAGATAATAGCAAATTGGTTTTGTTTTAAGGTTTAGGGCCCTTTCACCCTATGTTACGGTTAGAGGAGGGTTTGGTCTTGTATCAGCTCTGCCACTTTCTAAAACTTGGTTATATTTCTTTTTTTCTTTGATGGAGTCTCGCTCTGTCATCCCGGTTGGAGTGCAGTGTCATGATCTTGGCTCACTGCAACCTCCACCTCCTGAGTTCAAGTGATTCTCCTGCCTCAGCCTCCCAAGTAGCTGGGATTACAGGCCCCAACCACCATGCCCGGCTAATTTTTGAATTTTTAGACCACCATTTTGGCAAGCTGGTCTCGAACTCCTGACCTCAAGTGATCCACTCACCTCAGCCTCCCAAAGTGCTGGGATTACAGGCATGAGCCACACACCCAGCTAAAACTTGGTTATATTTCAGCATGTCTAATAAAGATAGGGAAAGGAAGAATACAGACAGGCCTGCCTTAGAGATCATCATGAGCCTCAAATGAGATAAAATATATGAAAATGCTCTGTAACCTGTAAAGTACTGAACACTTAATAGCTTTTATGTGCTGGGGAAAATTCCTTCTTTGTTTTGTTTACAAAGTGATCTGCATAAGAATATCCCCTCTTGAGGTGATGGACACATGCTGGTGATGTGATGCGTGACTTTTTTTTTTTTTTTGTCCTAATTCTAGGGATGCCAAGGCCTGCGTAGTACACGGCAGTGATCTAAAGGACATGACCTCCGAGCAGCTGGATGACATTTTGAAGTACCACACTGAGATAGTGTTTGCCAGGACCTCCCCTCAGCAGAAGCTCATCATTGTGGAAGGCTGCCAAAGACAGGTCAGCCAGCACAAGGATCAGGCTGCTTTGGGCACTATTGGCTTTAGGGATTGGAGTTCCAGTGGAAACAGAGCAACGGTGATGGATGGATGCATACCTCGCTGTATTAGACTCAGTATAAATAGGCCAGTAGGAAGCTCATAGGCATAGAGAGGGTGACTTGTTAATGGTTTAGCAGTGACAGAAGCACTTTAAAGTCCAGGTGTCCACTGTGTCCCAGAGCCTGACCGCTCCGTGGAGTCATCTGATATGGGGTCCTAGTATTTGCAATAGAGATGTGAGTGGTCAGACTACAGGGCGTGCATACAGGAATGGCATTTTCTGGAGTGCCACCCACCAGAGTCATTACTTTGAGTAGCTCTTGTTAATGCTGGGGGCTATGTTTGTTGTCACTTCTCAGTTCTGTTATTTGGTGTAGGGCCTGTGTGAATACTTGCCTGTGACGGTTCTCAGGCTTCATAAATAGTCTCAATAGGAAAGGAGCAGTGTCTGTAATGAGTGCTCAGTGGGGGCATGCATCGCACTATTTCCATCGCTAGGAAAAGTGATTGGTATTAACCCGTTTTCCCTTTTCTGGGGTAGGGTGCTATCGTGGCTGTGACTGGTGACGGTGTGAATGACTCTCCAGCTTTGAAGAAAGCAGACATTGGGGTTGCTATGGGGATTGCTGGCTCAGATGTGTCCAAGCAAGCTGCTGACATGATTCTTCTGGATGACAACTTTGCCTCAATTGTGACTGGAGTAGAGGAAGGTGAGAGCTATTTAAGGTGTACACCAAGATCTTATTCAGATACTGCCCATTAGCATCCATTTCTGTATACTTCTTGGATATGTTCAGTTTCCAGTGTGCTTGTCTCATAAGCTAACAGTAAAAAATCTTGGTTTTCATAGGTCGTCTGATCTTTGATAACTTGAAGAAATCCATTGCTTATACCTTAACCAGTAACATTCCCGAGATCACCCCGTTCCTGATATTTATTATTGCAAACATTCCACTACCACTGGGGACTGTCACCATCCTCTGCATTGACTTGGGCACTGACATGGTGAGTGTCACAACAGTCACAGATCGATAGTAGTGAGGTGTGAGCTGTGTCTTCATTCACTGGCACTATGCTCCCAGCATCCATGAGGCTGGCGTTGGGAAAAGAAATTCTCAGGACCAGTATCCAGTGTGTGTCCCAATCCCGGCTTCACAGAATCAGTATTACCACTCTTCAAGGCAGCAGTTAACATTTGTTTATCAGATGGGAATCTTTATTTTTGTATACTTCACCTAAAAGATTTTTAAATGGGAGGGCAAGAATTTTATAACAAAAGGTTCACAATATTAGCTTCCTTATTTTTAGTAACTAAATTCCTTCTCCCCACCCCTTCCCAGGTTCCTGCCATCTCCCTGGCTTATGAGCAGGCTGAGAGTGACATCATGAAGAGACAGCCCAGAAATCCCAAAACAGACAAACTTGTGAATGAGCGGCTGATCAGCATGGCCTATGGGCAGATTGGTAAGCTGCAGCCTGGAGTGGGAAGCTGGCACATCTAAGGCATCTGAGGTGATGGTGTCCACCTCAGGTTGAGGTTGATTTCAGAGACTGCAAATCCAGGCGACTTTCAGGTCTAGGATGAGCCCTAACGGAGTGAGCCTGTGGAGTTTCTCTGAACTCTCTTCCATGTGAGAATACATCTGTTGCTGTTTGCCCAGTTACCTTTTGTGGAAACTGGTTTTCTATACTGAGCACCTTGGAACTGGGCTCAACTCTGCCTGAGAAATGAGGATGTCCTTCCTCACTGAGCCTTGCGGAACAGGAGGCATGGTTCTAAGGAATTGTGTGTACTGACGCACAGGCTGCTTTCCCTGGAGATACACACTTATCTGTCACTCACTTGGATGGAGTTAGGCATTGGAGAAAGTATATGTGTTTGAGAGTTTGGCTGGTAGGTCACCACCAAAGGGTGATCCTCCATCCACCTCACACTGGACTTCTGCCCCCACAGTGCAGCATGACTAGCTAACAGGTGATCCAGGTGGTGGGCAATCAGCATGCCATTTGTTTTTAAATCCTCTGCCTAGGGTTCCTTCAAGAGAACCTGGCAAAGCCACCATGGATGTCTTATTCTCCTGGATTAATGGGTCACATAACTGTGAACGCTTGGATAAAGAAGAACAGATTAGATAGAATATTGTGGAAATTATGGCAAAGATTCATTAGACAGTTGTTGGCAACAAAGTAATTGGCTGGTGGCCCATCCTGACCTTCTCCAAGGAGGCCTGCTTTTGAGAGGAAGGAAGACTAGGTCTCTGGTGGTTTAGGATGAAACCCTGCCCTGAGGAACTTGGAGCAGCGTGGTTAAATTGGATGCCAGGGGGAGGAGGGTCCTGAAGGTGGGGAGGAGAGTCAGAAAGTGCCACAGTGGCTAGAAAAATGGCAGCATGTAGGAATTTTGAAAGATGGAAAAGAAGTTATCATTTGTCAGAGATTAAAAAGTAGGGAAGTGGATTTCCCCTAAAGGTCATACCCTTAGAAGCAGCTGGTCAAGTAACAGGTGGGCATTTTGAGAGCAAGGCACATGTGTCTTTGTGTAGGCTCCAAAAAGTGACTCAAAAAGCAGAGGGCCCTGAGATTGGAGTGTATGCCTGGGGTCCTCCATCCCATCCCTCATAGCCTGTGAGTGACCAGGCAATTCTTTCCTGTGCTTTTATCAACCAGGGGGAAACACTCCTCCATATGTGCTCTCCCAGGCCTGCTGCAGTAATCAGCTGAAGGCTATACAGGTACCCTTGTGTGTGAGGTTCTAGTAATTGGGTTGTTTTCCCAACTTAGGAATGATCCAGGCCCTGGGAGGCTTCTTTACTTACTTTGTGATTCTGGCTGAGAACGGCTTCCTCCCAATTCACCTGTTGGGCCTCCGAGTGGACTGGGATGACCGCTGGATCAACGATGTGGAAGACAGCTACGGGCAGCAGTGGGTGAGTGGGCACCTCTGACCTGACCAGTGTCAGAGCTCCTCAAGCCCCAGAAGACTGAGGCCACACTGCCACCAGCCATGCAGGTGAAGAGCCAGAGCTCATCTTCTGTCTTCTGCATTTCAGACCTATGAGCAGAGGAAAATCGTGGAGTTCACCTGCCACACAGCCTTCTTCGTCAGTATCGTGGTGGTGCAGTGGGCCGACTTGGTCATCTGTAAGACCAGGAGGAATTCGGTCTTCCAGCAGGGGATGAAGTAAGTAATGAAGGACATGTCAAGGCCTTGGCTCAAAGAAGGGGACTGGTGATTTGTAAACCCTTTGCCAAAAACTAAACATATGACACATATAGCCAGGTTTCTGGAATCTCTAGTTTATAGAGCAAATTTAGGAAGCAAGAAATGTAGCTTTCTAGTTTTTTCATCTGACCTCCAAGTTTTCAAGTACAGCTAATACATAAAGATGTTGATCTGCCATTTTAATGCATAGCATTAGAAGATAAACCTTTATTTGCACCTTTTAAGTTTTTTCTCCCCTACTTTGATTTTAGGAACAAGATCTTGATATTTGGCCTCTTTGAAGAGACAGCCCTGGCTGCTTTCCTTTCCTACTGCCCTGGAATGGGTGTTGCTCTTAGGATGTATCCCCTCAAGTAAGTTGATCCTCTGGTAGCTCCAAAAAGTATGAAATAGTATGTGTGGCTTTTCCCCCCATTACTTGTGGTAATAGTTGTTATTTTCAGAATTTTGAGTGGTATGTACAAAAATTCCTATGGGTTGGAAAACTGTGAAAGCTTGACATGTCAGTAAATCAGACTAACAAATCCTGAGGCTTCCATGATAGCAGCTAGTGTTTAGGATTTGGCCCAAGATAAGATAAAGCCACACAGGCTCTAGCTCCATGGAACTGCTCAACAGCGAACTGCATTGAGCACTCAGGTCTGCCACAGCTGTAGTCCAGTTGTCTTTAGAGGCCAACTGGGGGTATGCTGGAGCGTAGGCGCCCAGGCTCAAATCTTGATTTGCTTGCTTAGTCACTGTCCCATTACAAGTCATCCACCTTTCTGAGACTCTGAATACTCTGCTCTCAAAGAAAGAAGGTTGGAGAAACAGATCTGAGGTCCCTTTTACTTTATAATCAGTCATGGGTAGAGTTGATCAAAGGAAGCATACTGCTAGTCTTTGGCCTTAAACACAGTGAATGACTCTGCATTTCAGATAAACTTGAATTTTCAAAGAGGGTTTATCACAAACTCCGTTAGTTTTTTGCAACATTGAGTATGTTTGGTGATACCTGGTTGAGGTTAAGCAACTGCAACTTGATTAAAACGTGCAAAGCCACAGATTGTGGGACCCATTTACAAGTTCCTTTGAAGCTTTTGATTTAAAGCATTAGTCTCCTTTGAATTCCTGCTGTCCTCATCCTTGCTCAGACCCGTCTGGACCATCTCTCAATCCCCTGTTGCCAGCACTTCCTTCAGCTCATCTTATCCCTAAAGTAACCAAAACCCATCAGCCTCATTCACTTCCTGTGGGTTATGTGCAGACATCGTCTGTGGTGCAAGATGAGACTGGCATCCAGAGTCAGTCTCATTGTCCCAACCTGTCTTTATAGCTTTCTCTTGTACCCCTTACCCATCCAAGCTCATGTTAGGTGAATTCGGCTTTCTTCCTCTGCCTTTGTGTTTGGTAAGATCCTTCCTCCCCACATCCCTCCTTCTGTTCCCTCTTACCCTGCCAATCCTGATAGTCCCTTCAGGGCCGGTTTCCTTGGAGCTTGTCCCTCCAGGGCCTGTGCACTTGCACCTCTTCTCTGGCATTACTTGTTGCTTGTCATTTCACCTCCCTGCTAGGTTTTAATCTAGAAGGCATGGGCCACAGTGTCTTTCTTCTCTGTGCATCCCCAGCTCCCTACACAAAGCTGGTGTACAGCAGGGGCCAGCCATCTCCAAATTGAATTCTGTCAGCTTGGGCCATTATGTATCAAGATGGGGCTTGGAGAGGTCACAGAGCTTTCCAAAAAGGCTGGTGGAAAATTACACTGAAAAGGGGGCATTTCCATCTTCTGGGTCCTTCCCTGGTTTTTTTGCCACCACCAAAGAGATTGTTCTGACAGGTTCTGCCCAATTTTGGAAGGTGGTTCAGTTATTCGGTGACTGAGTCAAATGAGATCATCTCTCTTAGCTGCCTTGTCAGACACACAGGAAGAAGAGGAGACCACCGGAGTCCTGCCCAGGGACAGCCTTTCTCACACCATAGCAGGGAGCTGGTGATCACGGAGGCTGCCTGGAGCCTGTCAGCAGGCTAGAGACTGTGTGGCTCAGCCTCCAGGCCCCTTGGAAGCCTTCGGGCTCAGCTTTTTTCAGTCCCCAGGACCAGGCCTCAGAACACAGAGCTGATATCCCAAATGCTGTTGTCAGAGATCAAATTTGGGGAATGCATAAACTGGTTTTGACCCACACTGGCAGGTCTTTATCTTCAAAATGCTGGGATATTAGGCAGATGGTCTTAAAAAGCTTCTTAAACACTTTAGAAATGAAAGAAAGAAAATGTTCAGTTGCTCTGGGATGGTTAACAGAAAAGTACTCTGCTCATCCTATAAACCAAGTCTTATGAAATCCAAACTGAAGATGAGTAGGGATTCCATTACAAAGTCTGCAGACTGATTTCCTCTGCGTCTCTAGGCCCTGGGCACATGGAGTAGCAATCTGTTTTAAGACATTTTTATTTGTTCTGTTAATGACTCAGTAGTTAACTGTGACTGTACTTGGCTTCTCCTTTCAGGCTGATTATTTCATTGTCACTGGTGATGTGCAATTTCTCTTTCTTTATTTGAACTGTGTTCGTGTGCATATAAATTGGTACCTTACTCTATTTCCAGACCTACCTGGTGGTTCTGTGCCTTCCCCTACTCTCTTCTCATCTTCGTATATGACGAAGTCAGAAAACTCATCATCAGGCGACGCCCTGGCGGTAATTATGGGCATTCTGACTTTGGTTGGAGGAGGAGTGGGAGGGGCTATAGTTCTATTGGTTTTTTGTTTCCCTCAAGGTGTCTAGGCTCCCTCAGTGGTCAGTCTGATTAGCTAAGGTGACTGGACCAGCAAACTGACCATAGTCACATCTTCAGAATGTAGATCTCAGTTACAGTTTGAGGACTGGTCATGTTTTAGACTTTAAAATACAAACCAAGTATGATTTAGTGAAAACTTGTCAGAATCTAAACCATCTTTCCAGGTAACTTGGTATTCCTAAAAACATGTAAATAAGTACAGTTGAGGTCCCATGTTTGGATTTTAACACACCCGACCCCCATCATCCTCCGGTTGGTTTTCATCCCTGTTTCCCTCTGTAATGCTGGAGCGAGGAAGACTCACTGTAGTGTGTCTTGTCTGTCTCTTTGCCACCCACAGGCTGGGTGGAGAAGGAAACCTACTATTAGCCCCCCGTCCTGCACGCCGTGGAGCATCAGGCCACACACTCTGCATCCGACACCCACCCCCTCTTTGTGTACTTCAGTCTTGGAGTTTGGAACTCTACCCTGGTAGGAAAGCACCGCAGCATGTGGGGAAGCAAGACGTCCTGGAATGAAGCATGTAGCTCTATGGGGGGAGGGGGGAGGGCTGCCTGAAAACCATCCATCTGTGGAAATGACAGCGGGGAAGGTTTTTATGTGCCTTTTTGTTTTTGTAAAAAAGGAACACCCGGAAAGACTGAAAGAATACATTTTATATCTGGATTTTTACAAATAAAGATGGCTATTATAATGGAATTTGTCTGTGCCCTCGTCGCTTCTTTGGTACAGATGTCTATGTGATCTGGAGCTGTGGTTTTCAACATGAGTCCCTGACCAGCAGTTTATCAGCATCACCTGGTTGCTTGCTAGGAAGGCGGGCCCAGACCCACTGAGTCAGAAATGCATCAGCAATGTGGCTTAATAAGCCCTCAGGTGATTTTGATTTACATTCAAGTTTGGAAACCACTGGCTAAGAGGAAGCATTCTGCCCGTGCTCTTTTAGTTGGAGTAGGTGAGTTTACCTGACCCATTTTTTCTGGCTGCTGCCTGGGGTGATAGGGCTGTAACTCCACCTGCTGCCTTAGCATCTGGCTTTTTGATGGAAGAGCACCTCGCCTAAAGGATTTCCAGACCCTCAGAGTATACTAAACTGCAGATGAGGCCCTTCTCTTTCAGTCTAAAAGAGACCTGAAGCCTTCCTGCTTTCCCTCCAGAGATCACCACCACATCTCAAGTGTCTCTAGCCCAGGGCTTATCTGAGAAGCAGAAATCTATCCCACACAGTCTGCCTGGGCATGTGTGCTGAGAAGTGGTTCCCTTCCTTCCATATAATGTGTTCCTAATTTAGCATCAATGACACAATTTCAGCAAGTGGTTATGTGCCAGCAAGCACTTAAGAAAAAGGTGAAAGAGATGTGTTTACTTCAGGGTCAAGTCTGAGAACACCTCCTGCTTTCAGAGCTGCTGTAAAAGGCTCCCCTCAGTCTCAGCCATGAGTGGTGCAGAGTGCTGTTAACTGCCGGTGCTTCTCCCAGGCTGTCATTGCCAACTGTCGCCTCCAAGCAAACACAACAAGCAAACTCCTTACCTCTGGCACCAAACAGTGATCGTGATCTGCCAGATGATCATAGTGTCTTTTTTCTCCGAAAAGCTTAACTCAGTCCTCATGCTTGGTTGCTGTGCACTTCCAAGCTGGGCCAATGCGGGAGGAGACAGTGGTGACTCCTGTACACTGGGGCTGTGGTTGCTGCACCCACCCACTCCAGCCGCAGAACTGGGAGGGGCAGGTGGTCTTGGACTCTCCTTTCTTGGGGCACTTTCCCCTGGGATGATCTCTACATTTGTCTGCAAGTCATCTTTAAAATGAGCCATTTGCTCAGACCAAGATAAGGAAACTAGAACTAAAAGATCATGGGATTAGAAGGTTGTGAGTCAGGTAGCAACTGGAGCCTCCTGGAAGGTACTTTACTGGCCCAGCTGTGACGGCAGGGCCAGTCACACAAGACGTCTCTTGTGAGGTCAGGCTGGCACTGGTGGTATCCGTACTGCGACTCCCTGTATGTCTACTTTCGGCATCCCTGGAGAAGACCAACGCACATACGCTGCTGCGATGAAGGTCATGGGCATTTCCTGATGCAAAAGATTTGAAACACTCTGAGACTTTAGCTTTTGACAAGGGGACCCCAGAGAACGTTAAGCCAGTGTTTCTCTGACAGCTCTAAGAAGCCCTGGTCTTCTGGGAAACCCTGGAGGGAGCAAGGCAAAAGGAAGGCTCTGAACTTCACACCTGATTTTCCACCAGAACATTTCTGCCCTTTTCTGTGTGACAATCCTTTGAATAGAAAGTTCTACAGCCAAACATTTGATTTAGGAAGAGCAGGTAAGTGAGCTGCTCTTCATGGGTAAAGCTGGCACCAAAGTCAGGCCTGCTGTGGGTTAGAGCTTTCCCAACTTTCTAAAAGCAGGAGTGCTTGGGCTCTCATTTCTACCTCTACGCTCAAACTCTCCTGCTGGCCCTGTCACTAGGAGCTAAAATCACTCCAGAGCCATCACAAGCAGCTTCTCACAATGGCCCTCAGCACTGTCGATTCCCTACAGATCTCTGTCTCTGACCCCCCTTTCAAATGCCTTCCTAACAAACACTTCTGACCACATACCTTTTTCAGTATATGGGTCCTCACTGATATGTTCAACTTCTTAAGGTCCTTCTCAGCATTTAAATTGCGGTCTTATCCCTCTCACATCCTGACCCCTACCCCTTTCTCTAGCTGTCACCCTCCCTCATGGACAAACTTGTAGAAGAGTCACTGCCACTCCTCCTAATTGTTCACCTCCCAGTCATCCCTCTGCCTCTTCCAGCTCCCATGAACACCAGTCCACCAAAATTGCCTGGTTGAGGCCATACTGACCTCCTGATGCATCTTGGTCCTTCCTTGACCTCTGCTGCATCTCTTCTGTCCATCACACCCTTCCTGAAACCAGACCTCCCGTCTTTCTGTCATTGTCTCTGTGCACTCCTTAGCTCTCAGCCCCCTCTTCACCTGCTCGACCCCTCGTTTCCTCAGGGAGGCCTCCACACCTTCTCTCCCTGCTTCATACTCTTCCTGGCATGATTTCCAGCTCTGATCTGGTCCTCTCCTGAGCCCCAGATGTACAAATCCAGTGTGTCCTAGACATCTGCATTTGTTCAGAAAGAGCATGGCACACTTGAGTCTTAGTACCAATGGCGAGCCTAAGTTTGAGGTTCCACAAATAAATATGCTTTAGGCAGTGATGACATTTGGCACCCTACTGCCCAAGCGAGAAACCGGAAAGGTGGGTGAGCCCTCTCTTTTCCTGCTCTGCCCCCCACCCAATTACTGTGGATTCCAATGTTGTGGTAGAGAACATGGACTTTGCGTCTTTTAACAGACACAGACAGTGTCCCATCACTGGCTGATGAAGGGCACATAATTTAGCCTCTTTGTGCTTCCTTTACTCTAGAATATTTCAGAGCTGTTAAAAGGATTAAGTGAAATTATGCATAAAAGGGAGTCTCATAGTGGCTGCTGTTCAATAGTTCATTCTCTCTACTGCCGGTGTCCTTTACATCTGGGTGCTGGAAGCGGCTTTTTGGTGGTATCCCTAATTTTTGCCTTTCTCTATTCCGGTAGTTCTCAAAGTGTTTCTGGACCAGCAGCATCAGTATCACCTGGGAGCTTGTTAGAAATGCAAATTCTGATGCAGACCTATTGAATCAGAAACTGGAGGTGAAACCCAGCAATCTGTTAGAAGTAGCTTTCCAGGTGATTCTGATGCACAGCAAAATCTAAGAACTAATGCTCTAATCCATCCTCCAAGCCCATATGGCTGCCCCTCTCCACCATCCATCTTCACACTGGACCCCAACACATAAACCCATCTCTGCTCAGCCATTCAAACTCCTGTGCAGTCCCCTAATGTGCCATACACCCTTTCTTCTGCCATCCTATAAGTCCCTTTGGCATTCTCCCAACCCACCCACCTTCCCCCCGACCTTCATTCACTTGGCAAATCCACTCACCCTGTGAATACCCATTAGGTCTGGATCCTCACTTTTGCACACCTTAGTGTAGCACTTCCACTTCTGTTGATTTGCCTGTTCCCGGATAGATTATGAGTTCCTAGATGACATGGACCAGGCTATACCCTCCCCAGCATCTAATGCTATGGATGTTTATTGAATGAATGGATGCATGCACATTTTTCTGTTGCCCAAACAGCCATCATTTTAACATTTCACTGTCACTTTGAGTCCGCTTCTTGGCTTAGGGCTGACACCTTACCCAAGGGAAATCCATGTCCCGGCTTGCCACCTGTCTGTGAGTTAAGGCCTCTCCTCTCTCAAGACTTTGAAGTTAGAGAGTGTAAGAATGAGTCATGCATGGAATTAGGGTGTTAGAAAGTTGAGTGGGGACCCATGGCAAGCAAAGGTACTAGGTAAAGAAGAGATCCACAAAGACAGAGACACCAAAAGGAACATCAGCCCTGGACCTGCCTGGTTCCAGAGCTTTTTAGTCCCTGTCCTGGGCCTCTAATGCTCTCACAAACCCCTCCCTTCCCCAAACTAGATTGAAATCTCCCATCAGATAGTTGATGAGTACTCTCTATTTCTTCAAAGAACTCACAATTCTAATTAATTATCTATATTACTCAGTTATGTAATTATTAATTTAATATCCCTTTTTTTCCTGCTAAGCTTTATGAGGTCATAAAGCCAATCTGTTCTTTCCATTTTATCCCTGGTGCTCAGCTCAGTGCCTCACAAAGAAAACTGAACACTTAGCACAGGGGGTCAACACTCCCTACTGAAGGAGGAGGGCATAGAGGCAAAGGGACTTGTCCATGGTGTCCTGTGTTTAAGAAAAGGAGGCAAGGCTGGAACAAGACTGGAATGGGTGGGTCTCACACTTCCCACCAGCTACGCTGTGTGCCGTCCTCCTAGATGCAAACCTGACTGCACAGATGTTCGGGCGCTCACAGTGGGAGGCATCTCCTGGCTGGGCTCAGGCTTGCCGGTGGGACTGCACGGGATTTGTGCCCACAGACTTTCAAGTGCTGGGTTTCCTTTTCAGCCCCACCACCTCACCCATGTGCCCGGAGACAGTGTAAGTCTCAGCAGTGGGTTGGGAAGCCTGGATCCTGGGCATTTTAGGTGGACAATGTGGGCAAGTCATGTGGTCTCTCCAAGCCTCTGTCTGTAAAATGGGAGGTGACCCCCGTTCCTACCTCATGAGGCTATCGTGAAGACTAAGTGAAGGAAAATGTGGAAAGGGTTTAGTACAGTGACTGGCCCTTCATCATAGTTCAATAAAAGGTCACTCACCTCCTACACCCGCCCACACACACATCTCCACCCCAAACTGTGCTCCAGGTGTCTCCTGAAGATAAACACAGGGGAACGCATTGCTGTTCCCACCTAATGGAAGTAGCTACTTACTGTATAGTGGTTGTTACATGCCAGGCAATGTCCTAAACTATCAACATTTCAAAAGTGAAACAACAGAGCCTCAGAGAAGTGAAGTAACTTGCCTGAAGTCACACAGCCACAAAGTGGCAGAGTTGGGTGAATCTGCCTTGAACCCAGACGGGCTCGAATCCTGGGCTCCCAACATGCTAGGGAAGTGTTGGCTGTGGTGGCAGAAAGCACTAGCAGGGACCAAGAACAGGAGAAGGGCAGTGTTTTTATGAAAAACAAAGAACAGGGAAGGTTAGAGTTGGTGTTAAAACATAAGATCATGGAAAGTTTCTTGGAAATTAAGCACATGCTGTTGAACAGTTACTCAAATGGATTTGCCCCCAGGAGCTGCTGGGTGATCAAGCTGCAACTTGCATAACGGGAGCAAGAAGGTGGGAGGCTCTAATCCTCGGCAAGCTCGGCACTGCCTCTCCTGTTAGGTGAATGGGCAGATCTGCTTCCCAGGCTGCGGCTGTCTGCGTACGGGGATGTGTCCCTTGCCTCCTGTGGGCTGCAGAGAGGCCTCCTCTGCGTTCATGATTGTCCTTCAGCTGACAGAAGTTTTAATACTGTCCCTCCTGGCCCTGTCTTGTATAAGCAGTGATCTCATCCCTTCTCATCTCTTCCCTTCCCCATTTAGGACTCTGACGCAGTACAGTTAATCTGTGCACAGGAAAGAAGAGCTGTTTGAAGAGGTTATTCGGTAAATGCAGAGAATGTCTTTGTAGTATAAATTATTGCTCTATATAAAACTGCTTGTAAGTTTTTGTTGGTGGTGTTTTTTTGTTTGTTTGTTTGTTTTAGAGATGTGGTCTCACTCACTATGTTGCCCAGGCTGGGCTCAAGAGATCCTCCTGACTTGGCCTCCCAAAGTGCTGGGATTATAGGTATAAGCCACAGCGCCCACCTGGTTGCAAGTTTTTAAAGTTTTGCTAAAATGACAGGCATATGAAGACATTATTGCCAACTATATATTGTCCCAGAAACAAACATTCATCCTTTACTATAAAAGTCTTCTGCGTATGGGTTCTCTCCCAAAGAAGGGACAGCAAAATGCTCACAGCCAGCTCTTCACCCCATGTGCATGTGCCAGGAGAGAAGCCCAGAGTCCTTGCAGGTCACCCAATCCAGCTCCCTTATCACTGGTGCCAACAAGGCAATGTTTTCTAAGGGAAGGGAAACCAACATTTATCGAACATGTACTACTGCCTACAGCACTATTTTGGGGGCTTTTTATTTCATTTCATCCTATGAAGTAGCTAGAGGTAAATATAATCCCCACTTTGCAGAGGGGAAATTGAGAGGTTAGTAGCCTGTAAGAAGTGGTTAAGAATGTGTTTGAACACATATCTATAAGCCTTAATCTTTCCATTAGATCAAGCTGCTTCCCATTAGGGACATAAAAGAATCCTGTGTTGCCACTGGTGGTTTTTACCTCAACATACCCTAAAGCCAGAGACTCCCATATACTAAGGTGGACTCATCAGATTCTTGTGGGTCCATATACTTGAGCAGCTAGCTAGGTATACTTATTCCAAAGAAGTAGCTAGTAGGTAGGCATGGCAGAAACTTATTAGTTGTTCAACAAACCATACCCCTTCTTCTTCCTAAGCACCCACCTTGAACACATTTCTCACCCCACCTTGTGGAGGTACAGCCATGTGACTGTTCTAGGCAACGGAACAGGAGTTCACCTGATGTACCTATCACTTGCAGGCCTGGCCCATAAGCCCTTCCACAAAAAAGCATTCTCTTTCTATACCTACCAGATGCATGGTGGAAGAAATAGGAAGGCCCTCAAGCAGTGGTTCTCATCGTTAGCTGTTGATTGAAATCACATGAGAGCTTTAAATATCGCCATTGTCAGGCTGCATCCTAGACCAATTAAAACAGACACTCTGGAAGTGGAACCAGGCATCAGGATTTAACAAAGCTTCCCAGGTGATTCCAGTGTGCTGCCAAGGTAGAAAATCATTGCCTCAGGCTGGGCACTTTGGGAGGCCAAGGCAGATGGATCGCCTGAGGTCAGGAGCTCAAGACCAGCCTGGCCAACATAGTGAAACCCCATCTCTACTAAAAATACAAAAAATTAGCTGGGCGTGGTGGCGGGCACCTGTAATCCTACCTACTCAGGAGGCTGAGGCAGGAGAATTGCTTGAACCCAGGAGGCAGAGGTTGCAGTGCAGTGAGCCGAGATCGCATCATTGCATTCCAGGCTGGGCAAAAAGAGCGAGACTCCGTCTCAAAAAAAAAAAAGAGAAAAAAGAAAAAAAAAATCAAATCATTGCCTCAGAGCAATGATTCTCAAAATGTGTCCCCCAACCAGCAAGACCAGCAAGACCAGCAATGCCTGGGAACTGTTTATAAAATGCACATCCACAAGCCCCATCCCAGACCTACTGAGTCAGAAACTCTGGGGAATTGCATTTTAAGCTCTCCAGATGACTCTGATGCATACTGAAGTTTGAGAACTTCTAGAGGAAGTAAGCCACAAGACAGAAGGAGCCTGGCCCTGAGTCGCTGCTTGGAGGAGGGCCATGTGAGAGAACAACTCAATCAGGAACACCCATATCAGACTATTGTGTGAGAAACCCACTTTCATTGTGTTAAGCCATTGACTCAGTGGGTACGCATTTATGTGGCTTATGAGAGAACATGGAAGATTGGAAGGTGGGGTCTAAGCAGTGGTGTGCAGGAGCTGGCTCACACCAGCTCATTTGTTAAATTTTCAGGAATTTTGCAAACAAGGTGACTTCTCATTGGCAACATTAAATTGGCCAAGGTTGGAATAGTTACACCATGGAAATTGTCAAATGCTACAAACCAGGACTTGTTTTCCCAGAGAGCTGGTTGTTAAACATTAACCAGCACACCACTGGGACTAAGCATCAGAGAGTAGAAAGGTGGGATGATGGTACAGTGGCCCTGGGCTGTAATGAACCATCAAAGGAAATGCCATCATGTGAGGCTCTCTAGGCCCAGCCCACACGCAGGCTTCTCTTGACAACACTGTGTCTTTGCCATGTCCTTGTATTTAGAGATTCTGGAAGCTGAGAGAGAAAGACTGTGGAAGCAGAGTGGGTGAATGGTCAAAACTATCATTCAGGTTAAGAACTGGTGGGGTTTCTCAACTGTGGCACTGTTAAGCTTTTGATCAGATGAATCTTTTTGGGGGACGGTATCCTGTACCTTGTGCATTTTAGTAGGTTTAGCAGCCTCCCTGGGCTCTACCCACTAGATGTCATTAGCCACCCTTCTCCCTCCAGTTGTGACAAGGAAAAGTGTCTTCAGATACTATCAAATGTCCGTCCGCTGGAGGCAAAATCACCCCCAGTTGAGAACCACTAATTAAGAACTACCTAGAAGGCAAGAGACACCCCCATAGGGGTGGGCTGGGCCTCAGCCTACCATCTCAACCCCATGACAATTTAGGGAAGATGCTTTTGGATTCAACTGTAATCACTTTCTATCACATTCTATTAATCTCTTTTCCAATGTTCCCTATCTCTCTGATCACTCCACTCCGTTCTCTACCACACAGCTCCCAGAGTCTGTACCACATTAGCTCTTGGTTTGGGAGTGTCTGATGTTGACTGAAAAATATTTCAAGTGTGTTAGCTTCTCTCCTCGACACCACTGGCCTCCATCCCTCTTCAAGATAGTATGGTGCAGGGATTGAGAACACTGGTTCTAATGGCAGCTGGTCTGCCTGGATCTTGCTCTGCCATACTTTAGCTCTGACTTTAGGCAAGTCACTTAACCTCTCTGAGCCTCCTCCATTTCCTTGTTAATCAAACGGGTGAAAATACTATTTCCTACTTCATAGAGTTCTGAGAATAAAGTGAGATAATACTCAACAAACACTGGCTACTGTTTTTCACTCAACGGATTTTAGAGCACACCCAGAATGGTGGACCATGTGCCACATGCTGGGGGAATGGAATTGAGCAAAACAAACACATAGGCCCACTCCCTGTTACAGTCTGGTGGGGAAGACAGTGCAATGAGCAGGTCTTAAGAGGATGTGTGGTAAGTGCCAGAAGAGGAAAATCCCCTGGTACCACAGAAAACCACAGGTGGAGCCTAACCAAGCCTCAGGGGTTGGGAGGAGGCTCCTGGGGAAAATAAGGATGGGCTCCGGGCAGGCCCTGCTGGTTGCCTGCCAAATGTACATGCCCTCCCCTTGGTCTTTACCCATCCCATGCTCCACTGGGGTATCCCAATTTTTCTGGATCTTTTTTCTTTACACTTTTTTCCATTTATTTACTTATAAAAATACGGAATGCTTCATGAATTTGCACAGCATCCTTGCACAGGGGTCATGGTCATCTCTGTGTGGTTCCAATTTTAGCATACATGCTTCCAAAGCCAGCACTCTTCACTTTTTTCACCACACTCAGCTCTCCTTCCTTTCTTCTCCTAAAAGGTAACCAACCATTTTAATGTTTATCTTCTTATTTCAATGTGTTCTTGCAACATGGGTATTGTTTTGTGTGTGTGTATGTACTTTTAAACTTTTATCATGAAAATTCTCTAAGGTACACAAAAGTAGAGAAGATAATATCACAAACTTCCATGTAGCCATCATGTAGTTTGAACAATTTTACCAACATTTTGCCAATTGTGTTTTATCTAGTCTCTCCTCTCCATCCCTACTTCTTTCTTTCAGAAGTATTTTAAGACAATCCCAGACATGGTTTCACCCATTATACATCTCAGTATGCATGTTCAACAGAAAATGACTTTTCCAAAAAACTCATAACCACCAAGTAGATTCTTTTTTTCTTTTTTTTTTTTTTTTGCTATGAGTACTCCTGATCCTTCCTATGATACTCCAGTTGCTTCTAACTGCTACACAGTGCTTTTTGTGTGCACGCCCCACATGTGACCTATTATTTTTCACAATAATTGACACTCAGTTGGTGGGCAACTCCCTTCCACCACTAATAAGACTGCAGGAGCATCCTCACACAGGTCTTCTCCTGGCCTTTGTGAGAATTTCTCCTGGGACAGAACTGTGGGTCACATGATATATTCATTTACATAATTTCACCAAGAAGACCAGACTGCCCTCCAGAATGGCTGCACCAGTCCACAGTCTCACCAGCAGCGTGAGGTTCCCATGTCTGCACACCCTGCCAATCACTGGAATTGTCCAGCTGGCTTTTTTTCTTTTTTTTTAATTTTCTCAGACCTCGCAGGTTTCTATTAATAATTGTTTTCAGTCTATGTAAAGTCTCATTTAAATTCATATTTTTGATGATTAACAATGATTTTGAGCATTTTATCATATTTTGTAAGATTTTAGGGTTAATTCTTCCATAAATGGCATGTTCATATCTTTTACTCATTTTTCTATGGGGTTGCTGTCTTTTTCCTGATTTGTAGGAATTCCTTGTGTATTCTAGATATTAGTCAGTTTTAGACACTGCAAGCATCTTTTCCCATTCTGTCATTTGGTCCTACTTTTTGATCACTTTTGTATCCGCCTTTCTCTCCCACCTTCAGCTCCAGGGGGATCTCCTGCTCAGTCTCATCTACTCATGAGACTCCTATACCCCCTTGCCAGTGATGGATTTAGGAATACAGTTGTGACCAATTCTCTACAACATAGTGAATTCAGCCAGAGGGCTTCCAAGAAAAATTTCTTCACTCCTCAGAGACACAAGAAGATCTAGTCTCTGTCTCTCCTCCCGCTGAGTGTTCTCTGGATATGACATGGAGCTTCTGTAACCATCTTACTACCAGTTTGAGGATAAAACCCACCATGAAGGCATGGTACTGTTGGTGGCAGAGTTAAGCCACTGTATTAACCACCTTGGGGCCTGCATCACCTCTAGTCTTCCCTTTAAGTGAGATAATAAATGTCCTCCTCATCTAAGTTAGATTGAGCCAGGATTTCTGACACTTGCAGTGAGAAGGATATGGACAGATGCAGCCTCTAAGCCAGGGGTTTTTGAATCTTTTTTTTTTTTTTAATCGCAATCACCAGTAAGAATTTGGCTTTTTATATCATGATCCCGCATCCACATAACAAACAGCACTTAACTTCATGGTGTCTAATGTGCTCAGATAGCCTCTTTTCTATTTCCTTTAATCTTTTTGTCTTTGTTTTTCTGGAGGGTGTGGGGGACGGTAATGCTCAATGTAACCTACTAAATTAATTACACAAGCTACTAATGGGTCATGACCCACAGTTTGAAAAACATTGCTCTAGGTCTCAGGCCTCTGAACTGAGGCCTGTAAGAATAATGGGCTTTAGTCAAGTAAGATCTGCAGTGGGGAGCGAGGATGGTGGGGAGGGTGTTTTCTAGGAAAGAATACTGTACAGAGGCCCTCAGCAGGATGGGGCCAATCAGATACCTCCCTCCCCCAAGTGTGACCACAGAGTGAGCCCTTGATAAACCTTTGTTGATTGGTTGTGTTCCCTCCCACAGCTCTCCTCCCAGGGTGCCTTTCTGCAACCTTATTCTATGAATAGATGAGAGCTCTTATCTCCCCTCTGCCTGACCCTCAGGACACAGAAGGGTTGGGGGGGGGGAGGGCCCTGAAGTCGGCTAATTAGAGATGGCTGGGAGGATTACTAGGGCCTTGCTCTGGCAGCTGTGCCCACCTCTAAATTCAATATCCAGAACCTGCAGAGAAAGGGCTCACCTTGATAAGCTCCGGAGACAAAGCAGGAGACAGATAGGGTTTGTTCTCAACAGAGCACTCACCCTCTGAATACAGTTTTTGTTTAAGCCCCAAGGCTGGGAACATTCCACAGCCTGGCAAACTCCCTGTCTCCTCAAGGTCAGTCCTTCCTCAGCATTCCTCTTTGGAAACGTCTCCCACGGCTGGCCCTGCTCCTGCCCCCTGGCTTTAGGGGCAGTTATATAACTCTTAGGAAGACCTAGAAATGCAAGCATATGGTGTCCTCAATTCCCAGCACAGACTTGCTGCTTCACATTTTTAGCTGGTGCTGAGAGACTGGCTTTCACACACAGACACACACACATACACATCCCTGACTCATAACTACATTTCTGCTGCAGTATTGCAGATTTCTAAAAAATTAAATCCTACATCTGGAGCCACATAAGGGTGAAAGCATAGGACATTTTGTCCCAGTAACTGTGGGGATAGAAAGGCCTCTGAGGCAGGACACAAAGGCCATATCAGGGCCACTGCAGGGCCAGAGGTCCTAGCACCCCTGGCTTTGGCTCTGAGGGTTTGGTTGCTTGCAGCTGAATTCCCTAACCAAAGCCTGTCATGTGTGGTGCCAAGCTCACAAATTCAGCATGCATCTACTATGTGTTTGCAATGACTAAAAGGTTACAGAAGGCAGCCTGGATTGCGGGGATCGGGGATACTTAGAAAATACGTTCTGCAAAATGTTGTATTAGAGGTTCTGAAAATTAAGATACAGAAAACATTTTACTTAATGAAGAAAATAGGGTAAATATGTTCAAAGGAGTATAGTTGTTAAAAGCAAACTGTTTAGAGTCAAGATCAACCCAGATTCACTTTCTGGTTCTCTGCAGCTTACTAGCTGTGACCTTCAACAAGTCTCTCTTAACCTGAGTCTTAGCTTTCCAATATGTAAAATGGACACAGCATTGTGAGGGTGGTTGGGAGGATTAAATGAGATCAGAGAATTTAGCACCATGACTGTAAAGAGAAAGGGCTCTACAAATGTAGCTGGTACTACAATTCACTTTTTTTTTTTTGAGACAGGACCTGACTGTCACCCAGGCTGGAGTGCACTGGCATGATTACAGCTCACTGCAGCCTCGACCTGCCAGGCTCAAGCCATCCTCCCACCTCAGCCTCCAGAGTAACTGGGACTACAGGCATGCGCCACCACATCCTGCTAATTTTTATATTTTTTGTAGAGATGGGGTTTTTGCATGTTGCCAGGCTGATTTCAAACTTCTGAGCTCAAGCCATCTGCCTGCCTTGGCCTCCTAAAGTGTTGGGATTATAGGCAAATGAGCCACCACGCCAGCCCACAATTCACTTTAAACACAAGTGAAACACATTTCATTAGACAGTGGAATAGACTTATGTCAATTTTCTTTTCTCTCTTATTTTACACAGTCTGATTTCCTGAAGACAGGAGGCGGGAGTAAGCTAATCAGGCCCTGAGTTAGCTGTTTCCAAGAAGCTTAGAGTGTCCCACTTACCTACGGGTTGCAGGGCCCGCATTGCCAGTAGGGCTGGCTTTTAGGGATGCTGCTGTTGGTGTGTGCTGTACTTGTTTTCTAGGATTGGGACAAGCTTCCTTGAGCTCCTGACTTTAGAGACCAGGTTTGGGAACTGATGGGTGCAGCAAATGCAAACAGACAGCAAACAGGCCAAAGAGGAGATTCATTCACTGAAGAGGGCCCTGGTACAGTACTGTCGAGGTTTTGCGGTGGCCTGGACACGGCTGGCTCCTTCGACTTACACAATATATCTTCTCTCTCTCTTACCTGCACTTATAAGAATCGGTGCTAAGGGTATGTGCCTACCACAGTGCAGCTTGTAGATTAATGAAGAAAGAATTGCTGCCACTTCCCAAATATTAAACGCCAGGTTCTGCCTATGCATATTCTCTCAACCTTCACAACACACCTACTAACTCCAGCTTACAAATGAGGAGACGAACCAGCAGGCTGTTCCAGGCGTCTGGTTGTAAGAGCAGTGGCAGTAGAGAAAATGATTTATTTTAGCACCAGCCACTGTGCTAATCCCTTTAGATATCATCTCATTTAATCCTTTTAACAACCCTGAAGCACCATCCTTATTCTAAAGGGACTTCGGACCTCTCTGCGGTCCACACTGTCCCCTGCTCGGTGCAGGAGTGTAGACTGGGACTGTTCCGTCTGGTGGTCTCCCCGACAAGGGTTCACCTGGAAACTGGCCTTTGGGCTGGGATTGGGACTCTGTACTTAGGCTGGCAGCCCATATTAGGACTGGGCACCGTGATAAGCACTTTCTTACCGCAAATGCACGATTTCACTCGGCCCTCACACACCCCACGAGGTGGGCACCGTCACAGTGCCATCTCACAGGCAAGGAGGCCAGGCCCAGGCCCTGAGGATGCGCCGCTCAGGTGGGAGCTTCCGGGGAGCTCGCGCGACAGCCTGGGGGAGCGCGGATTCGTCTCTGCGCTACGGCGGCTGCAGAGGGTCAACCCGCGGAGGCGGCGCTTCGCGGCGGGTCCTCGGCCTGAGGCTGTGGGATGCCTCCAAACCCGGCGCGGCCTCCGTCTGCAAGGAGAGCAGAGGGTCCCCGCCGGGAGCGCGCCCGGCTGCGGCCCCAGGCGGCCCTGCCCGCAGCCGCCACCTGAGCTTGGGCGCGGCTCCTATCTCCCACCCGCGCGTCGGCCAGTGAAGGGCTCCGTGCTTAAACATCATTCGTTACAGAAGTATTGCGGCCATCACACGGCATTTTAAAAACACGAATGATGATAAATAACTTTAACACTGCTTCCAATTCTGCCTCCAAGCACAGCATCATTACCATTTGCATGCGTTTCACTTCATTCGATTTCCATGTGTATGGATTTGTTTCTACATAGCTGTGGTAAAACGCACATACTAAACTGAATCCAGGGTTGTTTTCCACTTTGTAACATGAACATTTTCACCGTGTTAGTACTGACGCTTCCTACCTATAATTTTTAATGGCAGGACTTTAAAAAATTGGGTTGATACGCTGTCACTTCTCTGAGCATCTCGCAAATGTTCAACATTCAAGTGGCTTCCAAAGCTTCACGATTATAAATTATTCATTCTTTTTTGTTTTGTTTGGTTGTTTGTTTGTTTGTTTGTTTGTTTTTTGAGACGATGTCTCGCTCTTGTCGCCCAGGCTGGAGTGCAGTGGCGCGATCTCAGCTCACTGCAACCTTCGCCTTCCAGGTTCAAGAGATTCTCCTGCCTCAGCCTCCTGAGTAGCTGAGATTACGGGCATCTGCCACCACGCCCACCTAATTTTTGTACTTTCAGTAGAGACGGGGTTTCATCATGTTGGCCAGGCTGGTCTCGAACTTCTGACCTCAGGTGCTTCTCCCTCGACCCGGCCTCGGCCTCCCAAAGTGCTGGGATTACAGCACTTTGCTGCCCAGCCCATTCTTGTGTATAAAGTCCTTTCAGTATTGAGATCAGTTTCCTTAGGTTATATTCACAGGAGTGAAACTGCTAAGTCAGAATGTGAGCATTTAAAAGCTTTCAGTATTATTGCCAAATGGCTTTTCACAGATGACTCAGGGAGGTTTTGGTACTTGGAACACTGCTACTTATATCCCACTCCCCCCCCCCCCCACCAGGAAAACATCTAAAGTGCACTTTTTTTTTTTTTTTTTTTTTTTTTGTGAGACGGTATCTCGCTCTGTCGCCCAGGCTGGAGTGCAGTGGCGCGATCTCCGTTCACTGCAAGCTCCGCCTCCCAGGTTCACGCCATTCTCCTGCCTCAGCCTCCTGAGTAGCTGGGACTACAGGCGCCCGCCACCACGCCCGGCTAATTTTTGTGTTTTTAGTAGAGACGGGGTTTCACCGTGTTAGCCAGGATGGTCTGGATCTCTGACCTTGTGATCCGCCCGCCTCGGCCTCCCAAAGTGCTGGGATTACAGGCGTGAGCCACCGCGCCCGGCTAAAATGCAGTTTCATTAAGAGATAGTGACCCTTTCTGAGAGTGTCTACATTTAATTGGGATCAGAGCTTGAAGTTGAAAATTTTGTGCCCTGGGACTTCAGACATCAGAAAACAGGGTAGGAAGATTCTCACGGGTTAGGATTTTTCTGGTGACCCTGAGTGGGGGAGCCACTTATTCTGCCTTCACTTAAGGCTAAACTAGACTCCCGGCCCTGCGTAGAGTTCTGAGGGACACCAGGGTCACAAGGCTAGTGAGACAGAGTTCATTTGGAAGAAGTGAAATAATTTAGGAATTCACAGAATATTGATGATGATATCCTTCCTCCTCCAGATGACAAGGTAATAAAGAATAATGAGATGTGATCATGGGAAATAGCCACCATGAGCAGCAGCCACCAAGGCACATAAATACTGTGGAATTGACTCTGCTGTCAGCTTGTGGGTTTCTGGAGTGACAGATTAAACCAAACTCAGTCCAGCTTCTTGTTTACTCTGTGTAAATCTACTCACTGTCCAGAATCTTCAGGCCGGTGTTGCCACCACTTGTTCTGTCTGTGATTCCCAGTGATGAGTAGGAGGTGACCAGCAGGCAGACTGTCTCCCTATGGGTAGGGAGCCTCAGAGTTCTGCAGGGACTGGGGTATAGGTAGAAGATGAAAAAAATATCCTTTCTGAATCAGCTCTTTGCCTGTCTGGGCAAACCCCTACGTTTCCTATCCACACTTTCTCTGCTCTAGGACCTAAGCCTTGGAGAGTTGCCCCCAGTTCATTGACAAGCTCCCTACACTAGAGTCCTTTTGTAGTGGGCATTGGGGTGCACCACCCAGATTTCTCTTTAGAACTGGTGAACTTATTCCCTCAAGCTGCTGGGGATTTGCTGGCAGACAGACCTCTCCAGGAAGTGCCTTAGCTGAAGAGAGATCCTCACTCAAGGTCACACCCCACCCCCCTTCCTGGAGCAGCCCACATCCAATGAGGTATACTTGTCTGGCACCCTCACCCCACCTTCAAAGTTCCCTATGGGGTCAGCAGAGACCTTTGTTGAGACTGCTTTGCAGCCTAACTTATCTCTCTGCACAAATTGTTTCTCATTTTCCTTCTATTCCAAAGGTGTTAATCCCAAGAGTATTCCTAATAAATGTCCCTCATGGAAGTTTCCATCTCTGGGTCAGCTTCTGGGAAGCTCAACCTGTGACACCAATCCCACATGAAATATTTATGTGCTACTCCATGAGTCCCTTGTTTAATAAACATTATCTAGCAATAACATGGGGATAAGGTCACAACTCAAAATAGACTAGCTTATAGCTTTGCAGCTTGTTTTGTGTCACTTTTTTTTCTGATTCTCACGAGCTCTGTCACACTACAACTCCTATTTCTAGGTGTGGAAGACAGAATAATGGCCCCGAAGACGACTTACATGGCATAGGGAAATCAGGATTGCAGATGGAATTAAGGTTGATAATCAAGTGATCTTAAAATAGGAAGATTGTACTGAATTTAACAGGCTCGATGTAATCACAAGGATCCTTAGACGTGGAAGAGGGAGGCAGAAGAGAGTGAGATGTGACTATGGAAGAGAATCAGGGAGATGTGAAAATTACTCACTCGCCATTGCTGGAGGAGATGGAAGAAGGGGGTCACAAACCAAGGAATAAATGTGGCCTCCAGAAAGTGTGAAAGGCAAGAAAATGGATTCTTCCCTAGAGCCTCCAGAAAAAAGTGCGGCCCTGCCAACACCTTTATTCTAGCCCATGTCAGATTTCTAGCCTAAAAAACTGTAAAATAATACATTTATGTTGTTTTAAGCCATTTAGTTTGTAGTGATTTGTTACGGCAGCAATAGGAGACCAAGACACTGGGCAAATCTGCTTCCTTCCCAAGGGCTCACTTATAGGCGAGGCCGCAGCAGAAACAGTGAGGAGGAAGCAGTTGGAACAGAACAACCTCTCACATGAATAACTCTTGGCCCTCCTGTCTTGATGCTACCATGAAAGAAGAAAGCATCTAATATTTCTCCATAATCTACCTCTTTAAAGTGAAATAATAAATCTGAGAATTTTAGCAGTGGACAAAAGGATAAAGTTCATCTGTATCAATGGCTTTCAAGCTTTCATTTAGCAGAGGAACATTTTTTAAAAATAGAGAATCACAGACAAACAATATCCAAGACATAAAAGTGGAGCTATCCTGATTGAAGCCCAAGGCCCATGGTCTTTCGCCTCCCCTGAGGAACTGAGGACGAAGGACAAAAACCATCCACCTAGGACACTTGGCCCCTGGACTGGAGAACAGCAAAACAAAAGTTAGAACTCAAGTCTCTACCTCAGCCTGGTGCCTAGGCAAAAAGATTGACTATAGGCTGTTCTCAGAACACTTGTGGGACAGCCTTCTGTGGTCAATGAGATTTATGCAGCATCACGGGACATCTGTGAATTTCCTATAGACAGATCTACACCTCTTCTTACATGTTTCTTGTGTATGTTGCACTTTGTTATACACTGGATCTTCACACCTAGAGCCAGTCCCACTGGAGATGTGAAATAAACAGCTTACTACATGATGTGACTGTGTGACAACACAGTCATCATCTGACTCCAAACCTCTCCCCCAGCAGTCCGCCAAGATGCCTGACACTCTACCATTGGAGTCTCTAAGGAATTGCCTACAAAAGGCTCCCTTCAAAATTTAAATACATTTCATTGATTGCAAGGCTCACACTGTATCATTTCTAAACATCTTTAAAATCAGGGCCTAACAAATCTCTGGACTCTTGCAGTTATAATTTTTTTAATGGTACATAAATAAATGTAGCATCTTGCAATCGATGTCATTTTAGATTTGAAGAAATACGGTATGTGACTTGGGTGGATGAGAAATAAATTAACCTATTAGCACCTTTGAAGGCTGAAGCAGATCAGAGTCCTCAAAAAATGGAGATAGGAGTGTGTGTGCATGTGTGAGTGTGCATGTGTGCAAGGTAGAGTCTCCGCACTAGCAGGGATCTCAGCAGACAAGAACAAGCATGACAGGGAAGGGAGGGAGACATGGGAAAGCTTTCTTGGGCTGTGTGGAGCTTATATTCTGACATAGAGATTGAATAAATTAAGATCCTCATTTGGATACATGGCAAAGGTTTTTTGGATTGTGTAAAGTTTATATTCTGACATAAGAAATTGAATAAATTAAGATCCTCATTTGTTCTTGGCAGCAAATGAGATTCCAAAATGGTTGCTAGAGTTATGTTACAATGACATTCCTTATTTCAGAGTCTATAATCAAGCAAATCAAGTTAATCAAGTAAATATAAAATATACAGTTTTAAATGTAACTCATTCATTCTACCAAATGGACATACTCATCATTTCTCTGTACTGGCTAAAGATCAGATGGTAGCTAACATGAGACTTCGCGAGTAACAGTTGGTCAACTAGACTTTTGTTTGTCCTTCCAGTCCATTTAGCTAAATGAACTATTAATTCATTTCACCAGCATCTTCTGCCTTAATCAAAGGTCAGCAGCCCAAAGGTATTTGCCAATCCTAGGATGACATTTAAGATCTAAAAAATAAAATATACTTTTGAAATACAGACATGCATTCATTAACTAATAATTATGATGAAGACAAGAGTTTATTATTTAAACAATTTTTTGTTTGAGAACAGAAGGAGAAACCAAAATTGCAATCCAGGGACTTGTTATTTCGTCTTCCCTGCTGCAAAAATTAGCTATCACTTGGTGTCCAGCCAAGGCCATGAAGTCCCACTTTGCTTGTCTTTCATTATAAATTTGGAGATGTGCTCCTCTGGAAAACAAATTGGCACTAACATATAATAAAATTCTCTGCAAAAGGACAACAGCCCTTACAAATCACACAGAGGAAAAACAACAGTTTTCTGCTAAAAAATTCATCATGTCACTGCCTGCAATTCACCAATATGGGTGCAAATGGTTGGAATATTTTTATGTTTGGCAGAAAAGATAAAGGTCTAAAGAAGAAACATCACTGATGGCTTAACTGAACAGAACATAATGAACTGAAAAATCTCTCAATTTTAGCAGATCCCTCTTCAGCCCTTAAAGCACTCCCAGTAGTGGTGCAAACCCTGTACTTAGGTTATCTTGCAGAAGCTACTGGCATTTAGCAATGCGCTAGCTGATCTGAGGGAAGGTACAGGGAGATATAGAGATGTAGAAGTTGACCACTGAATGCAGCCCTAAGTGAGCAAATGGACTGAGAGAGCTAAAAATCTTGCAAACAGGTACCATTTGTAAAATCAGTTCCCCTTGTTTCAAACTCATTAATGGTGTATTCCTGTATGCTGAGTTTCTGCAGAACATAGCCCATCTGGTTAGAAAAATGCCTACACCATAATTCAGCAGACATTTTCTGAAAATATACCACGTGCACGGCATTGAATGGGGCACCATGGAGGATACATATTGATATTGTAGAGCATACCTGCCCCCAGGGAGCTCACCGTCCATGGGAGGGACAGAAATATCCACAATAGGAAGATGAGCAGAGCAACAGTGTTGTCACCCAGTCACAAAGGGTAATGGGTGTGATGGGAGTCACAGAAGAGGGAGAGATGCATCCTGATGCTGGATGGTGGGAGGAATGGAGACGGTGTTCGGTCCACATCTTAACAGAAGAGTAGAATTTTAACAGGGAATGATGAAGAAAGTTCATTTAGGGCAGAAGACACTGTATGAACAGAAGAGATGATGGCAGGAAAATGCAGGGGTGTTTAGAGCAAGAGTGAGTTACTTGGGGTGATAGTGGTGGATAAAAAAGAGGCTGGATTGTGCTGGTTTGCCCAAATGTTGTCTGGCAGGACTGAGGAAACTGGGAGGCTGTGGATCAGGGGGGTATCCTATCAGGTCACACCATATGTCTTTGCCACCAATCCACCCTTCACGGGCTCAGAAGAGGGAGGAGTAAATGCCTATGATAGCCTGATTTTCTAGCAGTTACAGGAATCACTGCCCTGCACACAGTCTGACCTCATGCCTTAGCCTTCATCTACAGAAACCAAGGCTTTATTGTAGTCTAGCAGCCACTGCAACAAGCCCACTTGGAATCAAGACACCCCCAGGGATACCAGCCAAAGGGAGCAATGAGGGCAGAGCCCAGCCAACTGAGTGATGCTCATCCACCCCTCAACCTGGAGTTGAATTCACAGAGGTAAGCCCCACACTACAGTTAGAACATTTTCAACACCCCAAAAAGAAATCCTATTCCTCTTGGCCCCTCGGTTCTATCTACCACCTCCTCAAACCTAGGCAACCACTAATCTACTTTCTGTCTATAAAAATCTATAGAGATTTGTCTATTCTGAGCATCCCATGTAAGTGGGATCATGCAATAACACCTTTTGCATCTGGTTTGTTTCACTTAACAGAATGCTTTCAAGGTTTATCCATGCTGCAGCATCTATCAGTATTTTATTCCTTTTTTATGGCCAAATAATATTTCACTATGGATACATCACATTTTATTAATCCATTCATCAGTTGATGGATATTTGGGTTGTTTTGCTTTTTGGCCATTATGAATAATTCTGCTATGACCAGTTGTGTACAAGTTTTGTGTGGACATATATTTTTAATTATCTTGGGTGCATATATATGAAAGTGGAATTGCTGGGTCTTTTCTTCTCCATTCCCATTTCTTCTAGCACTTAACATGCATATCTATTAAATGAATAAATATCTGTTGAATGAATGAATAAAAGGCATCTCATCTTCTTAGAAGATTTTTTGGCAGTTAACTACAACACACACCAGCATTAACAACTACAATTGGCAGTTAAGCCTTGTCACACTTCCCTTTGTGGCTTATTTAGGTTGAGGTAAGCCAGGGACTCCTCTCACCTGCCTGATCCTTCTTGTGAAGCTGAGGAAGCTGGGGTGGGTGAGCAGAGTGAGCGTGGACCTCCCCAAATCACCCAGGAAGACAGAGGCTTGTCCCAACTCTGGCAGGTTCTCAGAGCAGCGAAGGCCCCAGAATCTGGCTGACTCACTCCAGAAGATGGAGCTGCCAGGAGCCCAGTCAGCCGCGATGGGGCTTCACAAGGATGGCACCTCCATGCTGGGCTGTGGGATGAGGACAAGAAGGGACAGGGGCTGCATTCCCACCGACCCACCAATCTAAAGATGCTCAGGGCCTGGTGTGTGTGTATGTGGGGAGGTAGGGGTGGTGGCCTGGGGCACATGCACCTGTATACACTTAGTATTCCTATGAATATGCTGCTACCCACAACCCAAGGCATATTATCAGTAATAAAGGGCCACATGGAGACTTGGAATTCTTATTCAGACAGCAGATGCCATGGTGAGGCCTCAGCCCATACCTCGTGCACCCTCCACACTCCTGCCCGGCTGGCACCGGGCTGCTCGGCAGGACAGCACAAGCACCGGGCAAACTGCTTTGGCAGCTGTAACCCAGATTTATTCAGGGCAATGGGCGGCTAGGCAGGTTCCCTCCCAGCTGGTGCTGGGTAGGGCCATGCCCTTCCACGGGCATCCCTATGGCATGCCAGGCTGGGTCAGGCTCCTCACAGATGGTCTGGCAACACATGCTCTGACCCAGCACACAGCTTCTGGGATTCATTGGTCCAAGCAGAGCTACAACAAGCGACTTGGATTTCTAGGGAAGGAGCAGAAGGAAACCCCTCCTGCCACCGAGGCAGGGCTCTGCCGCCCCCTTTCCTCCCCCTATTGACTTTCCATCTGCCCTTCGAGGCCCAGCTGCCCACACACAGCTCCTGCCTCTTGTCATTGTGGGGCCCACATGGACACCCCCTCCTTCCTGTGCTCTCTCATAGTTTGATGGGCTATTTTCTCTCCAGCAAGACTAAAATCCTTAAGGCAAATAATAGTTCTCCTTCCATAACAGCTTTTTTGAGACCTTCAGAACAGAGCCCCAAGTTCAGAAATCAGCAAAAACATTTTCTCAGCCTCATCAAGCCACTTTCATGTCTGATAGTCATACCCATTGACCTGGCCCTTACTCAGTGCCTCGGTGGTTCATGTAGCATGTAGCCAATATTTCGTGCCTAAATAATATTTCAGTCATTTTTTTAAAATGTCAAAAGGAGCACGTGTTCAACATAGAAAATACAAAAGCATTAAAAAAAAACACTACCCAACACCCCACATGCAGAAGCACCTCCTATAAAATGTTGGCGTGTATGCTCCTATTATTTTTCTATTTGTGTTTATTTATTACTTTTTTCAAAACTGTGATTCAAATGTGCGTGCTGTTTTACAACAAACATTATGAATAGATCATACTTCTATTTGATTGGATTTTTTTTGCAATTTTAATGGCTATGTAATATTCTATCACGTGGATGTCATGTGTTTTATTTAATCAGTGTTTAATTGTTCCTTATATTGATTGCTTTCCATTTCAAAATTTATAAATAATGCCATGATGAATAATCTTATACAGAAATAATTTTGCACACTTCTGAATATTCTTTTAGGATATTATGGGATCAAAAATTATAAACTTCTTTAAATATTTTTTTAATTTCCTTTAAAATAGAGACAGGGTCTCTTTATGTTACCCAGGCTGGTCTCAATCTCCTGGCCTCAAGCAATCCTCCCACCTCAGCCTCCCAAACTTCTAGGACTATAGGCGTGAGCCACTGTACCTGGCCAAATATTTTTAAAGCTTCTTAAACTCATTGCCTAATTGCCCCTCAGATGAGTTATAGCGATCTACGCTCTTACTGAATTTGCCTACAACAATTTGTAATAAGCATCTTCTGATTGGAATCCTCAAAATTAAGAGAGGACAAGGGCTGAGCAGGCCCAGTGGTATCAAAAGGTGGAGTAAGAAAAAGTAATACCCAGGCACAATGCTATGCAGAATGGAGAGCCATGTGTTCATAAAAATACCTATATTTGTCAAGAAAATGTTACACCGTCCCACACACTCCCTACCCCCAGTGTCCTCTGCTGTAAGAGGCAGGCAAATATATAACACATTTTAGAAAGTGTTCCTTCCAAAGCCAGCACAAAAGCAAGCGTCCTTTCAGTGGCAGAGCGAGGAGGAATCTTGGTGTCAGGAATCCTGAGTCTCAAGGCCCAGCTGGTCTGCCATTCCCACAGAAACATACCCATCGGGTGCCTTCAGCCTGACCCTCAGTTTCCCCATCCAAAAGTTACAAAGATTATGAGAAGCTACACAGTGGGATTATGTGAGCATCAAACATGATCAAGTATGCCAAAATACTTTGTCAACAGTCAAACGCTGACCTTATTGCTGAGACTGGATGCTTGAAGCGGTAAGCACTGTTCACTTGAGAGGAAGATGTTCTTCCCTGGAGACACTGGAAGGACAGAGAGCTGCTGCAGTATCCCCACAGCACCTAAGAATACAGGAGCTGCTATCAGCGACTCTTTTCCACATTGCAGAGGCTGAATAAGAACTAGTTTCTGTAAGTCACAGGAGGAGAAAGCAAAGACCTTTGCCTATTTAAATTCCGGCCCACAAGGTTCTGCTCTAGACATGGCCAATTCAAAGCTTTTATTGGTCCTTCATGTCATGGGGATTTAACTGCTCTACATTTGCAGGAAGCTTAATTGGCTCCGTTGCTAGAGGATCGGCTCCTACCATTTTCCTTTACATTCGTGGCAGGCCTCAGAGGAAAAGGTGGAAATAATCATGTTCCAAGGTGAAATGAGGTGATGTGCTGGAAATCGCTTGGAAGTGTATAAAATACTAGGCAAAGGTAAGGTCTAATTGTCACCCCTGCTGGTGGAAGCACTAGCTATGCAGGAGAGCCTGTGTAGCACAGTCAGGTGAATTCCAGTGTCAGATCCAAGTCGTATTGAGTCCTCTGTCCCCTACAAAGTGCACGACATTGGGCACATTATTTTACCCACAAACCCTTGTTTCCTCCTCTTTCCAGCACCTTCAGCTCCCTGAACTTGTCTTTGTTCATGTGTTTGCTGACTGCCTTCTTCCACAGAAGCAAGCTCCAGGAGGCAGGGAGATTTTCAGCCTTGTTGACTGGAAGATCCTAAGACAAGGAAGAGCACCTGCCTCCAAAATTAGTTGTCAAACAAATGAGTGCCTCTGGCACTCCCTTAGGACACTGTCTCCAGGAATTCTGTTTTGTCCCTCCGACCACTTCAAGGACTCAGCTTGATGTCTGGAATAAGGGTGACAAGTTAGGGTTGTCAGTGGGTGACAAGAGGATGGGCAAGGAGGGGATGCCAGTGGAAAAATAATTAACTTGCATGAACTCAACAGCAACTTCCTTTAGGAAACTTGACCCACTCCTTTTTTCAAAAAATATAACCACTAAAGGGATTGAGATTTTAGCATGGAATCTCTGTGGGCAATAAGCATTCCTAAAAGGGAGTGTTAATTTTAGATTGAAAAACACTCCTTGCTTTTGAAGAACATATACTCAATAAACATAATGTTTCCACTCAAAAAAAAAAAAGATGAATAGACTGACTCCAAACCAGAAAAGCTTAATTCTTCAAGTGTATATGGCCCCATACAGGCCAAAGCAGTCTTTCTGCCAAGACAGCACTTCCCACTTCATGCCTCCCTTCCTCTCTGCACCTCTGGAGAAAAGGCAGCCAGCTGCGGTGGGACAGGGTGCAAGGAAGCCAGCCTCTCCTAATAGAAATGGTGGGGCTACAAGCGCTGAATCAGACCTGGGCTCTGCCTCCGGGCCAGGACCTTACACTCACCAGCAGCTGTCAGGCGTAGGGACCTGCTCAGGACCAGTTCTGCTCTGCATCTACATTCCTAGCAACATATGTTGAGTGAACGATGGAGGAGAAGCCAGCTTGAATTAATGAGTGAGTGAATGAATGAATGGATGTGTGTTGAGGATGTGTGTGATGTACCAAGTACTGTAGCAGGCACTGTCACCTACTTCTTCATCATCTGCACAGCAATTCTGTGAAGTGGATGGTCATGCCTATTCAAGGTCAGAGAACTCAGGCAGTTTGCCAAAGAACTAACCCAGTACTCAACCCATGGTTTGGACCTACCAGATAGCTGATAAAAGCTCTATTTTGGGCTTACTATGTGAGGAGTTCATAAGTACTTTAATCTCTCTTTCTTTCCCTTCCTTCCTTCCTTCTTTCCTTCTTTCCTTCCTTCCTCTTTCTTTTTCTTTCTCTCTCTTTCTTTCTCCTTCTTTCTTTCCTTCCTTCCTTCCTTCTTTCTTTCCCCTTCCTTCCTTCCTTCTTCCTCTTTCTTTTGAGATGGAGTCTTCCTCTGTCACCCAAGCTGGAGTGCACTGGTGTGATCATGGCTCACTGCAGCCTCGACCTTCCAGGCCCAGGCAGTCCTTCCACCTCAGCCTCCCAAGTAGCTAGAACTATAGGCGTGGTGTACACCACCACTCCCAACTAATTTGTTTTTTTGTAGAGATGGGGGTCTCACCATGCTGCCCAGCCTGGTCTCAAACTCCTGGGCTCAAGCAATCCTCCCATCTCAGCCTCCCAAAGTGCTGGGATTACAGGCATGAGCCACTGCACACAGCCTAATTTTTTTTTTTTAAAGGTGGTAGGAAAGGAAGAGTTTCAGCACTATTATCTGAACCTAGAGAGGGTCTCTTGGCACTGCGCATGTGCTATGGGATCTACAGTGAAAAATTTGAGAGAGATAGTTACTATATTAAACAAAAGAGTTGGGATCCAGAAGATCTTGAAGGTTTGAAGGAGGAGCTGGAATTAAAGTAATGCCCTACCCCCAATTTTTTCAATTACAAAAATCAAACCAATTCACTTAACGTCCTGTCAGAGTCATTAATCTAACTTTATACAGAGGGGGGAGGAGAGCTTGCAAGAATCAGTAGTGATTCTTGTCATTAATTGGCTATGTCACAGCACTTACCCTGTGGTAGTCTAATTATTAGAGGGAGGGGGCAGGGGCAGGAAAGGATTGGGTACAAGATCAAGATTAATGTAGCTGTAGGGCAGTCCTCAAGGCCAGTAGACTAAACTACAGCACTTGGTAGGTGCCTGAGGAAATTACAGGAGTTACATGGTCATTGCAGGTTCTATCTCGTTGTTCCCATCTTATGAAGATGTAGTGAGGATTAGGTGAAATAATATATTAAGAACTTAATGATGCCTGGTATATAATAAATACTTAATAAATATTAGTCATTGCTGTTTTTTCCAAGTCTTCCATGTTATAAATTTCTGTGATGTATATTTTTATTTACATGAAGTATTTTCCTCTTCAGGTTTATTTTCTTTAGCTAAATTTGCAAAAGTGAGATACCTGAATGAAAGGGTACAAGCACCCTTAGATCTCATGATAGTTCACACATATTATCAAATTACTTTCCTAAATCATTATAATGATATATGCCATGACCAGCCACAAGGGAACCATCACTAGCACTGGTTCTTTTTTTTTTTTTTCTTTTTTGAGATAGAGTCTTGCTCTGTCACCCAGGCTGGAGTGCAATGACTGCAACCCTTCACACCCCGGGTTCAAGCGATTCTCCTGCCTCAACGCCCCGAGTAGCTGGGATTACAGGTGTATGCCGCCACGCCCAACAAATTTTTATATTTTTAGTAAAGATAGGGTTTCACCATGTTAGCTAGGCTGGTCTCGAACTCCTGGCCTCAGGTGATCCACCCAACTCAGCCTCCCAAAGTGCTAGGATTACAGGCATGAGCCATCATGCCCGGCCACACTGGGTATTATTATTGATTTTTATTTATAATAATTGGATTGATTTTTAGGGTTGATCCTTCTACAAATACCTATCCAGAGAAGCAGTGGGCTGAGTTTAGCTGGATACAGGGTAGGGCCAACCAACCCAACTAGAATGGAACTGAAGGCAGGAAAGGGCCTCTCAGGTCAGGGAAGACTGATAAGAAAACTAGCAAGGATATGACCATTCTCAGGTGCTCACAGCAGGAAGGAGTGGAGCCATAAGATGCACACTGACCCCGCATCAGGAATGCTGCAGATAAACCCAGATAAGAATGAGAGACTTCTGAGGCCTGAATAGTTTGTTCAAGGAAGAAAGAAAGGACCAGTGGCAGGCAAGAAAAGCTCACAGAAGCCCAGCCCGTGTTGCCTGGCAGGAGAGGTGATAAAAGGAAGGGTCCCCAAATTACACCTTTCTGCAGAGGAATAAGAAGAAGAAACCTGTTGGGAAATCCAGGGACACGATACCTTATAAGGACTTCTGGTCACCGGAACTTGGTACTTTTCTGTTGTTTAAGCCACTCAGTTTGTGGAACTTCGGTAGGCGGCCCCAGCAGACAATGCAAAGGTCCTCCTGCATCTAGCCTGCTTTCATCCCTCTCCTCAGCTCTCAGTATTGCCCCTCATTCACTCTCCTAGCACAGCCGACCTCCTCCTAGTGTATGGAGACACTAGGCACACCTCCACTTTGGGCACTTTTCAGGGCTGTTCCCTCTGCCTGGAACTTCCTTCTCCCCAAACCTGCCTGACTCCCTCCTACACCTCCTTCAGATCTTTACATCAATGTCACGTTCTTAATAAGGCTTTTCTTGACCACTTTGTTAAACATTGGACCTTCCCCTACTCCCACCTTCTGGTTCCTCTTACCCTGCTCTGTTCTTTTTCCTGACAGCCCCAGCCCCTCTGACATACTATACTATTATACTCTCCTTGTTTGTCACGTTTATTGTTTCTTGTCTGTCTCACTGCATTGGAAGTTGCATGACATGATGCTAGGAATTTTTGTCTGTTTTGATCACTGATTCCTCTCAAGTGTCTTGCACAGTGTTTGACACTTAAAAGGCACTCAACTGATGAACAAATGAATGGTCTTGAGTGGCTGATGTGTGTGTGAGGTGTGTGTGTGTGTGTGTGATTTCAGTGCTTACTCTATGTCTACCCCATGCTAAGCACTGCTTGAATGCCCATGGAAACCTCTTAACAATCCTATGGGGCAATAATGATTATCTTCATCTTACGTAAACAAGGAAACCAAGACTCACAGAGACTAAGAATCTTGCCTATGCTTCTTCTGTAAGTTGGCACATCAGAGTCCATATTCACACTCCAGGCTTTCCAATCCCAGTGCCACACTGGTTTCTTGCTGGGCATTGGCAAGGGCTCTGTTCAGGAAAATGCCCCATGCCCCGTTTCCTAGGGATCAGGGTAGTAGCCCAGGGCAGCTGCAGCCCAAGGCAAGTGTTTCTAGAGTGGCCCTGAGCCACAGCTGGCTACCACCCAGCTGGTGATGGCTCAGGCTTCCAGGCTTGGCTCACTGATGATCAGCAGGGTCCAGATCACCCTGGATCTGCCACTCACACGTGTGTCTGGGAGGGTGAGAGAAAGGGAAGATAAGAGAGGGCAGTAAATGAGGGCAGGGAGCAGCAGGCTATTGAAATTCTACACTCACTAGGAGCCAAGTGGGCCGGGAGGCTGGTATTACTGGCTGTGCTCAGCGGGCACCCAGTGGGCAGAAATCCCATTGCCCAGTTCTCCTGGGGCGGGGGTTGAAGGGCAGACTGTAACTCTGTAGTTGTATTGTGATGGCGAAGGAGGAAACAAGAGCAGCTGATCCGGCCTGGATCAGGAGTGCCCACGTGCAAACAGACAGGCCTTTGTGTCCTGGGCCCAGACAACAGGCTGCATTCTTCCCCCACCTCAGTGACGTCCTTCACGAACATGTCCTCAGAGTGCGTTTTCAAAGGATTAATCAGCTAAGGATCAGATGACACGGCATTCCCTGTTACCCACTCTTTGCTGTAGCTGTGCCTTCACTTGTCTCTGAGCACAGAGTGGGGGGCCAGCCCCAGCCCTGCCCTTGGGGTGCTTACAGTGGGCCCCAGGTAGCTGCAGGCCTCAGAGATCTCAGCTGTCAGAATCTCAGAACACAGGAGCTGAAAGGGCCCAAGAGCAAGTCTGTCCCCTGCTTTTTATTGGAGAGGTGATGGAGTAAGCGATAGGGCCATCACTGGGACCCAGGGCTCCTGCCCCTGACAGCAGTGTCATCTGGTAGGAGCGTTAAGCTGCCCCACAGTCTGGCAGTTACATCAGCCCCCACCAAAGGACCTAGATCACCTCCTGGAGAAGCCTGAGGGAGATGGGTTCTTGATGAAGGTAGACTTAATTCTCACTAGGCTTGATTCTGACTGGTTTCCAAAGCAAATGGCTTTCCTTGCCCAAGCCAAAAGCAGGAGACAGGAAACACCCAAGGATGTTTATTGCTGTCCTGCTTAACCACACTGTGGGACTCCCGAATGATCAGTTACCTTGTGAAATGCTTCTTTCTCTAGATGGACAAAAATGTCCCTTGGATACTAAAACGGCCATCTTCCCTGGCTTTTTGAGATCATGCTCTCAGAAATTAGAAGACTTGGGTTCTGCTTCCAGGTATGGCAACTTCAGACTGCAAAATCATAGAAAAGAAGCTCTCCTAACCCCTAATAACCACTGATCTGTTCTCCATCTCCATAGTTTTATTTTTTTCAAGAATGTCCTATAAATGGAATAATTCAGTATGTAATCTTTTTTTACCTTCAACTTTTAATTTTGAGATAAATGTAGGTTATGCAGTGGTAAAGAATAATACAGAGATTCTATGCGCACTTTACCCAATTTCCCTTAATGATATTGCAAAACTATAAGGTTGAGATATAGAATATTTCCAACAGCACAAGGATTCCTCATTGTCCTTTTATTCCCACACTCACTTCCTTTCCACCCCCACCGACTCCTTAATCCCTGGCAATCACTAATCTAGTCTCCATTTCTAAAGTCTTGTCATTTCGAGAATGCCATATTTAAGGAATCATACTGTATGTAACCTTTTGTGATAGGATTTTTTCACTCAGCATAATTCTCTGGAAATGCATCTAGATTATTGTCTGTATTATCGGTCATTCCTTTTTCCTGCTGAGTATTATTCTGCAGTGTGGATGTACCAGAGTTTGTTTAACCATTCACCCATTGAAGGATATCTGGGCTGTTTCCAGGTTTTGGCTACCATGAATAAAGCTATTGTAAACATTAGTCTACAGGATTTTGTATGAACATTTGTCTTCATTTCTCTGGGATAATTGCCCAGGAGTGTAATTGCTGGGTCATACGGTAGTTACATGTTTAGTTTTTAAAGAAACTGACAAATCATTTTCAGATTGGTTGTAACATTTTTTACTTTCCTGCCAGCAATATGTGAGTAGTCCAGTTTCTCTACATCATCATCAGCATTTAATGTTACCACGATTTGTTTTTAGCCATTCTGATAGGTGTGTGGTGATAAAATTGTCATCTTAATTTTCTTTTCCCTAATGGCTGATGATGTTGAACAACTTTTGATGTGCTATTTACCATTTGTATATCTTTTTCAGTGAAATGTCTGTTTATGTCTTTTGCCCATGATCTAATTGGATTATTTGCTTTTTTATTGTTGAGTTTTGAGAGTTCTTTATATATTCTAGATACTAATCATTTGCTGCATATGTGATTTGTAAATATTTTCCTCCATTCTGTAGCTTGTCTTTTCATCGTTTTAACAGGAGCTTTTATAGAACAAAAATTTTAAATTTTCATTAAGTCCAACTTATCATTTTTTCTTTCATGATTATGTTTTTGGTATTAAGTCTGAAAACTCTTTGCCTAGCTGTAGACCTCAAAGATTTTCTCCTAGTTTTGGGGTAAAAGTTTTATATTTTTGTGTTTTACATTTAAGTCCATGATCTATTTTGAGTTAACTTTTGCTTAAGGGTGTGAGACTTAGGCCAATATTGGTTATTTAGTTGGTTGGTTGGTTGGTTGGTTGATTGATTGATTATAGGTGCCTATAGGTGTCCATTGGTGACAGCATCATTTGTTGAAAGGCTTTCCTTTCTCTATGCAGTTGCTCTTGACTCTTGTTAAAGTCAGTTGGGCATAAAATGTCCAGAATAGGCACATTTATTGAGGCAGAAAATAGACTAGTGGTTGGTCTAGGGCTATGGGGGAAGTTGCAGAAAAGTATGGGTCACTGATAAAGGGTACAAAGTTCTTTGGGGGGTAATAAAAGTGGTCTAATATTGATTGTGGTGATGGTAGCATGACTCTGAATATATTAAAAACCACTGGGTTTTACATTTTAAGTAGGTGAGTTGTATGGTGTGTGAACTATATCCCAGTAAAGCTGTGACCAAAAGAAATCAGTTTGGCATATTTGTGTGGGTCTATTTCTGGTTTCTGTATTCCATTCAATCGGTCTATGTGTCTATTACTTTGCCAATACCACAAAGACTTGATCACTGTAGCAGTACAGTAAGTCTTAAAATGTGGCAGATGGTTTCCTTTCACTTTATTTATTTTTTCCAAAATATTTTAGCTAGTCTAGTTCCTTTGCCTTTTCACATAGATCTTAGAATGATTCTATCCATGTCTGCAAAAATCTTATCAGGGTTTGGATAGGTACTGCCGATCCTCTGTATCAATTGGTTTCACATCTGTAGATTCAACCAACCAAGGATCAAAATATTTTTTAAATAAAAAATAACAATGCAACAATAAAAAATACAAATAACAATACAACATATCAACTATTTACATACATTTAATTGTATTAGGTATTATAAGTAATCTAAAGATGATTTAAAGTATATGGGAGGCTGTGCTTAGGTTTTATGCAAATACCATGCCTTTTTATTGAGGGACTTGAGCATCCAAGGATTTTGGTATGGAGGAGGGTGTCCTGGAGCCAATTTCCTGAAAATATCGAGAGATAATTGTATCGCAATAAGTGTATATCAATTTGGGAGAAATTGACATCTTTGTTAAATTTTCCAATTCATGTTGTGCAGGAGATGGGTTTTCTGAATATATATGTAGGAAATATATATAGGAAATATATATATATTAGAAATATATATAGGAAATATATATATATTAGAAATATATATATAGGAAATATATATATATTAGAAATATATATATAGGAAATATATATATATTAGAAATATATATATAGGAAATATATATATATTAGAAATATATATAGGAAATACATATATATAGGAAATGTATATTTTATATTTATATATATATATATATATATATATATATATATATATATATATATACAAAATTTCCAATTCATGAACATGGCATGTCTCTGCATTTATTTAGATGATTTCTTTCATCAACGTCATGTGATTTTCTGAATTTAAGTTTTGTACATTTTGTTAGACTTACCTAAGTATTTATTTTTTTAAGGCTATTGTACATGATATTGTATTTTTAATTGTAGTGTTCAAGTCTTCACTGCTAGTATATAGATGTATGACTGATTTTTGTATGTTTGTCTCGTACCGTTACATTGCTGAATTAATTGATTAGTTTTGGATGTTTTTTTGTGGATGCCATGTCATTTCTAGGCAAATAAGCATTTCATCTGAAATAGAAACAGTTTTATTTATTCCTTTCTGATCTATATGCCTTTTATTCTCTTTTCTTGCCTGATTAAACTGGCCAGAACTTCCAGCACTATGTTGAATAAGAGTGATGAGAGCACACATCCTTGTTTTGTTGCTGATATTAGGAACAAAGTATTCAGTCTTTACAATTAGGTATAATGTTAGCTGCAAGTTTTTCGTAGATGCTTTTTATCAAGTTGAAGTTTCTTTCTATTATTGTTTTTCAAAAAAACTTTTTATCATGAATAGGCATTTAATTTTGTTGAATGCTTTTTCTTTTACATCAGTTGATATGATCATCTAATTTTTCTCCTTCTTTTTTAGTCTGTTAACATAGTGAATTACATTGATTGCGCCAGCCTTATATTTCGGGAATGAACTCTAATTGGTGACTTTTTATATATTGCTAAATTCTATTTAGCAACAGAATACTTCTTTTTATATATTGCTAAGTTCTATTTCCTATTTTCTTAGAAATTTTGCATCTGTATTCATGAAAGATATTGTTCTGTAATATTCTTTTTTTGTACTGTCTTTGTCTGGTTTTGGTATGCAGGTAATACCAGCTTGATGAAATAAATTGGGGTGGGTTCCTTCCTATTTTATTTTCTGGAAAATATTTTGTAGAATTGAAGTAAATTCTTCTTTATTCTTTTTTATTCTCCAAAGACACCATTTAAGCCTGAAGATTTCTTTGTTAGGCGTTTTTTCACTACCAATTAATTCCATTTATTTAGTAGCTTTGGGCTATGCAAATGATCTATTTCATATTGGGTGAGTTGTAGTAGTTTGTATTTTTGAATAGATTTGTCCATTTCATGTAACTTGTCAAATTTGTGTGTGTAGAGTTGTTCATACTATCTTTTTTTATTAACCATTTGATGCCTCCATGGTCTGTAGTGATATGCCCTGTTTCATACCTGATATTAATAATTTGTGTCTTCACTCCTTTTTTGTCAGTCTTGCTAGAGAGGTTTGTTGATTTTATTGATCTTTCAAAGGATCAACTTTTTGTTTCATTGATTTCCTCTACTGTTTTTCTGTTTTAAATTTCATTATTTCTGTGGTTAATTTTATGATTTTCTTCCTTCTGCTTGCTTTGGGCTAATTTTTTTCTTCTTCTCTATGTTCCTGAGACGGGAGTTTAGATTATTGTTTTGACACTTTCCTCCTTTTTCTAGAGTATGCATTTAGTGCTATACATTTTACTCTCAGCACTGCTTTAGCTGTGTCCCACAAAAATTTTGTTGCATTTTCATTTACATTTAGTTCAATGTAATTTTTAATTTCTCTGAGACTTTCTCTTTGATTTATGTATTATTTAGAAGTTATTTAGTTTCTAAGTGTTTGGTCATTTTTTCCATTTTCTTTCTGTTATTGATCACTAACTTGAGTTTATTGTGGTCAGGAGAACACACTCTGTATGATTTCTTTTAAATTTGTTGAAGTTTATTTTATGGCCCTGGATCTGATCTATTTTGGGATATGTTACACTGAAAATTGAAAAAACGTATGCATATTCTGCTGTTGTTAGGCACAGTATTCTATAAATGCTGATTAGATCTTTGTGTTTTTGTTTTGTTTTGTTTGTTTGTGTGTTTGTTTTTTAGATGGAGTGTTGCTTTGTCACCCAGGCTGGAGTACAGTAGCATGATCTCGGCTCACTGCAGCCTCCACCTCTTGGGTTCAAGTGATTCTCCTGTCTTAGGCTCCTGAGTAGCTGGGATTACAGGAGTCCACCACACCTGGCTAATTTTTGTATTTTTAGTAGAGGCAGGGTTTCATCATGTTGGCCAGGCTGGTCTCAAACTCCTGACCTCAAGTGATCCACCCTCCTCGGCCTCCCAAAGTGCTGGGATTATAGGCATGAGGCACCGTGCCCAGTCTATATCTCCTTATATAGCTTTTTCAATAGTTTCTTTTGGTATTGTGTTATATGTCCACATCATAGTCTACTGCTGCCATCACTTTTTAAAAATTCTACTCCTGTGACACACCATCATTTTATCAGTACATATGAGGTGTAGAAACCTTAGCCTCCCTTTATGCCTTTTTATCCTCTCCTTATTATAATTTTCTTAAATATTTCCTTTTCACATTTAGAACCACCTAAGACAGTATTATAATTTTTACTTCAATTATCAAACAAAATCTAAAATACTCGAGGAATCTTTACCCATATTTTTGATTACCATGTTTTTTTTGTTCTTCCTGCCATTCCAAGATTCTGTCTTTTATCATTTCCTTCTGTTAGAAAACTTTGTCTAGCCATTCTGTTAGAGTAGGTCTGCTAGTGATAACTTTTCTTAGTTTGACTTCATGTTCACTGAGCATGTTTTCATTTCCCCTTCATTCCTGAGGATGTTTTCCTTGGATATAGGATTCTGAGTTAACATGTTTCAACACTTGAAAAATGTTGTGCCACTTCCTTTTGCCTCCATGGTTTCCGATAAGAAATCCACTGTTATTTGAATTATTTTCTCTTATGAGTAAAGTATTATTTTTCTCTTTGCATTGAAGACTTTTTTCTTTGTTTTTAATTTTCTGAAGTTTGCTCAACATATGTCTTGACATAAGTTTCTCTGGTTTTATCCTATTTGGATAAAACTTTTAGAATCTGCTTTAAAAATCTATAGGGTTTTTTTGGTATTTTGCCAAATTTGGGAAATTTTCAACTATTGTTTTTTCAGTGCTTTTTCAGCTCTGCCCTTTATCTCTTCTTCACTCCAATGACAAAATGTGTTTTTTTTTTGTTATGGCCCCACAAGTGCAGAGACTATTCATTTTTTTCTCAGTGTTTTTTCTCTCTGTTGTTCACATTGATGGTAATTTGGGTAATTGCTCTATCTTCAGATTCGATGATTTTTTCCTCTTTTTCCTTCATTTTCTTATTGAGCCCATTGAGCTTGTTACTTTCATTATTGTATTTTTTCATTCTCAAATTTTCATTTGGTTCTTCTTTATACTTTCTATTTCTTTACTACTTTCTGTTTTCATTTGTTTTAAGAATGTTCATAATTGCTTTTTAATGATGGCTCCTTTAAAATCCTGGTTAGATAATTCTAACATTTCTGTCATCTTGGTGTTGGCATCCGATGATCATTTTCTTTTTATTCAGTTTGAGATCTTCATGGTTCTTGGTATGATAAATAATTTTCTATTGAAACCCGGACATTTGGGGTATAAGTTATGAGATTCAGGATCTTACTTAAGTCTTCTATTTTAACAGACTTTCTCTGACACTGCTGGGGCAGGAAAATGGGAGAGAGACACTATTTTATTACAGCGAGGTGGAGATGGAAGACCAGGCTCTTCACTTGGCCTCCACTGACACCTGAGATTGGGGCTCCTTATCACTGCTGGGCCGGGATGGGAGTTCTAAGTCTCCACTGTGCCTCCACTGACAACCTCCTGGCTCGGTGAGGTAGGGTTGCTTCTTACTGATCTCCACATGGCCACCACAGGCACCATGGGGGTGAATGGCTCTTTACTCTGTGTAATGATGAAAAGCCCTGACTCTCTGTGAGTCCTGACGCTACCCCAATGGGGAGCAGGACAGGCAACTTCTTGCAGCCTGTTAAATGTTTAGGTTCCACATTTGATCATTGCTGGTATGGAGGTTACAAGTTTTTTGCTTTTTTGTTTTTTTTTTTCACAATGGTTGTCACCAGTAAAGCAGTTAATTTCTAAAATGTTTCTGTTTGGTCAAGATGCCCTTTCCTTAGTTGTCTGGCTAGAGAGAAAAGACTTTTGTTGGAGCTTTTTTTTGTCTGCATTCATCAGCATTTCCAGATTGCCAGTTTCTTGAGCACCCATTTTTGGGTATATAAGGCAAACAACAACAACAACATAAAACAAAAAAATACCACAGGAAGTTCAACCCCTTGTTGTTCCTCAAATCCTAAGGTCGCTAGCTGGTCTGCCTTCTTCTCTCAACCCTCGATTTTCTTTTCTTTCTTTTTTCTTAACTTTTGTTTTAGGTTTGGGGTTACATGCGAAGGTTTGTTACATAGGTGAACTAGTGTCACAGGGGTTTGTTGTACAGATTACTTTATCATTGAGGTATTAAGCCCAATACCCAATAGTTATCATTTCTGCTCCTCCCACCTTCTACCCTCAAATAGACCCCAGTGTTTGCTGTTCCCTTGTTTGCGTTCATGAGTTCTAATCATTTAGCTTTCACTTATAAATGAGAACATGTGGCATTTGGTTTTCTGTTTTTCTGTTCCTGCATTAGTTTGCTAAGGATAATGGCCTCCAACTCCGTCCATGTTCCCACAAAAGACATCATCTTGTTCTTTTTTATGGCTGCACAGTATTCCATGGTGGATATGTATCACATTTGCTTTATCCAATCTGTCATTGACGGGCATTTAGGTTGATTCCATGTCTCTGCTATTATGAATATTACTGCAATGAACATTTGCGAGCATGAGTTTTTATGGTAGAATGCTTTATATTTCTCTGGGTATATACCCAGTAATGGGATTGCTGGGTTGAATGGTAGTTCTGCTTTTAGCTCTTTGAACCCCTCAGTTTTCTTATGCTTGTTTTATATATGATTTCTAGGCTACTTATCTTGAGGAGTGGAGAAAAGCATATCTTTTTCTTCCTGGAAACAGAGTCACTATGCAGCCTTTGAGACTGGTTTCTTGCACTCAGCATAATGCATTTGAGATTCATCTATGTTGTTGCATGTATTAATAGTTTATTCCTTTTTACTGCTGAGTAGTCCACTGTATATTCCAGTTTGTTTATATGTGCATCTGTTGAAGGAAATTTTGGTTGTTTCCAGTTTGGGAGACTATGAATAGAACTGCTATAAATATTTTTGTACAGGTTTTTGTAGGAACACAAATTTTCATTTCTCTAAAGTAAATACCCAGCAGCAGAATTACTGACTTGTACAATAAATTTATGCTTAAACTTTATAAGAAACTGCTAAACTGTTTTCCAGAATGGCTACATCATTTTTCATTCCCACTAGCAGCATATGACATTTTCTGTTACTCCACATCCTTGCTTATATTTCGTATTTTCATTTTATTTTTATTTTATCCGTATTAACAAATGTGTAATAGTATTTCATTGTGGTTTAATTTGCATTTCCCTAATAGCTAATTCCGTTTAACAGCTTTTCATGTGCTTAATTGCCATCTATATGTCCTCTTTGGGGAAGTGTCCATTTGAGTCTTTTGCCCTTTTTTTTCTTTTCTTTCTTTTTTCTTTTCTTTTTCTTTTTTTTTTTTTTTTTTTTTGAGACAGAGTTCTCACTCTGTTGCCCAGGCTGGAGTGCAGTGGAGGGATCTCACAGTAACCTCTGCCTCCTAGGTTCAAGGGATTCTCCTGCCTCAGCCTCCCCAGTAGCTGGGATTACAGGGGCGCATTACCACACCCGGTTAATTTTTGTATTTTTAGTACAGACAGGGTTTCACCATGTCGACCAGGCTTTTCTCAAACTCCTGACCTCAAGTGATCTGCCCACCTTGGCCTCTCAAAGTGCTGGGATTACAGGCGTGAGCTACCACGCCCAGCCAACTTTCTGATTCTTGATCCTCAAGGGATCTGCCCTCTTCAGTCTCCCAAAGTCCGGGGATTATAGTCATGAGCCACCACACCTGGCCCTGTTTGCTGTATTGTATCCATTTCTTCCACTTCTCTGCACTTAGAACCAGTTCTGTCTCTCTCCCTCTACTGCAGTATGCTCAAGGACCATGATCAGCTGACTCCTGGAGGTTTTCATTTATCAGATTGATGTACAACTCTGACAGGTAACCAGGAGGAATGAAGTCCAGCATGAATTTGGCCCCCATCAGATGTGTAGAAGAGCCAGGGGATGAGGGTCTAGAGAGGGAACAACTGATGAATAAAAAAGCTCCCCAAGAAAATTCACATGCTTGGTAGTATTCCTTTTAGCACCAGCTTTTTCTGCTCCTGGCTCCTGGGGAGAAAAATGTCTCCTGCTAGTTCTGAGGCAAACCCAGTGCCACTGGACTCCCAGGGACACAGGAATGTCACCCATGCTCATGGGCTTGATTGTGTTTCAATGGCATTCATATTTCCCTGTCTCCAAAGGTACCTTCTGTTGTACTTGTGTTCCAGCTGGAGCTCTGCTTATGAGACTCCTGGAAGTGGATGTCCTGTTGCCAGCCACATCTCGGAGGTTACTTACTACAGCAGGCGCACCATTCTCTGCCCATTTTCTTCCAAGCAAGGAAGCCCTCAGCCATTTAGCACTCATAATTGTCCTTTATACCTCAGTCTACCCATCCTTTTATTATTATTATTATTATTTTCTCTATTTAATTGCAACGAGAAATAGACAAAAACAACTATTCTTTTTCTCAATCACTTTACTTATTTTTGTTCAGTACTGAACAATTCTCAGCTATTATATTATTGATGTATCCCGCTGCCCATTCTCTTTCTTCTCTGTGAATTCTGGACAGTTTCTCACATGCCACTAGAAGCCCACACACAAGGGCCCTCTGCTTTTCTCTGCGGAAAGCCACTCAGTGCACACAGGAGCAACCCGACAGTGCAGGTCATGTGTGTCCTCAGGGTAGCCCTTTGCTTTGAAAAATGTGCAGAATGTCGGTGAATTATTTTTATTCTTTATGAGATACATGTAGAATTCAATGTTTATTTTGTCATTTCTTTCTTGAGATGCACATCAGCTTTGTGCATCTCAGAGTGAAAGCTCCCACAAGAGCTTCATCCACTGGTCCTATTTGTCCAATAACAAGATGGATGGAGAGTATAAAAAGATGCCTTGTGCTTATAGTAAAAATGATGTTGATGAACTAGGAAACACATGAAGACCTTCCCCTGCCACTCACCTCCATGTGATGAAGTTGGGGACATAGTTTGACGTGGGTCCCCCGGAAGGACCAGGGGATGTGGAAGTCCAAGATGAGACTCAAACTGGGTTCCCCTACCGCCTCCTCACACCTCAGTCCAGATAGAACAAGGGCAGCCTTGCTCAGAAGAACCTGGGGCTTCTACCAGAAAGTACTAGGAGGGAAGTGATGGAGCCAGAGGATGCAACTCATGTGGATGAGACCCATTTGGCCAATGCACAGCCGGAGAATGTGAGTGGAAGCTCATCCCTAGTGCGTAGGGGTGTGCAGTCAGCCACAGTCTTAGGCCCAACCCAGGCCCAGCCCAGCCCCAGCCCCACTGATGTCACTTTGGTGCTGGATTTGTGAGGACAAGGGAGACCAGATCCTGGCTGCCTTGCCTCTTTCTCCCTCCACTCTCCGTTGCCTCCCTGAGTCACTGCTCAGCAATAACCACTTCAAAGCGGAAGCTACAGCGGTCCCAACTCTGGGCTTGATGTCAGACTTGTCCAGTTCAGATGATGTAGACATTTGGACTGCCATCCTTTTGGCTTCAAGTCATTCGATTGGGCTTTTCTTCAGGACTTACACTCCCTTTACACATCCTAACTGCTCAGAGTGTGCTGAGAGAAATCATTTTTTCAGGAGTCAGTTGAGATGAGGGTTGGAGAGCAAGAGGGTTCAGTGTGTCCTCCGTGACCTGCTGTAATGTGACCAAGAGAAGGCCTTACCCAGAAGCAGGCAGAGGCAAGAAAGGGCACCCTGGGACGGGGCATGTGGGGCCATCATGCCCTCCTGTTCCTCTACAAGGTGGCCCCAGCCTTTGAGTTTGGACTAGGAGACCTGGCCCTTTTGGAAGCGGGAGGTTGGCACTATGGTTATTAAAAGTTGCCCTGTGTGCCTGCCATCCTACCTGACCTCAATCCCTTTGCTTTGGTTAATCCAGTCACTTGTCTCATCTTTAATACATGCTCCAAAAACCCTGTAATAAGTTCCTTTGGGAAACCTTGTGTTCCAGATGCCCAAGTAATTCTTTCAGTGTTCTGAGGGCCATAAAACGAGCAAACTGAGAGAGGGGCAGGCTAAAGATTCCTCTGAGTGTCAGGCGGATCTAGTTTCTTCTTTGACATCTCTTCTGTCTCAAAGCACATCTGCTTAACTTGCTGGCCACACATTGCTAAAGGAATCTGTGCTAGCTTTTTCTTACTCCATTTCTAGATTTTTTTTCCCCAGACCAACTCAACACATGAGAAGATTAAGCCAGTATCCAAGCTCAAGGCTGCACCCCTAACAGCCTGATGTGTATGTGGGCAAAAGTTCTAGAAAGAATAGCCAGTCCTCCCCTGCCCTGTTGTGACCTGTAGAAGACTCTTCATCAAAGCAATACCCCTAGCTGCACCTGACCCTGGGCGTGACCTCCAGCCCAATCCCAACAAGTACATATGGAGCCACAGGTCATAGTCAAAACATGCTGGGCTTCCTTCAGTGGCTGGCTGTGCATAGTCACAGAACAGAGCTGCAGAAAAAGGCCAATTTCTATCCATCTGAATTTTGACATTTGATTGCTATTCAATCTTGGGTCCAAACTACTCATAGCCTCAGTTTCTTCATATGAAGATGAGGAAACTTATCTCTCTAAATTTTGGTTTGCAGTGAGACACATGATCCAGTTTGAATCTTATTAATTAGTTGTGTGCCTGATTTTTACTTTTTATTTATCCTTAAGATTGCCCTCTCATTGTGGTTTTAATTTGCATTTCCCTGATAATTAGTGATGTTGAGCATTTTTTATATGCTTTTTGGCCATTTGTACATCTTTTGAGAACTGTCTATTCACATCTTTTGCCCACTTTTTGATGGGATTATCTGTTTTTTTCTTGCTGATTTGTTTGAGTTCCTTATAGATTCTGGATATTAGTCCTTTGTTGGATGCATAGTTTACAAATAATTTCTCCCACTCTGTGGGTTGTCTGTTTACTCTGCTGGTTATTTCTTTTGCTGTGAAGAAGCTTTTTAGTTTAATTGGGTCCCATCTATTTATTTTTGTTTTTGTTGCATTTGCTTTTGGGTTCTTGGGCATAAACTTGGAGGAACTTTGGAAATCTCAAATTGCGGACAGTAGGTCCTGGGACCTGTAGGCCTTAACAGATGCCCAGGTGACTTCAATGGCCGGCCAGGTTTGGAAATCACAGGTTTCCAGGCTCACAGCCCAACTCCTTTACCTGGCATAGAAGGCTCTCCGTGATCCTGCTCCCCCTGCCTTCCAATCCTATTTCATTTCATGCCTCTTTCCTAACAGTTTATGGAATTTTGTGGCCCAACAGTGCTGAAAGCCAACAGTGTTCACACACATGATGTTATTTCACCTCTCTGCTTTAAGATACAGTCATGCATCACATGATGTTTGGGTCAATGATGGAACATATATACGATGGGGGTCCCATAAGATTATAATAGATAGAAAAATTCCTATCCCCTAGCGATGACATAGCCATGCTAAGTTCAATGCATTACTCATATGTTTGTGGTGATGCATGATGCATGACACAACATGCCATGTCATTGGGTTCAAATGGTAAAAGTGAGTTTGGGGAGGCCATTGACAGCTAAGGGCCGTCAGCTCATCAAAGGGAAAAAACAAAAATTCCTAGTATCTAAGTCTTAACACAGGATATTTTGAGCTTCCCTTTGAGTTAACCTTTATAGGGTATAAACAAGCATACCACATTGCCAGTTGTATAGAAGAATAGTCCATATAACTACATAGAGTGCATAATACTTGATAATGATAAAAATGATTATGTTACTAGTTTATGTATTTACAATACTGTATGTTTTATTGTTAGAGTGTATTCCTTCTATTTATTTAAAAAAAAGAAGGTTAACTGTAAAACAGCCCCAGGCAGGTCCTTCAGGAGGGATTGCAGAAGAAGGCATTGCCTTATAGGAGATGACGGCTCCAGGCCTGTTATTGCCCCTGAATACCTTCCAGTGGGACAAGATGTGGAGGTGGGAGAGAGTGATATTGATGATCCTGACCCTGTCTAGGCCTAGGCTAATATGTGTGCTGCGTCTATACTTTTGATAAAAGGGTTTAAAAAGTTAAAAAAATTAATAGAAAAACTTATGCAATAAGGATATAAAGAAAGAAAATATTTTTATATAGCTGTACAATGTATTCGTGTTTTAAGGCTAAGTGTTACTACAAAAGAGTCAAGGTTTTTTAAAAATGTAAAAGTTTATAAAGTAAAACATAACAGTAAGCTAAGGTTAATTTATTATTGAAGAAAAAATATTTCTTAAATAAATGTAGTGGAGCCTAAGTGTACAGTGTTTATAAAGTCTACAGTACTGTAATGTCCTAGGTCTTCACATTCACACACCACACACTCACTGACCTGCCCACGGCAACTTCCAGTCCTGCAAGCTCCATTCATGGTAAGTGCTCTATGTAAGGGCACCATTTTTTATCTTTTATACCATATTCTTACTGTACATTTTCTTTGTTTAGGTATGTTTAGCTACACAAATCCCATTGCATTACAATTGCCTACAGTATTCAGCATGGCAATGCTCACAGACTCAAGTTGTACCTTTCAGAATACTGTTGTGTTATGATACCAAATACTGTAGGCAATTGTAGCACAGTGGTTAAGTATTTGTGGGTAGCCTAGGTGTGTAGAAGGCTATACCGTCGAAGTTTGTCTAAGTGTATTCTATGATGTTCACACAATGATAAAATCGCCTAATGACGTATTTCTCAGAATGTGTCCCATCATTAAGCAACATGTAACTATACTTCCCCTTCTTCCCACAATGGCCTCTTCTAACTTATCCCCTGAAAAATTCCCATTTGTCCTTTCAGCTCCAGCTCAGACACCAAAGAGTTTTTGCAGAATTTTTCCACTTATATAAAGTTCAAAACAGGCAAAACTAACCTATGCTTTAGTAGTCAGGAGAATGGTTACCCCTTGATGAGGGTGGCAGGTGCTAGTCATGTTTCTTGATCTGGGTGCTAGTTACACAGTTTTACTCCAGTTTTTGAAAATTGATCAACTGTGCACTCATGACATGTGCAGTTTTTGTACAACCAGTTCAGATGACACTTCCTCCAGGAAGCCTTTGTGGATACCTCCCTTAGAGTTAATTCTGCTCCTTTCCTGTTGCTGCTCTGCCTAGTTCTATCTTCTTTTCGGGTATTTAACACTCTGAATTACAATTCCTTTATTGACATGTCTGCCTCTCCATCTAAACTGGGAGCTACTTGAGTACAGGATCTGAGAATCCCCAGCACCTGCCAGCATTCTCCCACATGCTCAATAGATGAGAAGGACTGAATGAAGGAGCAAAGAGAGGAAGAAAGCATGAGCTTGGGTGCAATGGCACTTGCTCCTTTTATCTTTCTTCTTATCAAGAATACACGATATGGTGCTACTGAGCTGTTTTTAACCAACCAGGGCAAGAAATGTAAACAGTCTCCCTTACTGTCCCTCTTGTGCCTGAGAAGGATTGCCTGTGCCCCCACAGCTGGGGATCTGGCCTCTGCAGCTCCTGGGGTGCTCAGCTGGGCTCTCAGTCCACCAAGCCGGTAGCCGCTCCTCTGATCTCATCTCTTGTGTAAACGCCACAGTCCAGAAGGCTTCCCATGGGATCACCGAGTTGGCATCTCCTCACTGTCTTCTATTATTGCTTAGCTGGAGAAAACATTTCACTGCTCCAGGCGAATCATAACAATAACAAAAAAATTTTTTAAGGGCTTATAGGACTAGGAGGGGTTCCTGTGGCCACTTCAGAGCTAAAAGCAGACTCACCACTTGGCAACTGGAATGCCACTCCCTACCTGCATCCTCCTCTACCTTCAGTCCTCCCTGTGTCGCCTCAGGTCCCACTTCCTGCAGGTACCCCAGGCTTTTTCCCTCTCTTTCTAACTAGCAAGACCAGCTGCTGGGACAATGGCCACCTATAACTCAGTGTACACGAATATAACTAAGTCTGAAGTAGCTCTGGTGTGGTGAAAAGAGCTCTGGGCTTGGAACCATAAACTCCAGGTCTCAGTTCTATCACTGTCACCTACTGCCTTGGAGCAAGTCACTCCAACTCTCTTGACCTTGCTCTCCTTTTATATAAACCAAGACATAAACAGGGTATATCGCCTATGGATTGCTAGGAGCATTCACAGTGAGATGGGGAAGCGCAAATACTTCCATACTGCTGTAAACTTCCATGCAAATATGAATAGTATTACAGGTCACATGGATGGAAGGGCACCTTTTCAAGGGGTAGTTGCACTTTAAATCTCACATCCTGAAGGAATTTCCAACATCATTGACTGAGGTGGGGAGAAATTGTGGGTCAGATGACTTTCTGATAAGAGCACTCCAAGACAAAAGGAAATAGAAGTATGTGGAAGGTCATTCACCTCCTTTAGGGAGCTGTATTTCCACATCCTGAGCATCCTGTCTCACTGGTTTTCAACAAGCCTGTCCCTAAGGTCAGAGGAGCCCTTCACTATGTAGTGGCTATTCTCCAAGACATAGTTGAAGCTCCAGCCTCAGTGGCCAACACTGATGGCCCACCCATGCCTGCTGCTCCTCTAAAGAACTGCTAAAATTCCCTGCACACACCTTCACACACACAGGTGCAGAAGCCAAATCAGATGGGTAGTAAAACACACCTTCATCTGTCAACATGCCATGTCATTGGATTCAAATGGTAAAAGTGAGTTTGGGGAGGCCATTGACAGCTAAGGGCCTTCAGCTCATCAAAGGGAAAAAACAAAAATTCCTAGTATCTAATCTAAGTCTTAACACAGGCTATTTTGAGCTTCCCTTTGAGTTAACCTTTAAGGGTGTATATGCCCAAGGAATCCTAGGTGAAACTGTAGTGCAATTGCATAGGAATATCTGACGGAGAGAGGGCTGAAACACATTCCTGTGATGTTAGCAAGTTTGTTCCCAGAGCGTCTAAAGGGGAAGCAGAAGATATTCATCCTCAGATGCTCACAGCCACTGACAAAGCACCCAGCAACATGGTGGCAATGAGAATGGCATTGCTGTTTGATGGGCTTGGGATGGAATCCTGGCTCTGTCATTTACTCAGCATGGGACCTGGTGACCCTTGGAAAAGTTAGAGTCAGGTGCCACCAACTCAGTTTCCTCAATTATACAATAGTAATTAAAATGCCCACCTCATAGTGGTACTTCGTGAATGAAAGAAAGATGATGCATGCAGAGTGCTTACCAGTGACTGGCAGGTAAAAACTCACTAAATGGTAGCTGTTTTAATATTGTGCTTCAGAACTAACTTTCTAGTAAGTGGCCCTTTACATAAGGACCCAAATGAACATAAGCATAAGTTAAATTCCATTTTCATCCTCCAAATATCTGTTAGCAAAGGAAGCGGGGACATCTAGGCAAAACGTGGATTAAAGAATGTCGTTTCTTATCACTTCATTTAGGTCATGGTACAAGCTGAAGGTAAAAAGTATCTATAGGGGTGCATTCTGATAGCCTGTCATTCTCACCTAAGCAAATCAGATCCTCCCAAGTGGGGGAAGAACAGAACTTCCAAAGATGGTCCCAGTCTAAGCCACCCACACCAAGTAAAGAGACATTCTAAAGTTGCAGCCAATCCTGAGAAATAGCCACATTGGCTATCTCTTATGGGGCCACCTGGTATCATCTTGATTCTTAATGAGAATGACCGGTCATTCAGGGACTGGGCTCCCCATGCATAGGTAACCCCCCAAACTTCTAAAATCATCTCGCTAAAAGAGAACTGAACTCTTATATTTCAACCACAGCATAGGCACCTAATCCCACCTACCAAATTATAATCATTTTGCATCAGCCATTTCCATACTTGTGGCCTGTAAGTTTCAATTACTTTAGGGGACAGTCAAGTAACAAAGAAGGAGAGTTTCTTTATAAGAAGGCCTCCATTATGGAGCTTCTGTCTCAGAAAAGCAGTCATCCTGCCAAGACCCTACTAGAGCATATAGTTCATAAATGTTTATTGAGCAGTTGACTGATTCATTGATTCATAAATGTAGTTATTCAACAAATGCATACTGGGCACTTACTTCTGCAAGGCTCAAAGGCCAGAGATGATTAAGAGACAGTCCCTGATCTAAAGAAACTCAAAATCTAATGGAAGAGTATAAAAAAGCTGACAATAATATTAGGAAGAACAAAATACATACTCCAGATGAGCTGCAAGTGAATTGCTGTGAAAGCTCAGCGGGAGGAGCAGTTTCCCGGCATAGAGAAAACACTCAATAAGATGCTGGTAAATGAAGGCTGATGGAGCTGGTGAGCGCTTGGCTACTGGTGAAATACTGGCTCCCAGACATGCTCTGCAAAGCAGCCTCATCTTGGCCCACTCCACTTCTGCACCACCTCTGCCCACCACAGACCCCCACCTGAGGCCCTGTGATGGGCTCTGACCTTAGCAGAGCTGGCCTGATTCCTTGCAGCATTCTGAGCTCTTCCTCTCTCTATTGAATGCAGGCCAAGCATTGATCTTCCAGCATCATCAACATGCCACATCACTTTGCAAAACCTGCATCTTACAGGCTAAGCTAATAACCCCCAAGGGATCTTAGGCAGGAGGCTCAGGTTGCAGAAAAATTGGTTCAGTTCTGAGCCCTGTTGTGACTAATATTTTCTACCTTCTATTAAATGAGGATCTTATCAATCTGGGGGCTTCTTTTGCTCTGCATAGGAAATTGAATAGAGAGAAGTACAAGACAGCAAAAAGGGGAAGGAGTGAAACACATAGCAGCATCGGGAATTTTGTCAAGAGACATAGAAGTGCCCAGCAGTTGACAGTTTCTCTGTTGTACAAATAGAAGCAGCCTGTTGACTTAATACAATAAAATCCCAGGGGCACTCTGTGATGTTTCATAATCATGTCTGGGACTTGCAGTTTTGAGATTTGCAAAGCTTTATTCTAATGGCAAAGTGGAACCAAAGCAGACCCTTTGAAAGAGGTGACCTCAGCAGCCCTGTGGGTCAGGGGAGCAGGGTGTGGCCCAGGGGACCTTGGGAAGGGTCCCCTCAAGGCATCGGCACAAGGCAGAGGAAGGGTCAGGGTCTGTAGGGGAAGGTCTGGATTTGGGTCCTGGCTCTCTACAAACCAGACATAAAACCTTAGATAAATCACTTCACCTTTGTGAACCTCAGCCTTCTCAGTGCAGTGGTATTGACATTAACAACTAATTGATCACAAGCAGTTACAGATTTATTTGTTCCTTCTCCACTCCCACTCCTTCACTTGACTATCCTTGGAAACAAAGTGGGAGTAGGCCGGACGCGGTGGCTTATACCTGTAATCCCAGTGCTTTGGGAGGCCGAGGCGGGTGGATCCCTTGAGGTCAGGAGCTCAAGACCATCCTGGCCAACATGGTGAAACCCCATCTCCACTAAAAATATTTAAAAATTAGCCAGGCATGGTGGTGGGGGCCTGTAATCCCAGCTACTAGGGAGGCTGAGGCAGGAGAATCGCTTGAACTGGGGAGGGGAAGTTCAGTGAGCCGAGATCACACCACTGCACTCCAGCCTGGGCGACAGAGCGAGACTCCATCTTAAAAGAAAAAAAAAATAGGAGTAATAAGATCTCTGACAGGATGGTTCAGAGATGTAAACACTGTGAAGTCATTTTCCAAAAGACAGAAATCAGCGCAATGAGGATTTAAACACAGTGAATTTATTGGCCAAAACCATAGATATAGATAGGGTTAGCAAACATGAAGAAACAAGTTTTTCTTTTCTTCATTTTTTGAGAATTGACTATTTGTCATCTCTTGAGACTTCAAGTTCCTAAAATGGCAATTAAGTATAATTATAATGACCATTTATTGAGTGCATGCTCTGTGCCCCACAAGCCCTGTGTTAACTTCTCCATAGGTATTAACTCATGTAATCCTCACAACATTCCTATGAGATAGGAATTTCACAGATAAATAAAGAGTTAGAGAGGTAAGTAATTTTCCCAAAGTTACACAATTAGAGGCAGAGGCCAGATTTGGACCCAGAGCTAAATCTTCTTCTGGGCTAGTTTTGATTTTAAAAACAGAGGCAAGAAGATGGCCCATTCTGAACCAGTGTCACTTTCCTAGGCCATAAAGAACAGAGTCCTGAAGTCTCTCATTTCCTTACCCTCTTCCTGGGACTTTTACCAGAGTAAGAACAGAGAAAAACCAAAGCTTGAAGCTTACAGGTTCCAGCCCTTCACTGATGCCATTGCCCGCTGCTACCCTGGCAGCAGGCAATAATAGTAATTGTCATTCCAGGAGCCACATTTATTGAGCAGTTGCTAGCTATGCTCAGCATTCAACCCTCATCTCATTTAACCTGTTTGTCCTGCTCTAGAACTTCCCCTACTTTACAAGTGAGTAAACAGATCAGATCAAGAGAGATTGAAATTCCACGTTCTGAGTCTTATAATGTAAAGTGGCATGGCCCCTCTTGTTTCTGCTGTATTCACTTGAGACTCAGAGCCCATTAATTCTGTAAATGTTGCTTATGCAGCCCACTCGATGCCAACGCTAACAGCCAGTGGAAGGAAGCTGGTTTCTGGAAACTCACCACAGGCAGCCTGCACCTGTCTTTCCAAATTGCTTTGAGATGAGCTGAATTCGGACCCCTCCCCCTGGTGTGGTGATGGTAGTGGGAGATCGGAATGGAAGAGAAGGAAGGCTGAACAGTTTCCTCCCACCTAGGAGTGGGGTGCACCACAGCAGTGCAGACTGAGGAGCCCCACGCAGTGCTTTCAGGCCAGAGCAGGCTCTCTTCCCTCAGGACAGACTCACTCCGCAGCAGATTCCTGAGATTCCACATGGCTCTATGGTGAGGCCTTATCCTGCTGACCTCTCAGCCCAGGCTGCCCAGGGGCAACCACCCACCACTCCCAGAAGGAGCCCTGTCTCAGTCAAGGCCTCTGAGCTCACTCTGCTTGGCTGCTTGCTAGGGCTAAAGCCTCAGTGTGGTCAAACAGTGTAGGAGATATGGAGGGTGAGAGAGGGAGAAAAGAAGAAGCGGAAGGAAGGGGAAGAAGAAGAAAGGGAAGGAGGGAAGGAAAGGACTTTGGAAGGGGTGCAGAAGGGAAGGGAGGTCAGGCAGAAAAAACAGAAGCCACATGTTGATGTCCAGTCTCCCTGCCCAGACAGGGCAAGAGAACAGGCCCCCGCCATGTATCTCTGAGGCCCAAGCTGGACATGAGGACACGTAGGCCTGGTCTTGGGGTGGAAACTCCCGCAGTTCCAGAGGGGTGAGATGTTAATACAGTCAGAACTGAAACTAGAAGGCCTGGACCAAAGCACCAGGTGTAGACAGGGAAGGACACGAGGCTCAAGCCAAGATTCAAGGCAGTGGGTAGGGGGATGACATGCAGCAGCCTGGGTGAGGGGAGGGTGGAGAGGCAGAAGGAGGTTGAGACAGAAACTTTCCCTGAGAGACTCCTCCAGTGGAACCTGGGGCTGGACAGGCCTGTATCCTGAGTGGGACGGAGCAGGTTGTCTCACTGTCCCTTCCTGTTCCTGCCCCCTTCCCTCCTCAGAGCAGTCCACCTGGGCCAGCTCAAAAGCAGAGTCACAAGTGGGCACCTGATTCCTTCCTCCCTGTGCTGAATGAGAAGGATGCTTTAGCCCTCCTTATCCATTCTGCAGGAATGCATGCAGAGGTGCCTTCCTGGGTGCAGCCCCACTTACCACTTACCAGAGCTTGCTTGTAAGTCCTCCCTGAACTGTTGCCTGCCCCGAAGGGACATCAGAGCCATGCTGATACAGCCACAGCACCAGTGCCATTGCAGATGACCTCGTGTTTTATCTCATGCCCAGGCTCAATCAAACAGAGACACAGTAAGTTCCTGAAGTGATGGGAACACGTACAGAACAGCACTCAGAGCTCCAGGAGCTAGTTATTTTCATCAAAACAAACAATCCTTGTTTACTACCCACAGGACAAGGCCTGGTCTTGAGAAGGCCTCCTTCCCTCCCGCCCACCCTCAGCATACAGATACACCCTCCCTCTCCACCTCCGTGCTGGTGTGCTGGCATGCTGGCGTGGGTCCGAAACCCACATGGGGACCTGGCTGCCTGAGATCCCTCCACCCCACACTGCCTCCCATGGGCGCCAACCTTTTCAAGCCCCTAACCATTCCCACCAAAATTAACCCAAGCTTCCCTGAGCCCAACTGGGAGTTTCCAGAGGGGAAATAATATTAACTAGCTGAGCTCCCACTAGACTCCGGACATTGGAATAGCTTTACAAGTGTTCTATCTTCAGTCCTTACAGCAGCTCTTTGGGGAGTTGTGTCAGGAGGAACCTAAAGCTCAGAGAGGTTAAATACTACACCCAAGATCACACAGCAAAAAGCACCAGTGCCAATATCTCAAAGTATTTTTTTTTCACTCAGCTAGTCCAATTTTTAACATTTTTCTGAAGTCTAAACTAAGTTAGACGGGGATGGACTTTATTCAACTTTGTATGCCCTAGAGCTGGCCTACTGCTCAGTAGGTAAGAGGTAGAACCTCAATGTTGAATTAACGAATAGATGAATAAATGAATGAATAAGAGACAATGCATATGTTGAAATGAACCTTGATGATGATAAATGAAGATGTTAGTCTTCTCAGATAACATCCTTATGTATTTGTATGCTAAGGACAATTCTGAAGCAATGGTCCTATTTTAGTTTGTGTCTTCCTTACCAGTTCTTAAAAAGTGGGCTTGGGCTGGGTACAGTGGCTCATGCCTGTAATCCCAGCACTTTGGGAGGCCAAGCTGGGAGGATTGCTTGAGCCTAGGCGTTCGAGAATAGCCTGGGCAATATAGTGAGATTCCACCTCTACAAAAAAAAATTTTTTTAATTAACCAGGCATGGTGGTATGTGCCTTTAGTCCCAGCTACTTGAGAGGCTGAGGTGGGAGGATCACTTGAGCCCAGGAGGTTGAGGTTGCAGTGAGCGGTGATCGTGCCACTGCACACCAGCCTGGGCAACAGAGCAAGATCTTGTCTCTTTAAAAATAAACCAAAAAACAACAAACTGAAGCCTGTTCAGAGGAAAATATCAGCATTAAAAGGAGCCCACATTGATATATCAGGAAGAATTATTGTTGATACTGTTAGAGAACAGAACATTCTGTGTCCAAATATTTGAAAGCTGGGTAAGGGTGTGTGGAAGAGGAAGAGGTTCTAATTCCTGTTCTCTCCATGAGAACTAGGATCAGGCCAGGCGGGGTGGCTCACATCTGTAATCCCAACACTTTGGGAAGCTGAGGCTGGAGGATCCCTTGAACACAGCAGTTCAAGATCAGCCTGGGCAACATAGTGAGTAAGACCCTGACTCTATTTTTTAAAAATTATTTTAAAAAATAAAAAAAGGAGTAGGATCAAAAAGTGAAAATGTGGTGGGGCTGATCTATCATGAACATATTTGATTTCAGGCATTCATTCAACAGATTTTTGGGGGGCACCTCCTGCAAGTGAGGCACAATTGAAGGTGTCTAAAGAAGAAATCTTATCTAAATTGCGATGCCTCTAAGAAAAATTACACAAAATTTACTAGGGGCTTTTCTTAGGGCCTTGAAAAAGATCTATATGAGTAAGGGGCCCTGAAGTTTAGACTATCACTTTCACAGTCAGTTCGCCTCTACCCTGTGCACTTCCTCCCTCATCAGTAATCCTTAAATTTTATTATTTATGCTTTCATCAAAAACAAGCAACTATATGTATTTATATCCCCCTTTTCTTAAATAAAAATAAAATACTATACTTGTTTTCCAACTTGAGTTAATATAGCCTCTAGATAGCTTATAGCAGTATATATAATTATTCCTCATTTCTTTTTATAGCTGCATAATATTCCATTATGTGGATATACCATTGTTTATTCAACTATTTCCCTGTTGATGAACATTTCATTACTTTCTAATCTTTTACTGCTAAACAATAATCCAGTGAATGACTTGGAGTGTCATCTTCTTAATATTTGTGCCATCAAATCTTTTGGATGGATTACTAGCTGTGGGATTGCCAAAGGGTCAATACATACGTAATTCTGTTAGATATTGCCAAATTCCTTTCCATGGGGGTTGTAGCTGAGGCCTCTCTTAATACCAGCCTCTCCCGCCACCTGCTGCTGCTTCATGCACTGCCCATAAAGTGTGGCCCACAACCACCTCCAGAGTGGCCAGTATCTAGGGAACACTCTGAGAAGAGGGAGAATCACAGAATCACACAGTGGCGGGTTGGGAAGGGCCCTGAGGTGGAGACACCTAGATTACAGGGGCATTGCTAAACTACTGCCATCCAAGGCTGCCTGGAGTCAACAGGCTTTGAGGATCTATCTCTGAGTTGGGAGATGATTAGTAACAATGTAACATCAATAATGATCTGAAAGATAATTATTATCAGCTTAATAATAATCTGAAAGATCAGATGGAACAGAGGAGTACTGGAATTGCAGGTAGCTGTGCTCGATGTGCCTCATGCCCACTGGGGCCTCCAGACCCCAGGGCCAGAAGAAAAGGGCCTCAGCTCTTCAGGGAGAGATCCTGTCCACCCTCTCAGTGTGTGTTCACACTCAAAACTATAAGGTCAGTAAGTTGGACAGCAGCTTCCCAGGACTTAGCTTATTTATAGCACAAACTATAAATATGACCCCCTCCCCAGCCCACCCCTCCCTTGTGAAAATGGTGTAAAGAGAACAATGCAGCAGGACGGGCCATGTTGCCATCTGTGACTCTCTTCCTACAACAAATGCTTCACAGCTGCACGTCACCTGCCAGCTCCGTCAGCGCGCTGGTGTACTTGAGCTGACGGCATTCAGGGTGCAGCTGGGGCAGGGCCAGTGGAATCCCAACCCTCTGTTAGGAAGGAAACCTCATCCCTTCTCAGGAATAGCTTGACAACAGGACAGCCCTCAGAGGTCACCCCAAATGCTCCTGAGAGAATAAAGAACCATTCCATGACCAAAGAGACTGTACCATGAGGCAGTGCAGGCAACGCTGGGCATCCCCAGCAGGTACCTCAGTCCTTCCAGAGTGTGCAGCAACATAAGGCTCTTTTTAAAGCTTTTACACCACACAGTACAGCTGGGAGCAACACATTCCCACTCCAGCACAGAGGCATGTGAAATAGACCCATCAGAAACTGAGAGCAAGTACATTTCAAATTTGCCTCTCCACTTGGAAAACTTGGAGGACAAATTTTATGTCCACATTTTGTCACTGATTCTATTATTTCCAGGTCAATATTATTGTTTTTAAATGATTAGGATCACACTCATTTCTTTTTTCTTTTTTTTTTCTTTTACTTTAAGTTCTAGGGTACGTGTGCACAAAGTGCAGGTTTGTTACCTATGTGTACATGTGCCATGTTGGTGTGCTGCACCCATTAACTCGTCATTTACATTAGGTATATCTCCTAATGCTATCCCTCCCCCCTCCCCATACCCCACACACTCATTTCTTTGTAATTGTTCCAGGCCGTCAGGGGCTTTGTTCTTCTCTGCCCTTCTTAACTTAGCAGCCAGCCCTCTCTCCCTGCACTCGAGCATTTGCAATCTGTCTGCGGCTCGAAAGAAAAGCCAAGGGGCCCTCGTCTCTGGCTGCTCCTAGTCCTGACTCCAGATTCATTGCAGCGTTGCTTGGGTTGCTTTGCTTGAAGCTTAAGGAGAAATAATTAGGGAGGACTTCAGCTTGTCCTGGACAGGAAAGGATTTAAAGAAACCATCCCTGCATCTGAACATGGCCTAACAATGATACAGCCTCTACCAAATGTGACTGTGGCTACAGCCTAGGAAGAAGAGGGTGCTTTTAAATCTCCCACTCCTCATCTGTACACCCACATTCATAGCAGCATTATTCACAATAGCCAAAAGATGACAGCAACCTGTGTCCATCAACAGAGGAATGGATAAACAAAATATGGTCTATGCATACAATGGCATATTATTCAGCCTTAAAAAGGAAGGAAATTCTGATACATGTTACAACATAGATGAAACTGGAGTGAAATAAGCCAGACACAAAAAGATAAAAACTATATGATTCTACTTACATGAAGTACCTAGAGTAGTAAAATTCAAAGAGATAGAAGTAGAATGGTGGTTGTTGGGGCTGGGAGAGGAGAAAATGGGGAGTTTTTTTTAACAGGTATGGAGTTTTGGATTGGGAAGATGAAAAAGTTATGGAAATAGATGATGGTGATGGTTGCACAACAATATCAATGTACTTGATGCCACTTAAAATTGTTAAAGTGGTAAATTTTATGTTATGTATATTTATACCATTAAAAAATAATTTTTTTTTTCTGGAGATGGAGTTTGGCTCTGTCACCCAGGTTGCAGTGCAGTGGTGTGATCTCGGCTCACTGCAACCTCTGCCTCCTGAGTTCAAGCGATTCTCCTGCCTTAGGCTCCTGAGTAGCTGGGACTACTGGCATACACCACCATGCCTGGCTAATTTTTGAATTTTTTACTGGAGATGGGGTTTCACCATATTGGCCTGGCTGGTTTTGAACTCCTGACCTCAAGTGATCCACCCTCCTTGGCCTCCCAAAGTGGTAGGATTACAGGCATGAGCCACCACACCCTGCCACAAAAAATAAAATTAAAAAAAATAAATTTTTTAAAAAAGGTTTATGCCAACAGTCATTTAAAATGTACACTTGCTTTAAGGATTAATGCAACAATGAGTTTAAAATAAGTGCGTGATTTATCAAAAAAGAGGGTGAGTCTACAAAGAGATCATAAGACAAAAGTGAAGGAAACCAGGACAGATGAGGGCCTCGGGACAGGGCCTAACAGTAAGGAGAAACTCGAGGGAAGTAGGGTTAACTCTAAGGTATGACCACATTTGAAGTAGCCTGGAGAAGTCAGTGAAAAAAAAATCCTCATTCCTTCAGGCACTATTGTGACTTTAGGGGATCCAGACCTGTCTTGAGGGTTCTAGTAGCTACAGTTGAGATCTAAAGCTCAGATACATCATTTCCTTTCAATGACTTGGCCATGTGGATAGAAGAGTGAAGCATGGGAGCTGATGTGTTGATCTCAGGAGATTGATTGCTGGCTTTCTGTGTCCTTAAGCTCTTCATGGAGAGCTCAGCTGCCCCACCCAGGAGCCATCCCAGTCTAGAAAAGCAAACCCTCTTTTGACTGTCAATCCACTTGGTGTTTGCTTTTCTCTCCCGGTTCTCAGATTCTTGCTTCTGTGCCCAGGATCCTTTATCATCTGGCTCCTTTGACTTGGAAAATCCCCAAATTCTAGCCTTTGGGGCTTCTTAAATGATCTTAGCTCAACCCACAAAACTCCTTGCTTTATTCTCTAGCAGTGAAGGACAGCATCTCCACTCCTACAGTGCAACTCCCCCTTATGCTCCTCCCAGAAGAGGCAGAAAGAGCCTGCCCTCCAGGTCTTTTTGAGAAGACACCTGTGCACTGAGATGTTGAATGCTAGGTCCCCACCCTACAAGGTAGAGGGAGAGCACTGGCCGCTGCAGAAGCCAAGCCTGGAGAGATGGGCTTCCTGACCTCTGCACAGAGCAGAGTCCTGGACCTTCAGACCCAGAGGCTTTAAGATCAGGGGCCAATCTGGAATCATCTCTGCAGTGAAATAACTGGGTGTCAGTGATGGCAGCGGCTCCCTGCCTCTGTCATCACACCTGCCAGATTGCTTTCAGGGCAAGGGGCTCCCTTTGGCCTCCTAGTTCCTCAGCATTCACCTTCCCGCCCTGCTTGTGTCTCTCTCTCTGTTCCACATTAGAACTGGTTGCATTTCAGAGATTCAGAGACATCTAGCCTCAAACAGACCTAGGGAATCTGACCTATGAACTTCTGCGTGACTGGCCTGGCCCAGGTTCTGCTGATTACCCTCAGTGAATAATAAACTTTAGCCAAGTCTGATACAGTTGCTAAAGATCACTTACTCCACTGAAGATCTAACTTGGCTTGTGGGTCCCTATGATTACCATCTGCTTGGGGAAAGAGGAGAAAGTAATGCAGAGTTGCTAAGAGCGCCTGCAAGAGAGATGTCCTGTTAAGTCTCTCCTGCCTTTTCTCTATAGGCAACCCACCCAAAGAGTCTCACCCTTGACAGCTGAACTGGCTGTGAACCAGAAACCAAACACATAAATTTTCACACACACATGTATACACACATACATGTATGTGACTATATACACACATATATACATTCAAATACACATACATAGCAATATAAATAAATATAAGTATGGGTGTATATTTGAATGTATAAGTGTGTGTATATATATTTATTATATATAAGAGATTTATATATATATGAAATACAGACACTTAGTGCTTACTACATACCAGGCTCTGATTTACACACTTCACAAATAGTAGCTCCTTTCATCCTCGTAATGACCCTGTGAGGTAGACAATATTCATGTCCTTATTTTATAGATGAGGACATTGAGTCACAGAGAGATGAAGTAAATTTTCCGAGGTCATTCAGCTAGGGAGTAGCAGAGCCAGGATTCAAACCCAGGATGCTCAGCCCTAATCGCGATGCAAAATCTGATGTAAAGCACTTGGTATGCAACAGGTACTGGGCAATGATAGGAGGATTAGCATTATTATTTTACCCAGCTTCAACTCAGCTACCTTTTCACTGTGTAACACTGGAAAAATGCCCGGGAACAAGCTTCTTTGGTAAATGGCTGGTTCTAGTCAAGTCAGGGATACAGGATGATACAAAGTGATTCCACATACATGACCTTTTGCACTCCTGCATTTAATATTAGTTGGTTTGTCTAAAGACCTATAACTGATCATGATTTCTAATTTTCCAGAGGCATAAATCTGAGTCATGTATTGGATTCAGAATCTGGTTTCTGAGCACTGATCTTGTTGTCAGTGAATGGGCTGAGCCACCTGTGACACATCTGCATCACGTCATAGCTTTATTACCCTCTGTTGCTGCTTTTCATGTAGAAATTTGTGAATGACAAAAACTCATGTTTCTTTATGGAAAATGGATGCCACAAGAATGATAACTGCTGGTGCTGATGATGGAAGCAAAGAGATATAAAAAAATGGTCATTCATTCTTCAAAATGGGAGTCTTAAACAAGTTGAAGAAGAGTGGAACATGGGATTGGCAGTGACCCAGATCTGTGTCATGATCACGTCTACCATAAGCTCTATGCAAAACCTCAGAATAAGTGGTTTGTGAATTTCTACAGATATTTGTCTGGAAAACTGTGTGAAATCTGAAAGGATGGGAACTTGAGGTATGAGAACGTGTAAAGAGAAGAGGAGACCTGACCGAAATGATATGCTATAGAAGTCTTTACCATTTTAAGAATTTCCCCAGGTCTGATGGAAGCTTCATGAATGCAATGGATTTGCTCTACCTAAGTACACAGCTTGGTAGGGGATTGGATATAGAAATCCCTTTCTCTTTTTATTCAGGGAAGAAAGCAAATGGGAGCATCTGGGATCATGAGGGTATCGTGTTGGAGTGAGCTGGGCTAAGACTCCCCATGACCCATCCCTGGCCACAGCCAAAGGGCTGGCTCGAGACTCCTCCCCAGCCTCTCCATTCCCAAGGCAGCACAGATTCCTGCTTCACGATTGGCAGGTTCAAGTATGATCGCTCTACCCTTGGCCTCATTTCCTCAATGCCCTGCCCTCCTTTATTCCTCTGCTTTCCTGGCTTCAGTGTTTCTACCAGCATTTTCAATATAGAAGGGGACTCATCAGATCAGCTTCTACCAGGGCTGATATTTAACTTGCTGAGGAGCCAACAGTTGTGACATTAAGAAAGAACAGTAAGAGCAACGGTGTCACTGAAAACAAGGATAACTAGTGGGCTATTTTATGCACAAATGGTCCTTTGCCATTCCCATCAAGCTGAAAACAAATATCCTGAAACTATTGATCAGCAGCCAGTTAAATTAAATATCTAATTAAAAGAGAACTAGAGCTGTTTTAAAATCAGACACTTCAAACACTTGCCAGTCAGAACATGATGAAACTGGGGGTTTTAACTCAGTAGCAGCAGCAAATAAAATATTTACAGATCTAAGCTGAAATAAATGCATAGATTCTCATTTTTAAGGAGGATGCACATAGTGCTATTTCAAACACACCCTGGCGAATACTTGATGCCTCTGATTTAGAGAATGTGCGGGGAGCACCATTTGTCAGGAAATGGGATAGAACCATCCAATGTTTCCAAGTGTGATCATTTCTAATGGAACAGGGAGAACTCTACAAATGGAATTCAAGTAGGATTGCCAGATGAAATACAGGAGAATGAATTGTCTTTTGAATGTATGTCCCAAATATTGCATGGGACATACTTATACTAAAATTTTATCTGTTTACCTGAAATTCAAATTTAACCAGGCATGCTGTATTTTTATTTGCTAAATCTGGCAACCCTAAATCCAAGATTGTAAGTAACCCCGGTGACCTGGGAGAATAGTTGGGTGACCAGCAGAAGAGAATCCTGGAGTGGTTCAAGTGCTGCAAGGGTGTCGTGTGAGAATTCGAGCTTCCGTCTCTTCATTTGTACAGGGGAGAATGATACTGTGCAGAGCTGCTGCTGTAAGGATTATCTGTGAAGTCATAAATCACATAAATGTCTGTCACATTTCCTGTATGCAGGAAATAGCAGTCACTATTGGTATGTAGAGGGCCTATAGCCAACGAGCGGCAAACAATAAGCCCTTAATATAAATTGGTTCTTATCTCTAAAAGAAAGAGAGCTGTTAGGTAAGAGTGGCCATCATTTATGAGCACCTATCATATATATCAAGCACTTTGCCACATTGTCTTTTTTTTTTTTTTGGATAGAGTCTCACTTTGTTGCCCAGGCTGGAGTGCAGTGGCATGATCGTGGCTTATTGAAACCTCAACCTCCCCAACTCAAGAGATCCTCCCGCCTCAGCCTCCTGAGTAGCTGTGACTACAGGTACATGCCACCATGCCTGGCTAATTTTTTTGTATTTTTTGTGGAGATGGGGTTTCGCCATGTTGCCCAGGCTGGTTTTGAACTCTTGGGCTCAAGCAATCTGCCTGCCTCAGCCTCCCAAACTGCTGGAATTACAGGTGTGAGCCACTGTGCCCAGCAACACTGTCTCATTTAAGCCTCATTGAAGATCCTACAAAAATAGATATGATTATTATCTTTTCATGGGAATAGAAACCAAAGCTCAGCGTTTAGTTGACCTAATATTATACCTGTGAGAGGCAGAGCTAGGATCCAAACCTGCTTAACTCCAAATCCTGTGATCCTTTAACCATATCACACTATTCCTCACCATTTGACTCCAGGCAGGTAAGAATCTTGCTAGAATAACAGATTACTATGTTTGCCACAGAACTGACATCAACTTAACCTCTTCTTGTGATAAATTTTTATCTCCAATAATTGGGGAATTTTTTTTTTCCTGTAGGAACTCATCTGCAGTCTCATGATGAAGTCAGTGAAGAAATGGATTTTGCATTTTAGAAACTCATTTTATTGTCTACCTGGCTGATATGCCTATTTTGCATAAAATAACAGATAATTGTAAAATTTTAAAATAAAAATACATAATCCTTTTGGAAAACTGGCAGGAAGTTAGATGGTAACTACAGATTACTTACCAGCTTCTTTCTTGTCCCAGTCATCCTCACTGTACCACCTCATTTGTTTAAACTGAACCCCAAAAGCCTGCTGCTCTTTCCCCTGTGGGCTTCACTGGTTAGAATAGGAAATAAAATGGTGGGCAGGGAGGCTGCCATGCTGGAAAAAGAGAGCTTTCGGAGGAAGGACAACCCTGAAAAGTCAATGCCTCTTTTTATAGCAATAAAAAGGCTCTTAGTTGGGGCATCACCCAGGAAGGAAGAATTCCTCCTTTGAAGGAAACCATGTTGTGGGGAGAACATGACTCAGTGTCATTTCTTGCAGGATTTAATGCATGGGGGACTTTTGGGGAAGACGCAGGAGCCAGTGTCGTGCCAACCATGCCTGGAAGGGGAGGTCAAGACATAAAGCCAAAACAATCCATAGAAAAGAGAGATTTTGCCAATCCATACTGAAAACGCTTTCCTCCCCAATGCCTTGGATAGTTGTCTAAAATGTCAGAATGGGGAGACACAGCCAAGTGCTTTCAGTATGCATGTTCTCAGTAAGACTTTACCTTCCATTTTTTTTATTGATAAGAATATCCCAGTACTTTGGGATTGTCACCTAATCCTACTTAGTTTTTTTTTTCCTACTTTTTTATTGTGATAAAATACACATAACATGAAATTTACCATCTTCACCATTTCTAAATTTACAGTTCAGCAGTGTTAACATCGATGACATTGTGCAACGCTACTTCATTTTGCATTGTGATTTTGGACAGGGCAGGCAAAAAAGAAATTTCACCCCTTGCCCCTTATAACAACAAGTTTCTTGAAAAATACTTAACTTACGTGGCTCCCTTCTGAACCTTGCCTGTTCGTTCCTTCCTTCTCCCTCCCTCTCAATCATCCCTTTCCCTTTTGCTCTCCTTTTACTTTGTCAGCAACACTTGTGTTTCCTGGAACAATCACTGCCTTTGTATTGATTATCCATTTCTTTCCAGGTCCTGTGGGAGCTGGTTTCACACCTGTTGGCTCATTTGCCTCCCCTCTTTCCTATGGCTTGCCCTTCGGCCCACTGACCAATCATTTTGGGACCCCTTCTCTGGCGCCCCCATTCCTCCAGCCCAGACCCTCTCTGGACTCATGGGTCTGAAATTAGTGTTTTAAATCCCGAGTTTGTGTCTGAAGGTCAGCTGGAGAGCTGTTTACATGTCTGTAAGCCCCAGAGGGCTTATTTGCACAGTGTACTTACCTAAGCAGGGCTGGTTACAAGCCTCAGAGGCCCCAAGAGGGCTTCCCAGGCCTGGCCAGCAAGAGCACAAACAGGGAGCCATGGAGGACTGTTGTTGCCGAAGTAAGTTTTCAGCTTCCAAAAACAAGTCTTCTGATTTGCTACCAAGCCTTTCGCCTTGTTTATGCCATCAGGCTCCTGAGTCTCAGCTTTCCCCGTGGGGCTAAAGTCTTCACTGCAGAACTATATTTGTCATGTGTTTGTGTTTGAGGCAGATTGTCAGCCGCCCTCTTAGACGCTGTCTCTGAGCTCTGCACAGGCCAGAAAGGGAGAGACGCAAATTGGCACCAGGATGTCTGGGGTTTATCAGATGCTTCTTTCTTTCAACCTAATGACTATGTTGCTTCAGGGGCTGCCCTAGGGGTGTATGAAGACAGCTGAGTTTCCTTTATATCTGTTTATTATCCGCTTTCTTTTTAAAGGAGTTTTGAAGTCTTAATAATTTGGTACATGGTTGTGTTTTGCTAAGATTGTGGTGAGGACTTATGGCTCAGTTTTGTTTTTATGTTAGTATAATTGGTCTAGTTCCTGCTCCACAAAGTGTGGCTGGTGTTAAAAAAGACTATCTAGCACAGAGTATTATTTGGGGTCTTTGGGATGGAAGTGGTGGTGAGTAGTATTCATGAGCAATATCAAATACAGAAAACTCAATTTTTCTCCATAAATCAATGATGGTGATGGTGGTACTAGTGGTAGCAGTCATGATGGTAAGATGGTGGTAATGATGGTGGTGATGGTGATGACAGTAATGATAGTAGTGCTGATGATAATGGTGATGACGGTGACAATTGACAGTGGTTGTGATGATAGAGGTAGTGTTGAGATGATGGGGATAAGACTGTTAGTGGAGGAAGAAGAGGAAGATGATGGTGAAGAGAAAAGGAGGGAGGAGTGGTAATGGGGAGGGACATATTTCCATTATCATGATCCTAGGTCTGTGACTGACTCTTAGCCTGGAAGATTGCCCAAAGTGGATTCCCTTCCATAGGCTACCCCATTAACTCTGGCCTTGCTAGCATTCAAAAACATCAAGTTTTTGTAGACAATAGCAGGATCCAAAATGAGAAAAACACAGTAATTTCTCACAGAGCTTCCCAGTATGAAGATTGCTTGGAGAGAGTTTGATCATGTGTATGAGTCATTACTTGTTAGCTCACCTTGGCAATCTTTAGATACAGAAAGAAGATACCAGTGGTGACTACTGTGCTTTTTACCCAGTACTTGCTTGAGGAGAAAAAGCAGGGATTTTGGTGTTATACGGATGAGGGTTCAAATTTCAGGCTTTTCATTTCCTACTAACTTGTCCTCTTTAAGCCTGACTTTCCTCATCCGTGAAATGGAAATGACATCTACTTGACAAGGCTGGGCAAATTAAATGAGACAGAGCATGGCACGTAGTTCTCAATGAATGTCACACTCTTCCCAGAAGGGGAGGTAATGACGCTCCCGGCAGTTTTATGCTTACTTTCTGCTTCTCCTAAACCTAGATATTAGCTAGGACTAGCAGGCACTTCCTACCCAAAACATTTTTCATGAGTCACCTATTTACTTATTAAGTAAAAATTAGATTTCTATGACTTAGGATCAGAAAGCTTCAAACATCAAAACAATAGTTTAAAAGAGAGAGAGAGAGAATTTAACCACTCAGTTGGTTGTTTTTTCAACTGCTGCCCAGCTGGTTTTTTCCACTAAATGGATTAATATTTTGGTTAACTTGACCATTTAAAATGATTCTATAACTTTTTTTTTTTACGCTGTCAGGATGTTTTCCTTGATATCTGGCCCTAGTTCTCTTTGCTTATGTCATTTCATCATTACTCCTACTTATGCCGTCTGGTACCTGAATTAAAACATTTAGATTCTATCTTTTGAATTTGTGCCTTTCAAATATTTATAAACCATAATCATGACTTCATACAGCCAATCCTATACATATTTAATTTTTTTATGAAGAAGTCCTTTTCCCCTAAATTATTTATTTCCTCTCTGAAATCTTTCCAAAGTTGTTTTAGCCTTAAGATGAAGAGATGCCCCCAAGTGGATTGTTATCAGACAGACTCTAAAAAGTAGTTGTTGTGAAACCTGGGGTATATATTAAAAGTTCAGACTTCTAGCCCTCATCACCAGTGATTCTGATTCATGGTTCTGGGGTGTGGGGCCCAGGAATGTGCATCTTAACAGCACCCTCCTTCCCCTCTCCCCCACATACAATATCCTCTACCCAATTTACAGGTAATTTTGGTGTGAATTCCCTGTAGAACACACTTGAGGCACAGTGCCACCTCACAGTTGACTTGGGAAAGCAAAACAGAAGACATTGGTTCCTGCTTTCTAATGGGGCATTACATTCAGACCTGTTTGCTTAAGATTATAGCAAAATTACCTTGACAGAGTTTTGAGTGTTTCCAAGCCTTCAGTCAAATAGTTACACTGTCTTGGTTTACTGCTGCAGATGGCTAAGCGAAGTTTCTAGAAGGCTATCAATTTTCCCATCTCTTTAGTCTTTAGGTCTGGGTTGGTAGAAGAAGGGTTGCAGAAGGGCACTTTATCTACCACGCCGTGTCTCTAGAAATCTAGCAATTTTGAATCCTGTATTACTATTCACATTTCTTTTTTGTAAGAATATGATCCAGCAAATAACTAATAATAATTCTTCATACTAGTATAGCACTTTGTGGTTCATAAAATGTCTTGACTTTCATTGTGTCATCTGATCTCCAGAATAGCTCTGGTTAAGGTAAGTAGGTGAGGTATTACTGTTTCCATTTTACAAATGAAGAAATGCTCAGAGAGAATAAGTAACTTGCCCAGGGATTTACAAAAAGTAAATGGAAGTCCTAGGATTTAACAATTATGGAATCTTTCATCATCTCTGCCTTAAGGTTGCACTTCTCTAGACTGTGGTATTATCAACCCTATAGTCTGAATGTTACAAACTAATAAATAATATATTTACTTCATTAAAATATCTATTAGTTAGCTGCTTGGAATGGGTAGAAAATATTGAAGTAGAGAATTTTTAACCTACCCTTTAATTACTGCATTGATGTTATCCATGATTGTATAATATTGTTCTTAATTCCTCTAAGTTTTATTTTGAAAGCTAAACATAAAAGACAATGGCAGTTTGTCATGTTGAGAAGAATATAATTATTAACCTCATAGGTTCATCCCACAAGTAATGATTGTCATATGGACCCTGTTGGCAGGAGAGGGAAGATGAGAGGTCTCCCAGCTCTTAGTTAAGGCCTAGGCCATGGGTCTGGTGTTCCCAGTCGATGGATCATAATTCATTAAAATTGTATATTGGACACTGGCTATATCCAGAGTCTACACATTAGATAATATTAAAAGAACATAAAAGGAATATAAATGAATCCAGGTGCTAAGTGACTTGGGAGTCCTTGAACTTGTTGCTTTTACCTCCATTTATTTATTTATTTATTTATTTATTTATTTATTTTCATTCATTCATTCATTCATTGAACACATGTTTTATTGAGCACTTACTGGAACGGCACACTGTGCTGGGCACTGGTATTACAATATTGGGCAAGACAGAATCATCCCTACATCATGAGCTAATAGTCCAATGGGGGACACTGACAAGGATGCTGGCAGCCACAGGCAGTGGGATAAATGCTGTGGGAAAGGCAGGGTGCTGCACATACACTAACAAGGGGCATCCAGCCAGCCAGCATATTAGGCCTAGTATTTTTAAATGGATGTAGATTTATTGGGAGTGGCCTGTAGGGGGTGTGCTGAGGGCATGGCCCCTGGCCACTTTATCCCTTGGCACCCTGAGGGTGCTAGGAAGTCATTGCCCTACACATTTAGTTGCCTTTGCCTGAAATATTTTCTTCCTCTCCTCCCTTAGCTAAGTTCTAGTACCCACACATCCCTACAGGCTAGGGAGCCCTCTCTGTATTGTTATATATTCGACCCCTGTGTACTGCGACATCCTGTGAAAATCCTTGAACATCATCCTCATCAACCTCACTGTCCTTCAAGTATCTCCCCCATCAGTCTTTGGGCACTCCTAGATCAGGGCGATCAGGGCCTGTGTCATTTACCTCTGTATTCCCTGCACCAAGCAAATGCTTGGCACATAATAGAGGCTTAATAAATGTTTGCTGAATGCACAAATGAATGAATGACCCTAACCTTTAATATCTGGTTGATGAGGAGGCAGGAAACTGAACATATACAAATAAAACCATTTGCAAACAATTAGCTACAAGTCAATATTTCAATGCATCAAATCAGGTAGCATTCTTTTTCCAATATTTACAGTGCACCTTTTTTACCCAGCATGCATATTCCTGGGGGTCGTGGACTGCCCCCAACAGGGATAAAATGGGTGTAAATGTTATGTATACTTAATTTCTTTAACAAGAAAAGTATCAGAGGATTACTTGGAGTCACTAATGGTACTACCCCGGTAAAGAGTAAATCATTTTGAAGTTACTGTATGCTATGGTTTGAATGTGTCCTCCAAAATTCATGTGTTGGAAATTTAATCTCCAATGCAACAGTGTTGAGATGTAGAACTTTTGAGAGATGATTAGGTCATTAGGGCTCTGCCCTCATGAATGGACTAATGCTGTTATTGGGGAAGTGGATGAGTTATTGCAGGAATGGGTTCCTCATTAAAGGATGAGTTCCGCCCCCTTCCTCTCCCTCTCTCACACCCTCTTGCTCTTCCACTGTCTGCCATGGGGGTGATACAGCAAGAAGGCCCTCACAAGATGCCAGCACCTTGAGAGTGGACTTTCCAGCCTCCAGAATTGTGAGAAATAAATTTCTTTTTTTTTTTTAAATAAATTACCCACTCTGTGCTCTTCTGTTCTAGCAACACAAAATGGACTAAGACACCATGGGCAGGGTCTCTGAGAAATATGAGTTGAATAGAAAAGTTTTCATCAAAATGCTGCTCAGTTGCTGAGGTAAAAGCCAACAGGGCTCAGACTAGGGTGAGATGAGTGAGACCAAGTCATACAAGTTACAGGATCACATTTTGTCTTTATTTAACTTTTTTAGTGCATCATGATTAATTGCATTAATTTTTATTTATTAAAATATCAATTATTTTGATTGCTGAGTTTTTTCACTCTGCCCCCACAGCTCCCGGACCTGGGGGCCCCCACCCCGTGAGCTCTGCCTTCCTGATACACAGATTACAGGGGAAACTCAGACTCCCTCTGCAGGAGCTGGATGTCAGTTATCACCAGGGCTCAGCTGCGTATCCCGAGGGCTCACTCTGCTTGCCTGATTCACCTCCCTTTCCAGTTTTGCCTTCCCTTCTTCCTCTAGCAGTCTGAGCATTCTGCACCTCCCCCTCCCTGTGCTTCAATGCCATCTCACCCAACATCCACACTAGGGCTGCATGTTCTCCAGAGCCTGCTCCATCCTTCCCTTCCCTTCTACCCACAACTGACTTGCTTTATAATGGAAGAAGCGTTTTAATGCCTGCCATGAAATCCTGTCATCTGGACAGGAAGGGCAAGCTCCCTGGCTGAATCATCAAGAGGAGAGCACCTGCCTGGAATAAGGCTCTGAATCTTCTACAGCTCTCTTTTCTGTTTCCCTTCCTCAGAAGTATCCCCTGGACACCGCAGAGGCTGTAGAACCAATACTGCCTGCACTGGCCAACTGTGGGGGCAGTGGCTTCACACCCCGTGTGTGCTGCAAACACACTCAAATCTATGGCCTGTAATAATTTCTGCACATCCCTGTGTTGCTCCCATAGGACAGATAGAGGCACAAAGGCCCTGGCTGATAAGTCGCATCAACTGATCACATAACCACTCATTGACAAAACAGAGATTAAACCTATATTTTTGACCCCCCACCACCCCCCATCCTGTGTCCATTTCATTATTCCATAAACATTCCCCTCTACCACACCCTACTTCCCCCTCACCTGCCCACCCCTGCAAAGTCACTTGATCTCTTGGTGAATTAGCATGAGCCAACATTGATGTTTTAAAATAGCAAATTTTCAGGCTGAAAAAAGTCAAGATCATCTTTAAGTCCCCAAGGACATATGCAACCAGTGATAGAAAAATCCTCTCCCACTTCTCCCCCTCCAGTCTGAATTGACTTAGCAACTTTTCTTCAGCTCCTCAGCAGAGCCTTTCACAAATTCCCACTTGCAGCACTGCTGAAGGATAGACATCCTGATGTGCTCTCAGCTGGACTGCTGCTGTGGGCTTCAAAAAAACAGATGCAGCAGCAGTGAGTGTGTGCCTGTATTATATTTCTCAAGTGAACATCTTCAGAAGCTGGGGACATGTGTTTTCTAGCCCAGCATGTAGGATCTGTGGCCCCTGAGGCTGTGGGAGGGCAAAGTCCTGTAGAGAAGCTATTGTTTTCCTTGCCTTTGCTGATAGCATGAGATCAGCTAAATGATGGTGGCAGGTATCCAAGACCAAGAAAAAGAGTAAGTAGGGGTACAGTAATGGGAAGCAGTAAATCGTAGGACATATTTGTAATCTAAGCAACAAAAATCAAGCATTCTCTGGGAAATGCATGAAGCACTGAATGCTTGAGTGCCTAATGGGTTTTGAAGCCTCAGTAAGTTTATGTGGATGGGTGCCAAGAGCAAACAAATCACTGCAGCCACAAGCTGCCTCACTCCATATCCGAGATGCATACTGAGAATGACTGGGAAGGCTACTTGGTATGGGAACCCTAAAGCAGTTAGGATGGGGAGGCCCCCGGGGAAATGCTATCCTTAGTGCTCTCCAGGAAGCATCATTTACAACTTCACCATTGGCCAAACACTAATATATGTGCTTTACATATATCATCTCATCGAAGCCTCATTATAACACTAATGGGTTAGGTGTTATTACACCCCTATTTTAAAGATGAAGGAAGTCAGACTCAGTTAAGATCATACATCTATTAAGAGGTAGGGCAAAATCCAGACTCAGTCTTTTCTGATTCCAAAGCACCTGCTCTTAACTGCCCCACTTTATTGCCCTCAGAGCTCTTTGGTACCAATTACACCAGGCATTCCTAGCTACAAGGCATTGTTCATTCATTCATCCATTCATTCAACATCCAGCAATATTTCTTGAGCATCTGCATCGTGCCAGGCCCTTTGCTAGGCCCTGGGACCTCACTGATGAAGGAGACATGGACCCTGTCCTCATGGAACTTGGAATCTAATGAGTGAGTGCCAGGGTCTGGAATGGGAGTTAAGGACTCACTTAAGACTGGGCAGGTTGTATCTTGCACAAAGGCTCTGCACTAAGGGGGCAAGTGGGTACTGAAACCCAGCTTATATTCCACTAAGCTATGTGCCCACAGAGCGACATCTTCTAGAGGAAGCAATTTAAAAAATTTTTTCCCAAAGAGTAATATGGGCTATTCTGGAAGTACCTGCCTCCCTTAACTTTTCTTTCTTTCTTTTTTCTTTTCTTTTTCTTTTTTTTTTTTTTTTTTTTTTGAGACGAGTCTCGCTCTGTCATCCAGGCTGGAGGGCAGTCACGCAATCTCAGCCCACTGCAACTTCCACTTCCTGAGTTCAAGCAATTCTCATGCCTCAGCCTCCCAAGTAGCTGGGATTATAAGTGCAGGCTCCCACACCCATAGAAATGGGATTTCACCATGTTGGCCAGGCTGGTCTAGAACTCCTGGCCTCAAGGGATCTGCCTGCCTTGGTCTCTCAAAGTGCTGGGATTACAGGCATGAGCCACTGCACCTGGCTGCCTCCCTTAACTTTTCAAGCCAGTGTCACCCTGAAAGACATCCTCATGCACAACCTGCAGTGTGTAGGGAACATGAACGCACCAGGTAGACTCTGGACAGTAAGGAGGTCAGCAGCAAGTCCAAGAAAGTGTACTCAGGTCTGTTTGGCCCCAGTCAATGAGGTCCACATTCACCTTCAGGAAATCCTGGCCAGTCAACAATGATTTAAACCAATCCCTTCACCACCCCCAGGCAAAGTCCCTGTGTAAGTAAAACTTCCAGTGATTCCCAAAGATAGTATCCCCACCTCAGCAGACGGTGGAGGCCCCTGCTCGGCCCTGGACCTGCAGGCCTTCTTCCAACAACTGTCAGACCCCACAGGAATGGAAAGGAAGGCTTCTGGAGACACATACTGGAGGGAACAAGGGGACAAAAAAGGCAAGCTGACATCAACCCCAAACCCCAATAATTCGGAGGAGAGTATCCCTGGTAACAGAAACAGAGACAGAAGGAGGTCTGCGGGAAGAAAGATGAGTTCTTTATGTATGCCAATTTTCACATGTTAAACATGCCATGCCTTCTATCCGTGGAGCCTTCACATACAAGACACTATGTGCGATATTTACAAAAGCCCTAACCCGATTGCCTTTTTATAGATGAAGAAATTGATATGCAGAGAAACAAAATAATTTGGCTTAGGTCACATAGCTAGGAAGTGGCAGAACTAGAAAGTGGCAGAGGTGGGCCCTCTTGATTCAAAAGACACTGAATCAATGTGTAGTCTAGCTTAGAAGTCCTCGGCCTGAAGATAAAGATGAAGGAAATGAGATAAAGGGAATGAGGCCAAGAAACAGTGAGGCAGATGGAGAGAAGGGAAAGAGAGGTACAAAGGTAGTGGAGGATGCACCCTAATAACTCCTCACAGATAAAGCAATACAGCTACTGCGACCAGCTATCAATGCAGTTCATAAATGCAGAGATCATCAGAGCAGGAAAGGACCTCTGTGCTCCCAGCCTCCCCGTGTTACAGCTGAGGAGTAGAGGGCCAAGGCATCTAGTGGCTTCCCCAAGGTTCTCCAGGCTGCTGTGGAGGCAGAGCCATGGCCACGGCCCTGGCCTCCTGGCACTCAGGCCTAACAGCTTCCATCAGGCTGTACCACTGAGATTATCATCATCAGTGATGATGGTGCCATTAACAGCCATGGCCACCACTATCTGGTTTTTTAGCACCAGCCACCCTGGCAGCCATCTTCATTTTGTGACTTGAAGAAAGCACTGCCCTGGTCATGTGAGCACAAGAGGAATGGAAAATTCCAGGTCAGGGAACAACACACCCTCCAGGCATCCTTCTCCACCAGCCCTGCCTTCAGAGGCACCAGGCCCTTTTGTCCCACCACCAGTTAATATTTCACTTGGGTGAGACTTTAGAGAACAAAGAACACAAAGCTGGCCTTGAGGGGCCAAAGGTAAGCAGCCCATGGTTCCCGATTCGGCTCATAAATAAGAACAGGGCAAATGTACTTTGGATAAGGACGCGCTCAGCCTCCCGCAGAACAGCTGGGGAAGCTATTCATAGGAAAGCGTGCTATTTGCGTCTGCCTGGCATTTGAATGAGGCTCACCTAACTGTGCCTGCCCTCCCCACAGATGTGAGTCACGCTCCCCACTCACGAGTGAGGAGTGGCCAGGGGCAAAGGAGAATTGCTTCTCGGCTCAGCTGAGAGAACTGTGGGGGCCAGGAGCGGCACTGCCAAGGATATCTCCCTCCCCCGGGCAGGGAGGGCCTCCAACTGAGGACACTTATTCTGTAGTGATAGAGCCTGATTCCCCTCCATGTGAGAGAGGTGCCTCCTTGGACCCTGCTACTTTGTCCCTTGGCCCTTGGTCAAGCAAAGGGGACAATTCTCAGCCCCCAACCCCTTGCCGGTGGCTTTGACTATCTTCTCACATCTCCAGTACTCGGGGAAAGCCAGTCAGAGCAGCGTGGGAGGCCAGTTCTAGTGTCACGCTGCCATCCTCCAAGTTCTACTGGTCCCTGGTCTCTAATTGCAAAGCTTACGTGCTGTGGAGGTGAAGTGGGGGTGATCCCTCCCCCTTAAGCAGCACTGCCCACTTCTGAAGGTCATCCACCAATGCTCCTGCCTCCTGTAGCATCCAGTGAAGTTCTGGGCTGGTTCTGAGCCGAGGGTGTGCCGGAAGCAGGGCTCATTATGGTCCAAAATAACCTTGGGAGGTCAAGCCCAGGCCTGGGCATCCCTCATCCAAGGAGCCCTGATGGGGGGGTCTCTCAGGGCCTAGCCGAAGAGTCAGTTCCGCTCCATAGCAGCACTGATGGTTCAGGTCAGTCCCAGGCCCATGAGAAAAACTCCAGTTCTGCACCAAAACACAGTGGCCTTTGGAGTCCATCAGACTCCAAGCATTAGGAAGGGCCAAGCTCTTCTCCCATTGGTAGTTCTCACACACCTGTGGGTCCAGAGAGGGGCTACCCGCCATGATCCTGGGAGCTGTGGTCTAAGGGATCTCTGTATACCTGAGTATGCTCAGCTGCGGTTTGGTGTTTTTTATTAGTGAATGGCTTAGCTCCTCAGCTGGACCATAAACTTCTCAAGGGAACATGCTGTGCCCTTATCTTTGTGTGCCTGCATGACAGCACACAGCCAGCATGCAAACCATGACCTCATATGCACTTAACACTTGACTATATCTCTTTGGCGACTAGACTCTACTCCTTTGGACAGGGACTTCTTAATTCTGTATTTCTGAATGGCCTAGTGCTGGCTGTGACACAGGGTAGTTATATAATTGATGGTGTTGATTTGAATTGTCCAGTTTGAATAAAGAATTTTCTAAATGAGTCGACATTATGACACAATGGATATAGATGAGACCATTAATGCATTTGAAATTTACACTAGTGGACACATGATGGTAGATGCTATAGATACAGGAACCCATGCAAATTCCAACTTTGAGAAACTAGTAACCTATTTCGAAATTATACCTTCTCCTGTTCTTCATGGGCAAAGATGATCCAAGCATGGAGGACATGACATTTAAGCCTTCTTCCCAGTGTAAGGGATGTGCCTTCAGCTAAATTTTTCTCTCAGTCAACATTTATGGGCACCTACTGTGTGTTAGGCACTGTACTATGGGCTGAGTATTCAAAGAAAAACTAGGCACAGGTGAATCGTAAATGGAGAGCTACGGGTCTAGTGGGGCTGAAGGCACTTTCTCAAGGAACTCATGGCACTGAAATAGCTGCTGCTTGAGAAGTATGGCCTAAGCTCCATGGGAGTGAGAAGGGATGAATTCTTCCTGGGGCCAGGAAGGGAGGATGAAATCAGGAAAGGCCTCCCAGAGGAGCAGATGTTTGAAGGATGGACAAATCCAGATGGACAATAGAGTATGTATTCTAGGCTGGAGGGTATTAACCAAAGCATGGAACCCCCTCAGTTCTTTGGGAGGAGAACAGTCTCCTCTGCTCTCACTGTAGCTGGTGGCTTGATTGCTGACCAAGGTCAGGGTGACACCTTTGGCCAAAGAATGGGGCATTTGCTTCTAAGTCAGCCAAGGGCTCTTTCTGTCTGAAAATAGCTGCCTGAATTCATTTCCCCAATTAGTCCCAGAGGCCAAAGATAGGAGCAGGCTTTCTCCACCAGCAGGGCAGAAACTGCAGCTAGAAAGCCGGCCCTGCAGCATGAGGAACCCCTGGGGAGCTGGCAGGAGACCTTGAGGTCTGACCGGCTGTGTTTGGATGGACCCTCTCTAGCTCTTTCCCCGTCATGTGACTGAAAACCTTATCATAATGAAAGCTGTAAAAATGCCAAACTTTAACCTTATTAAAGTCACACTGTTCTGGTCTTGGCAACCATAATAGGATTTTACAACTCAACCTCTCTGACTAGAGTCCTTGAACAGCCCAGGGTCTGTCAGGGTCCGTGATGGGTGACTTAATGCCTTCAGGGACTGGTGCCCACCCACATTCCCACCCTCCCTGTGTCCATCCACCACCCGTGCTCACCGTGGCCTTCCATATGGCCTCCTGTTTTGTTACTCATAGAAATGGAGAAATTTCCACTACCATGGACCCCAGGAAAAACATATGAGCATACCCTACAGCACTTACCAGCTGACATGGTATTTTCCTCCGGATTAATGAAGCACAGTGGAATTTTAGCAGTTGCTGTAATGATTAATATGTCAAATCCATATTGCAGGAGAGGGAAACAGGAAAGCGATGTGAGAACCTAGGAGGGGGGAGGAAAAACAATGGGAAGGGAAGAGAGGTAGCAAAGCCAAAGAAGGACAGGGAAGGAAGAGAAGAACAAGGGAAGGACAGGGCAAAGTGGGGAGAGAGGAACACGGACTCCCACAGGGGTTGGATCAAACAGGCTCGAGCACATTTAGGGACTTCCTCCTGCCACATTGGTAGGAAGGTGGGTCAAGTCAGTTCCTGAGGAGAGGTCTCCCAGGAGCAGTTATTAGCATAAGGTTCTACATGTCGGGAGGTCATGGACCTTGAAGATTTGAGGAAAGGTATGGGGTTTATCCCTAGAAAAAAAATACACATAAAGGGGTTTACTAAGCCCCTAAACCTCCATGAGAAAACACAAAAATGAAAAAACCCTGGGTTCAGCTGACGGTGTTTCTGGAGCTGGGACTGTGTCATCCCTGTCAGCATCCCCTCTCCATGTGATGCCTTTCAGAAACAAGTTTGGAAAGATGACAATGGCGTCAGCCACAATACACATTCTGTTTGCTGAGCCTCTGTCTTGCCCTGTGAGCGCCCACCCTCTCCTCCCCACCTGCAGGCCCACCGCCATGCAGCTCCCAGGATGAGGTCATGCTTACTCACAGGGTCCCTTCCTCCAACTCTAGGCAGTCCAGTGCCCCTACATGAAGTGGTGTCCATGCTGTGCGTGAACATGCTCCGCAGTCTTGAGACCATTACACGGCTGGACAAAGGAATGCCTGGCCAAGCCACCAATGGGAAATACTTTGCAATGCAAATGAGTCCTCCAAAGCCAAGCATTCCCCTCTCCTGCTAATTACTTTTACCTGGTTGCATTAGAAATCCTGGCCAACATGGTGAAACCCCGTCTCTTCTAAAAGTACAAAAATTAGTCAGGCATAGTGGCACACGCCTGTAGTCCCAGCTACTCGGGAGGCTGAGGCAGGAGAATCACTTGAACCCAGGAGGCAGAGGTTGCAGTGAGCCAAGATCGCGCCATTGCACTGCAGCCTGGTGACAGAGTGAGACTCCATCTCAAAAAAAAAAAAAGAATGGCTTCATATTCTGTATAGTCAGGAGCTGGCTCAATGTTAATGTCATTGTCTCTCCTGAAATCACCTGTCAGTGCAAGAGACCTCTGAATTTCCTTTCTTATTTCTTGATCTAAGCATGTATATAGTGTCATGGGCCAGGTTAATTAAAGCTCACTGAATATCACATACTATCCTCTGAACAATCATACGTGTTGCTTCTTTAAAAGCAGGAAAGAAAAAATCAGGTTCTATATGGCCTACCAAGCTTAAATCGTCTCTGTGATGGGAACTGTACAAAAGTCAACAGGTCAACAACAAACACTAGTTTACATACTCAGTAGGTGAAAGAGTGAGCCAATTCATAGATTTCATTTCTGATTGTATTTTTTAACATTTTATTTTCAAAGAATTATAAATCCACAGAAGGTTGCTAAAAGGTGGAAACAACTCAAATGTCCATCGATGGATAAATGGATAAATGTGGTACAGTGGTCCCCCCTTATCCTGGGGGGATACATTCCAGGATCCCCCAGTGGATACCTGAAACTGTGGATAGTACCGAACCCAACTGCTGTCAGTGGGAACACATTTCTGTTCACATATTCCACCTACAATTTAACGCCTTTTCCAGCTTAACTAAACACTTACCAGTATTGTGGTCGTAACTTGCGGTTTGAGGTGTGACAGCAAAACTAGCACGAATTTCTTTTTTCCCTTCACAATTTCACAGATAGAAGATTCATTCCTAACTATAGATCTTAGCAGCCTCAGCATATCATTTTTTTTCTTTCCTGAAGCCGAGAATTTTCACCTTTTCACTTAAAGGAAGCACTTTATGGTTTCTCTTTGGTATATTTGAGTTGCCAGCATCACTACACTTGTGCTTTGGGGCCATTATTAAGTAAAATAAGGGTTACTTGAACACAAGCACTGCGATACTGGGGCAGACAACCTGGCAACAAAGATGGCTATTAAGTCACTACTGGGTGGAGAGTGTAGACAGAGTGGACACGATGGGCAAAGGGAGGGTTCATGCCCTTAGCAGGATTCAGCAAGATTTTATTATACCTCTCAGAACTACTCACAGTTCAAAAGGTATGAATTGTTTATTTCTGGAATTTTTCATTTAATATTTTTGTATTGCTGTTGACTGTGGGTAATTGAAACTAAGGAAAGTAAAATTGTGGATAAGCAGGGATGGGCTACTATACATACAGATAATGGAATAGTATTCAGCCTTAAAAAGGAAGGAAATTCTGATATGTTTCTATGACATGGATGAACCCTGAAGACACTATGCTAAGAGAAATAAGCCAGTTACACAAAGATAAAAACTCTGTGATTCCACTTAGATGAGGCACTTATACGAGTAGTCAAATTCAAAGAGACGAAAATTTGAATGGTGTCTGTCAGGGGCTGGGAGGTGAGGGGAATGAGGAGTTGTTTCATTGGTATGAACTTTCAGTATGGGAAGATATAAAAAGTCCTCTGGAGATGGATGGTGGTGTTTGTTGCATAATAATGTGAATATATTTAAAGCCAACAAACTGCGCCTGTAAAAATAGTTACAATGGTACATTTTATGTTATGTATATTTTACCACAATCAAAAATTGACAAGAAAGTCCCACAGACACTTCACTAGGCCAATCCAGTGTAACAGCTTGCATGACTATAATACATTATCAAAACCAGGGAACTGACATTGGTACAACCCAGACTCATTCAGACTTCACAAGTACTCGTGTGTGTGCGCGTGTGTGCGTGTGTATGTGTGTGTGTGTGTGTGTAGCTCTATGCAATTTTATCACCTGTGTGGCGCTGTTTCATCACAAGCCACTCTTTGTGCTGTCCTCTGTGGCCACACTTGCTCCTTCCTGACAACTAACCTGTGCCTCATCTCTATAATTGTTTCACTTAAAAAATGTTACAAAATGAAGTCATACAGTATGTAACCTTTTGAGATAGGCTTTGTTCACCACATAACTGCCTCGAGATCCACCCACGTTGTTGCATGTATCAATAGTTTATTCCTTTTTATTGTTGGATAGGACTCAATGATATGGATGGAAATGTTTGATTATATTTTTACATCTACCATTAATAAATTCAATTTTCTGTCCACATTAAGACCATCGGTGAATGGACTTGATTCCAATGTGACCACTACAGGAATGGCGTCCAAGGGGCTCACCAGAGCATCCTAGCCTCCACCCACCCATGCAGGGGCTTTTGTCTGGGCCATAGGCTGTTTCATTGAAGAAATGGGTCCTACCGGGCCAGCTGTTCTGCCTACTGACTTTCAGCTGTGGGGACCACAGTGCATAGGCAGTAAGATAGACAGGAACACCTTCAGTAAACAGAGAAGGTACAGTCTCAACCCCCGGCTTGCCCAACCTCAGGGCTGAGACTCCAGCAGTGGCATCATGGGAACAGGCAGCTGGGGTTCCTTTAAGAAGGAAGGTAAACTCCAGCAACAGTTGTTTAAAAATATGATGCTTTCCAATTCTCAGAGGGGAGCTTTTATATTTCCACCACTCACTGTGGCCCAAACCTCACTGTGCTGGAATTTAGCTGTCCCCTTGACTGTTGACCCCAACACAGCATCAACTCCCAGCCCCGAGCCTCACAAAATGCCTGGCCCCCGTGAGCACACAATAAATGTTGCCGCAGGAGTTGGTGTTATTGAAGGAGAGAGGCGAGTCAAAGGGGCCTACAGAGGATGACCAACTCTAACAAGCAAGAGCTGCTTTCATTTCATTTTTAAAACCTGCTACCTTAGCTCTGGCAGGAGCCAGAGTACGAGAGAGGAGCAATAAAACCATCCCTTTCTTCCTCTCACTTCCAGCCCTGACTGCCCTCCCCTCATCCCTTCACACCCCAGATCTTCCTCCCAGACTCTAGGGAGAACTTTGTGTTCTGGGGAGGGTGGGGCTTCTTACTGAAGGGCAGGTGTCAGTGTAGGTGAATAAGCAGGTTGGGTGGGGGTTGGGTGAAGGTGAGGTCACTCAAGGGGACTCTTCGGCCACGTAGGAATGAAGGAACAAGATTGAAGTCACACCCCCCAAAAACCAACAGAGGTTCTTTGAGCCTTTTCCTCCAACTCTCCTTCACCACATCCATGCCTTAGCTTCCCAACCTTGGCCTCTTTGCTATGGGCAACCTGAATAGTTTGCATTTCTAGACAAATAGGTGAAAGAAAAGAGCAGCCATAACCCAACATCCCTGTAACTGGCCCGGGGCCCCAGATCCTGGGACTTTCCCCAACAGCTGGATACTTCTTCCTCTGTGAAAGATAACAGGGATTGGCTGGAGCTAACCCAAAAAGCAAGCAGACATAGACACAGGCTCTTGGAAAAGACCAAATACTACTCAAACCCAGGGATTTGGTTTCCCCACCCCCAAGGACCCAGGAAGAGGTTGCTCACAGCTGGGTGAGGTGCAGCACTTTCCACAGGAATCATGGCCTGGCTCTTTCCAGGGTAGGGGAGGAGCAGGTGCCGCTCCTCTCTGGGCATGCGTGCCTCCTGGGTGTCCTTCATGGAGCTTACACAGTGTGCTTTACACAGAGGCTATGGCCTCTCTGGAAGAGTTAAGATCTTTCTATAGCTCTTGAGATGGAGTATTTAACACCAATAAAGGCTTTCACCACCTCCTCAAAGCTTTGAACTGTTTTGTTTTTTAGAGATGGGGTCTTGCTGTGTTGCTCAGACTGGTCTTGAACTCCTGGGTTCAAGCAATTTTCCTGCCTCAGCCTCCTGAGTAGCTGGGACTATAGTTGCCAGCCTGGGTTTCCATCTATATCTTAATAACCAGAGTTGCTGTGCACTGTATCTAGGATTTGGCTTACTTGGCAAACTCTATGTCATAAAATCAGTATTTCTTCAATAAACTCAATATTTATTTACTATGATCTGGCAGCTGAAGTAGCCCAAACTTCTGACCTATATTCTGTAAGGTGGAAGAGTGGGCCTTTTAGTAGAAATCTCCAAGACCTAAGAATCTCTATTGAGACCCTGGGGTTAATGCAGGCTCCACCAAATCCAAGTGCTGGCTGGGAGACAGGAGTCAGCAGGATTTCACTGAGATGGTCAATTTTTATCCAGAATAGGGCTATGCCTGCATTAATTTGTCACCAGTGGAATGAAAATACAAACCCGCTGAGTATGATAGTTTGATATGAGGAGTGGTCAGTTATATAGAAAATTTAAAACAGAAAGCCCATGAGAAGTTTGCCTTTGGAAATGCCCATTAACTCCTTCCTAACAGGGTGACAGAGAGCTGGTGCCACCACAGGGAGTGTGCTTGTCAGAGCAGACCTCCTCCCCAGGTGGACACCATGACCCTTCACATCCTCCAGATCAAAGCTTCACTTTCCCCTGCTCACAGTGGCTTCTTGGACGACCATGTCTAAACCAGACCCTGCCTGCTATTCTTGACCAGACAGAGAGAACAGCCTGAGTGAAGACTCTGAGGCAGGAGTGAGCATGGCATTAGCAGGGCCTGGCAGAAGGCCAGGATGATGGCCACACTGAGTGCTGGGAAACACAGCACAAGATAAGCCTGGAGAATTGACAAGGGCCGGTCTGTGCAGAACCTGAGGGCCATGGCAAGAAGTCTGCCTTTTCTCCCCATGTCCAGAGCAGGGAAGAAGGATTTGCAAGTTTCTCACACATGCCTTGGCTTAAGCAAAGCTTGCTGGCCTCCTTCAAGCCATAGCACAGGGTGGCGTTTGCCGTGCCTGACTCCCCAAGCTAGGCACTGGGAGTCCAAGTGAACCATCTGGAGGGGTCAACAGTGACGTGAGCAGATAAGCCACAGCACATTGAGCTAGAGGAGGAAAGAGGAATGTGCACATCCCTGCTTGGATGTGGGGGCAGGAGGGGGAGGGCTCCAGGAAACCTCGCACAGATTCTTTGGGCTGCCTAAATCCCGCTGCTCCATGTCTAGGTGGCTGAAGCGCCTCCTGGCCTGCCTCAACCCCTCCTCTGGCCTGTCCTGTTTACCAGCCCTGCCACCTGCCCACTCTAAGAGGCTCCACCCTTCCTTGGAACACGGAGTTCTCTGCCTCTGGACTCTGGGGAGGGTGAGATTGTTGAGGCAGGCGGGCGAGCATGAGAGGGAAGGAAGAGGGAGGGAGGTCAAAGATACAAGGTGAGCTGGAGAAGAAACGGACTGTTTTGAGGATTTCCCCTCACACATTCTGGCTCCTACCTCTGACCGAAAGCAAAGGGAGCAGCTTTTACCAATGGAATGAGGCCAGGGTGTGTTGGCTTACACCCATAATCCTAGCACTTTGGGGAGGCCAAGGTAAGAGGATCAGTTGAGCTCAGGAGTTCAAAACCAGCCTGGGCAAGATAGCGAGACCCCATCTCTACAAAATTTTTTTTTTAATTGGCAGGCATGGTGGCATGTGCCTGTGGTACTAGCTACTTGGAGGCTGAGGTTTGAGGATCTCTTGAGCCCAGGAGGTCAAGGCTACAGCAAGCCATGATCGTGACACTGCACTCTAGCCTGGGTGACAGAGTGAGACCCTGCCTCTAAATAAATTAAATCAATCAATCAATACCAATTAACTAACTAACCAACCTGTCTATCGGGGTCAGTCAGCTCTTATAGTCCCACCTGAATTCTGCTTTGCCTTCTCCTGCAACAGCAACGCCTTCGAAAGTGCTTACTGTGTGCTAGGCAGGCGTTGCACATGGACAGGGACTGGGAGTTCAGATGGCCAGCTGGCCTGCTGTCTGGGGACAGGGGGTTTCCCAGGACCTGAGACTTTCAGTACTAAAACCAGGACAGTCCTGGGCAAGCTGGAACAGCTGGTCACCTGGTGGGAACTGAGCACCCATGGAGTCAGCAGAGAAGGAAGGCGGCACCACAGCATAGCTGGTGGTGGGAGCAAGCAGGAGTCTTTTCCTCCTTAGCACTGGAAGCGCCACTCTTGGCATTTACCTCCCTTCCTGAATGGAGCCCCACCTGTTTTTATGAGGCCTCCCCAGGCCAAGCCCTCAGGATGGGCAGGGGTGGGTTGAGACTGTGCTGTCTCTGCTGTTTGCTAAGGTTGTTCTCATGGTATCACGCTGCCAGAGACTGTCCACTTGGCTCACATTGATGGAGGTCAGCTAAGGACAGGCTGATTAGCTGGCCCCTCAGGGCCTTTCTCTTGGTGACACAGCCTCTGGCTCAGAACAAAGGCCCCTCATTTTGCTGAGGCACAGACTCTTGAACGTGAGAGTGCTGCCACCTGCTGGTCACAGCGCTGCTTCCAGAAGGGGAGCTGGAGCCTCAGGAGGGAGACTGGGCCATGAGCCCAGGTCTGTAGCCTCTCTGTGGGCCACAGCACCACCTCCCAGCATGCCCTGGGCCAGATAGCTGAAGAAAAGAAGCTGGGGACCCCCCTAACAGGTATGCCTTGAAGGGGACTGCAAGGCTCTCTCATGCCAGAACTCTCTCAGGCTGGCCATGGATTCCCAGAATTCCCAGCCAGCGTGGGCACTCTTAGCTATAATAGAACCCTCGGCCCAGTGGTGTGCTGGAGCTGCTGGGCAGGAGGCAATCATCAAATATTCAGGAAATTTACCAGCTGCACTGGTCATGGTGGGAGTATTTACACCATGGAAATTGGCAAAGGCTACAGATTAAGAGTTTTCTCCACCCGTAACTCTTCCTCCAGTGGATTTATCAGTACACCTTTGCAAAACCTCTATCAAACTTAAAATGTTGTCACCTGAGAAGGGGCAAGTACCAGCCTGTTTGTAAAGGTTTCTCAGATAAAGCATCAAGTATGGAATTGGCATCATAGAGAAGAAATACATTCTGATAAGAGGGAGATTGTGAGGAAGGAAATTTTGTTAAGCTCCCTAAGAACAACTAAGGTAATAGTTAAGGGCTCTGCGATGAGAAACACATGGATTCAAGTAGCAGCTCTTCTACTTGCTAACTGAATGATGCTGGTCAAATTGCTTCATCTCTAGCTTCCAGTTTCCCTGTCTGCAAGTGGGGGTATTGGGAGTAGTTGCCTCATGTAGTTGTGAGGTGATGCGTTTGATGAATCTAAGTGCTTAGAACATTGCCAGGCAGAAAGCAAGTGCTCAATACATCTTAGATATTATCAGATATTGATTAGAACCTCCACTTCAGCAGGCTTAAACTGATCTTGACATCTTCCTGGTAAAACCAGTTTCACCTCTAGATGTCTTTTACAGGGTTGGGGAATGAAGACTGGTTCTTCCATCCTCCCCGGCAGCTAACCTTTAACATCAGCCTCGGTTTGGGCTATTCATTTGTACTTGTCCCCTACAGTTAGTATGTAAGAAAATGTATCCCCTATACTCTTAATATGATAAAGTACATCCTGAATGTAAAGTATCTAAGCAGTGAACACTTGCCAAACCAACCCAAAATATTTTGTGTAAATGAGTCACTGGCCAGTTAAGAGGTCAAGTATAGAAAGGGCAGGACTCAGATCCGATTCCAACTCCAAGACCTGAGTCATCCTCAGTTGTATTGCATCTGATTTAAAGGAAGATTATGTTAACAAGACACAAATTGAATAGAATTGGGGAAAATGGGAATCTGAGAGCAGTGCTCTTTCAGTGGAAAGAGACATGGGGCTTAGAGGACATGAGCTCCCCTCTCATGAGAGTGGAGGGCTTGGTTGTGCAGTAAAGAGAGTTGGTGAAGTTTCTATAGAGCCTGATGGACTAAAGCCCAAGAACTGACCTGATGGACTTGCCCCATCCAAGACTCTGGTCACCCCTCAATCTTTGAATGAATACTTTGGCTTCTTGGGTGCTAAAATCCTTGGAAGATGTGTCCTTAGATGAGATACATATATTTCCATTGTTAAAAAGTTATAAATGAGTTTGCATTATACTCTTTTGACTTTTGTTATATGGACAAAGATTAGGTTAGATTTGGTTGCATAAAACAGACAAAACAGTAGCATAAATAAAATGTACATTTATTTCTCTCCCATGTCAATGAAATCCAGATGTTGGCAGCCTGGGACAAGTATGGCAACTCTACAGTCATCATCAGTCACTATCTTATAGCTCCATTATCTTCAACATGAGTTTTTGTCTAGTGGTTTAAGATGGTCACTGGAGCTCCATCCAGGCTGCTTTCTTGCCAACAAAAAAATCATATTTTCCCAAAGTCTGACAAATCACTGCCCAGGTGTACTCATGCAAACCCATTCTGATGCAAGAAAACTGAAAAATGTCTTTATTCCAACTAGGGGTAGGAGGCATTTGCCTAGCTAAAAATTAAGGATTCTATTTTTAATAAAGTAAGGTAGCTAGATATTGGTGGACAGCCCACAATCTCTACCAAAGTAGATCAATTTCCCTAAGCCTGCTCATTTTTGACATCAGAGAACTGCTGCACAACAACCCCCAGGATAAACCACCCTGTGAGCCCAGGAAGAGAAGATGGCTGGATTCCCTCTCAACACTCTCCTGCCTCAGTGTGAATTTAATCCCCATACCCCATAAGCCCCAGAGCCTCCATTCTGTTGCTGCTACAGCACCTGTCCAAAGTTCCCTCCTTTCCAATTTTGGTCTCATCACTAAACTTCAGACCTCCGTGACCACTGGTCTGGACTTTTGCAATAATGCCCTCATTGTTCTTCTGCCTCTACTCACTCTCCAAGCCTTTCTGCTGATGGATTGCTCTTCCTGAGGCACAAGTCCCACCATGATATATCCCTGCTCAAGAATGTCCATGGTTTCCCATTTTCTGCCCTAAAGTCTAAATTCCTTAGAATCCTGAAGGCTTTCTATGACAAGGCCTTTCCCTGAATTCCTAAGCTCATCACTCTGAAGACACTTGGAGATCCAGCAAGTGCCACTCCTTAAATATGACTTGAACACTTCTGCCTCCATGCCTTCCTTCCTGCTCTTCTTTCTGCTTGGCATGCTCTTCCTTTGTCTCAGCCTGCCTAAATCCTACCCATCTCACAAAGCTCAGGACAAAGGCCTCCTCCCCCATGAAGCTTTGCCCAAGCTAGAATGACCGTCACCCTCCTAAGTGTTGCCACAGGGCATTATGCTTCCATTCGGCTCACATTACAAGTATTTCTGTGTTCCCTACTAGAGTGGGGCTGGGCTATGCTTGCTTGCTCACAGCATCTCACATTAGTGCCTGCCATATCAGCAACATGCAATGAGCGTTGGTAGAACTGAATTGCAGAGTACAGCTGGGGCTCCGTGGAACAGAACCAGTTGGAAATAGGATGTGAATGAGAACAGCTCACAGAATGACCTGCTGTGCCTGCCAGAATTTGGAAAGTTGGGGTGACCACTGACACCACTCTGGGAGCAAGTATTCGGGTTCCACTTAAATATACAAATGTAGGCCCAGGACTTCCACCAAAATGAAGCCCCTTCTGGGCTTGTGTTTGAGGAGCTGTATAGGGTGATAGAGTGACACTGGTAAGGATTGCTGTCCTCTCTACTTTATTTTTTTTTTTAAGGTTCAAGATCTGAGTTGCCATAAAAATAAAAACCTTGGTGGGGGTGGGGGTGTGGAGGGATTTGAAAGAAAACTGTAAATTATCAAGAAAAATGATTCATTTCTCAGATGAAGACCCTCAGTCCCAGAAAAGCAAGGGTGAGTATGCCCAAGGTCACCCAGCCAGGGTGAAGGGTGGGACTTAGCCTGTCCCAATCCCAGTCTACTATTTTCTGCTCCACCACCATAGCTGCCCAGGGTGAAGACACCATCAGTTCTTAAGGTCACTTCTAATTTGGGGAAATAAAAGGTCTTGAAGGTTACACAGAGATTTGTGCACTGCTGATCTTAATTTTATGCTTGCCGTCATAAAACCAGTTTATGCTTATACAACTAAAGGGGGAAGACATGCATCCAATTCTCTCAGTTTCAGTTCTTTGTCTTTGCATCAGTTATTTAGATTTTTCCCTTCTCTGCTCATTATCACTTTTCCTGAGGAGGTAACAAAATGTCTTTTTCAATTTTCTTCTGGGACTAATTCTCACTGGGATCACCCATTTTTTTCTCCAGTTTGCAACTGGCTAGATTTGATTGGAATAGATAAGGCCTCCGACCATAGGCTGTTGAAAGGCCCTTTGTTTGTGGATTACAAGCGGTCATTCAGTTTATCCCATTCATTATGCGACCCTACTTTTTTGAGTTGCAAGGTTAAGGCCTGGGGCAAAATGTTGATGGAAAGGAACATTAAGCACCAAGTAGTACCGTGTTTGTGTTCATTCCAATCCACATTCACCTCCCTTAACTGGTGAAGGTTATGACTACAGCCCACTCTCTAGTGACTCATTTCAGGAAAAGGACATGTGACAAGAACCTGTCTCACATGGGACTGCTTGCCAGGGGTGCCAGGACAGAGATGGCATTGTTCAGGAAAGATTCAGGAAGTCAAACATCCGGAGAAAAGCATGCATGGTTAACTCACCCCACAGGCTGGATGAGAACATATTTTTTTTCTCACTGATCAATCTGTTTATCTACTTCTACAAGGGCACTCAGAGGACTTCTGGAATAATTATTCCTTTTGGTCTTAAATGCAGCTTTCCTGATGGGCCAGGAAAGGGAGAAGGGATAAGTATTCCTGGAAGTGTTTTACCTGTTGTCACATTAATTCTATCCTCCCAATAGCTTTTTGAGATCAACATTATCCCCACTCTCAATGTATAAATGGGGCAATTTAGATAAGGCAAGTTAAGGAATTTGCCCAGGCCTATCTGCTACTAAGTGGCAGACACAGGATTCAAACTTGGATCGAGGTTGACATTGAAGTGTATTTCCAATGTCAGAAAATGTCCTCTTTCCATGCTAGTGCCCAGGTTTCCTCTCAGACAAGTAGCAGCTGCTAAATGCTACTGCAGAGCATTGTCTCTCCCAAACACATCTCTGTTCTGACCTCTTTCCATCTAGCTGTCCTCAAAACCCACACAAATTCCACCTTCTCCATGAAGACTTCCTGATCAGCCCGTCCCAAGAGACTATGTACAGTCTCACACGCGCTCTCTCTCTTCTACCTCTGTAATCCTCTCTGCTTGCACTCCTGGTTTAGCCCTTAATAGATATAACTTAGTGCATATAAACTTTCACTTGCATACGCAAACTCCCAGCTGTACTATAAACTCCTCAAGGACATGAACAATGCCTCTGTTGAGCCCTGAGAATTTGTAGCATAACGAATAATACCAACTAGCTGCTGCAAAATGCGTGTTGAATAATTAACTGGTTAATTTTTAGGAGAGGATATGGGAGTCCTCATGATTCTGTTAAGTAGACAAGCATGGAAAACTCAAAGGCAAGTAGTTGTCTCTTTGGCTAAGACTCCCCTTAGCACCACAGTCTGTAATTCACTCACCAAATCTTTCTGGGTGTTTTAGAGAAGATGGACATTGCTCTGCACTGAAACCATGCGTTAAGCCCTCTGCCGGTTTTAGGGCAGACTAAAGCACCCTGCCCAAAGCTCAGAAGGTTCAGGTGAGTTCAGAAAGCTCCAGGCTTTCTGGCAGCCTAGTATGTTCCCTTAGTCTTTTCCCAGTCTGGGCACTCACTCCCAGCTCCTCCCCAGGTGTCCACCTCTTAGCCTCACCCCAGGCCTTAGTGATGACAGCACTAGGCAGCAACTGGTATCTCCCCTGGAGGCAAATATGCCTGCACAAAGCCCAGACCTTATGCTCTTCTCTCCTGGGATTCTGCTTATTTTCTTTCTCCTTAACTTATTGCCCCTTCTTCTATGTGGTCTGTTAATCTCCAGATCTTTGAGAAGGATGACCATGATGTCAGAGCACGGGCCTTGGCATGGCCTGTCTGCATCTCTCTACTCTCCGCTCCCCGCAAGATTCCTGGGTCATGTGGGGCTTCCTCAGCACCCCCTCTCCATGCAGCTCCTCCTCTCTGAGTCTGCCTCCTGCCTTTCCTTCCAGCCCCATCCAGGGTGTGGAGAGAGCTCTTGACCACAGGTGGAGGTGCCCTTCCCCACACCTGATGAGCTCTGTCCACACTTGGAGACCAGCTTGTGCCCTATGGGTCTGAGCCTGGGCCTGCCTGTCCCCCAACCTGGCCATGAGGGCCCTGAAGCCACCATCACGTCTTACCTTTATTTCTGATGCCTAGATCTGTGACTGTCACATAGTAAGTGGTCAATCAATATCAACAGAAGGTGGAAATAAATGGTAAATGAGTAAACAGTCTTGGTTCTGCTCTATGAAAATACCGAACACATCAACTCACTCTGACATTAACCGTTTAGACACTTAAAGCAGGCCTCTGAACTAGACAGATCTGGAAGCATCACATAGATCACCAATCACCTCATCTACAAGATGAAGACCAAGACTGGTAAGTGGCTTGCACAAGGTTATACAGAGTGTGAGTGGCAGACCCAGACTGGATCAGACTCTCTGAGTCCCTGCTGAAGGCACCATCTCAGCCATGCTTTCAGAGTAAGAAAGCTTTGCTTCTAAAATACCTAGTAATTCAGACTTTTCTCCCAATTATTTCTAATTAGTAACCTACCTAGCACTGATGAGTTCTTGAATATATGCATGCATGCATGCATGTATAAGTGAATGAATGAATGAAGGCGAGGTCATGCTGGATTCACAGCAGCAGCAGTGCAGCTTTTCCAATAAAGGCACTAGGGATGTGTGCAGGATTGAGGTGATGCGTTTAAGGCATCTTTCTGCCTCACAACCCTGACACTGTGCATACCCGGGCTCTGCCATCGCCCCTACTCTGCAGACTGACAGAGGCTGTTCTGAGCTGTCCTTGCCAGCACCATTCTTGTTGAAACTATTAGGTTGCTATTGTTTTTAGCAAACAAACAGCTGATGCCTCATAGAAAATTTAGCATTTGCTCATTCCTGTTCCATTTATCTTTTAGTTTGTGCATTTTCTCTTCTTTATTAGCAGGGCACTTACTGGAAAACTAGATCTCTGTCACTTACTGGTTTCATATGTTTCTTCTGTTCATAACCTACCTGGAGTCAGAATTATGTCTCTGTCACAGAGCAATTGGTTGCTATGGAAATGATCATAGCACCCCAGACAGGAGGCCTGCGTTGGAGAGAAGAGGGAGTGCTGTGCCCATTGGGGTGGGGGTGGGTATGGGGGAGGTGCTGCAGGAATCCTGAGTGTGACTTTTTAAGCTAGTACTGACTTGTCTAGGCCAACCTGGTCATCTTGACCCTCTTCCTACTCAAAGTTGTGTGTGTGTGTGTGTGTGACACTTCACTTATCCACACTCCCACGCACCCCACCCAAATATAAAACAAATGCTTCCCCTAACTTCTCTCTTCTACCTCCAAGTCCAACTTAAAGTTCACCTCCTCAATCTTCTGTGGTTAACCACCCCTGACTAACCCCTTCGCCAATCAAACCCCCCCCCCCATTCCTAGTGAGTTTGTACTTAATTCAATTGCATTGGAATCACTTGCATTCCTTCTCCTGGGCTTTTTTTTTTTTTTTTTTTTTTTTTTCTTACCGGGCTTATGTGCTTTATCTTCCCAACAGTATCCAGGCCCCACAGAAGTCCATCTGGGCCAGTTGGTTTTATCTTCCCACAGAGCCCAAGCCAAGCTTGGCTGACCACAGGCCCCTGATAAATGCTGCCCCCGACTCTCAGAGAGATGGACAGTCTCAGCCCCTGAGCCTGTCCACTTTAACCCATCCAATCTTACCTCCTGAGGATCAGTATGCCTAGAGCAATAGGCAAATTAGACAGCTCTGGATATAATTTTAAACACTGTCAACCCAATGAAAGGAGAAAAACTCTAAAGCTTCATTTGCCTAAAACGTCCTCAGATGAAAAAGGAAGAATGAGAAAACAGTTTAGTTATTTAAAACTGTCTTATTTTTGTGGGTTTTAACTCATTTATGTTTCAAGTTTGCCCTTAGTCTTGGTTGCCTGTCACCCACAGCAACTTTGACCTCCAGAACCCTTAGGGTTCACATGCAGTGACTCTCCCTTCTGGGTTTCCACTGAAGGACCTTGCGGGACTGTCCAGGTCAATGGCAGCTGTACATGGTGGGAGAACCTGGGCCTGTTCCAAAGTGCTTTATAGGACAAGGTTAAGCTCACAAACATGAGTTGTGGACTTGGGGCCTTTCCTTTGTCTAACGGGCAATATCCTTACATCCGGGACCTGGGGGTGCCGAGCCCGTGAACTTCCCTTGCGGCCTGTGGTTGGAGACAAATAGCTGTGCTGGCTCCGTTGGCAGAGTTGGTGTTGGTTTTGGTGCCCCAACCTCCTTTTTCTGGAATCTGCCCCATATTCAGTCCCCAGATGGAAGTAAGCTGATACTCAGGTAAGAAGGGGGCGAAAGTCAGGGTGCCTCTAGTGTGGAGTCGACGCTAGGGCTGGACGCCATGGTTCCACATCCCAGAGCCCATCTGAAAGACCTTCTTTGGCGTGCCGCTCAGAGCTGCTCAGAGAGCGTGGAGCTCGGCCCCCAGCTCAGCCCAGGGCTCTGTGCACTCATGGAAAGGGGCATCGTGCCTGGAAACGCGAGCGGCCATTCTGGCGCAGGGACAGGGCCTGGGCGTCTGTGTGTGCTCGTGCCCAGTTGAGAGACTTGGACGGGGCGCGGAGGGCTTGCTTCTTTCCCAACCTAAGGGCTGTTTCAGTGAGGTCGTCCTTCTGAGGCCTGAGATGGTGCCGGGGGTGGCCTCACCAGGAAAAGGCGCAAGGCAAACATTGAACAGACAGGCTGGAGCTCCCAGGAGGAGCTTTGGTCCGTGGCAACTGGGAGAAGGGCCTCTTTTGGGGACAGCTGATAAAAAAGCTGCCACCCTATCCTCCAGCTCCCCCACCTCAGGGCCCCACTGGAAGACAGGCTTGACTTTCTTCATCCCGCGCAGCACGGGCTTGGTGAAGCTGGAAGGAACCCTCTCATGCAGTCTCCCGGCTTCTGCTTCCGACTGAACCCTCCAGCCTAGGCTTCAGGCCAGGCCTCTGTCCCCACACAATGGGGACTTGGATAGTGATTTTTAGGATTCTTTCTAGCTTTCTACCCTGACTAGAAAAGAGAAGAGGAAGTGCCCCGTTGGCTCTGCCGTGGACCAGAAGACCTTCCCCTACTGCTCATATTTAGTTAGCAATTACCCAAGGTGTCCAAGGCCCCTCCAACACTGTCACTCACTGCTAGGAGAGGCCAGAACTCCAACTCAGGCTGTGCGGCTGGCTGCAAGGGGGTGACGTCTGGGTTAGCTGTTTGGAGACGGAACCACAGGTCAGCTTTAGAGCTGATGGCGCCTTCATGGGCACAACGGGAAACCAAGACAGGCAGTTACCAAGTGATCCTTCAGCATCTGGGCGAGACGCTTTGTCTTTCCCAGAGAAACTATTTCAATGAGTTCTTCCCGGGAGAGAGGGAAAACAAAGCTCAAATACCAGAGCCGCAGAAACCGCCTGAGGCTGATTTGCTCTGACAGGCCGGCGGCTGCCCTCTCCCAGGGACAGCCTTGGTCCAAAAGAATAAAGGAGACCTTGCAGGCCAGAACCCAAAAGTGCAAGGTGCAGGTTTGCAAAGTGTGTCCCTCAGGCTCTGTGCATCCCCAATCCAGAAGTTGAACACCCATCCACATGGTGCCTTCACAGCACATGAAGAAAAAGAGGGGCAGGTTGCAGAGGAGCAGGACAGGGGGACGTGTTGCCAAGAGCAGGCAAAGGTCTGACCTGATGGCAGCTCTGAATTGGGTCTGGCGGGAGTTGGAGGTAACTGCATTATGGGAAAGACTGAAAGGTTAATATGAAACCAGCTGATACTGAAAGAGAACAATTAGGAAGGTTAAGGGGTTTAATATTAGATAAATGGCTGCCAGAGGATAAAGTTCACAACTTCCATGAAAGAAGTCTGACTCAGAGAATTCTTTTTAGTGGACCAGACCAAGGTCTGATTTTGTTATTTTTTTTTCTTCCCAGTAACTGAGAGAAAATTACCATTCATTCACATAAGATTCATTCTCTTCCCTCCTCCTGCTCCTTCCTCCGGCTTCCCATCTCTCTCCTGTTTGGAAATGTCTGATTTCCTTCCAGTTCTGGAATGAATCAGGGTCCCACCTTCCAGTCTGCATACCCCACACTCCTCTCCACCTGTAGGGGTTCTTTCTCAGTGAGATTTGTGGGGCCCTACAAGAATATTTTTGTCAGTGTTGCTTGTATTCTGGAAATATTTCAGGCCACTAAGCGATCTCACAGATCAGTAGTCAACCCAGGCGAGACATTCCGAGCCAATAAGGAGTTAACCCAAACATGGGGAGACGGGCTGGTTGATTTGAGGTGGCTGAGGAGATTGGGGGAGATGGGGAATTCTCATAGTCTCCAAACCCAGCAATTCCTTCCTGGGAGTTTTTTAAACATTCCTTCCTGGGAGAAGGGCCTCTGATGGGGACAGCTGATAAAGGAGCTGCCACCCCCTCCTCCAGCTCCCCACCCCCGTGCCCCACTGGAAGACAGGCTTGATTTCCACATCCTGCCTAGCACGGGCTTGGTGAAGCTGGCAGAAGCCCTCTCATCAGTCTCTGTTCTTCTGTCTGGACTGAACCCTCCAGCCCAGGCTTCAGGCCAGGCCTTTGTCTGAACAGATTCCCAGGCCCCACCCACCCTCGACTAACTGAATTTGAATCTTTGAGGGCACAGTCTGGGCATCTGCATATTCTGAAGTTCCTCGATGACCCCATGACCTGCCCAGTTTGGGAACCACTGGCTCAGGGGCCACATGGAAAAAAGGCCAGGCAGGGAGGGGCCGGGGCCTCTCAGACTTTGGGCTGGGCCATTTGTGTGATTCCCTAGTTCCCATCCCAGCCAGTGAGTTTCTTGGAGCAGACATTTCCTCTTACTTATCCCCTCTTACAATCCCCACACAGGGCTGGCCACGTTTAGTATGTGGGAGCTGAATTAAGTTTCCAAATCTCATGGCTCATGTCTGTAATCCCAATATTTTGGGAGGCCAAGGCGGGAGGATCACCTGAGCCCAGAAATTTGAGACCAGCCTGGGCAACATGGGAAGACCCTGTCTCTACAAAAATTTAAACGTTAAAAATATTTTTTAATTAAAATTTTGAAATGTCTCCCCTTCCTAGACCCTGAACCTGTTCAGTTCTCAAGTTGACATGTTCAGAGGCCTGGCTGGTAGAGCCCGGGCCTGGTCCCACAGAATCAGCATGGTCCTGAAACACAAGAGCACAGGAGGCAAAGCTGGAAGGGCCCTTAGAGAACCTCTAGTCCAATAGCTTTCAAATTGTAATCCTAGGTACCCTGGGGTCCCATGGTGGAACCTCAGAGAGCAGGAAAAGGGAAGGGCAGAGGCTCAGTGGGAGGAAATGCCGGCCCTCCCCCCACCTCCACCCTTCCTTCAACCAGGCCAGCTCTGCTTTCACAGCTTTGTGTGACTTTCGCAATAACCAAATGGCTTCCAAGCTTCTCCCCTTGCCAACCCCACCCCCAGCCCCTGTCTATTTTCCATCTGGTGTCCAGAATGATCATTTCAAAACATAAGGCTCATCATGTCCCTCTTCTGTTCAAGACCCTACATTTGGCTTTCCATTTCACTCAACAGCAATCCAAGGTCCTCTTCATGGCCGGCAAGTCCCACCTGTTCTCACCCCGGCTGCCCCTACCTCATCTCAGCCACGCTGGCCTCCTTCGTATCCCTGAATGCACCAAGCAGGCTCTTATCCGACACCTGGGCAGGTCTTCTTCCTTCTGCTGGAAACACTCTTCCCCAAATAGCTGCATCCCTTGCTTCCTCTTGTCCTGACCACCCTATCAAAAAAGGCATCCTGTTCCATCAGCCCAGCCCCTTCCTGTACTGTACTGACTGTCCCTACTGAAATATAGGCTCCACGAAGGGGAGGACTTTGTTTTTTTTTCACTGCTATGTCCCCAGCACCAAGAACAACAGTGGCTGGCACATAGTAGGTGCTCAATAAATAATGATTTCCTGATTTAATCAGATTGGTTTTGAGTCTAAAGTTATTTTGTACGTTTTCTTCTTTACACATTTCTCTATTTTTCAAATTTTCTGCAGTAAATATGCATGTTTTTACCATCAGAAAAAGCAGTAAATGACATAGTCTTTTCTCTAGGACCAATCTTTGGGAGACTCAGAGCTGCTAGAGAATAATTTAAGAAGATGAAGGGAGGCCCTGCCTTGAGCCCCTGGTTCTGAGCAGCACCAGGTCGGTCCTGGTAGACTATAACAATACCACTGATTCCTAATGGTGGATGGGGGAACTTAGTGGGGCTAAGCAGACCCCACTTACCTAACAGCATTTTGTCTTGGGGTCACTGGGGAAGGAGAGAGAAGGAGTGAAAACACGACCAGCAGCAACCCCCTCCCCACTGAAATGCACCAGGATCTCCCTAACCCGATACAACAGACATGAGGACATGGGCTCCCAAGCACCCTCCAGTAAGGCATTGTGGCCATAGGTCATTCTTTAACTGGCACAACTGGCTTTTCTCAGACAGACTTTCTCTTTATTTTCTTCAGGGACTATTACTCTGAGGCCTAGTACCTGCTGCCTCTGCTTATATGACTGAATCTAGAACAAAGAAGAAACATCTTAGCTGAGGGGTCAGGGCTCTGGCCTGACAGAAACCCTGTGGTCTTGTCTCCATGTCAGAGCCCCATGACTCCAAGTGGGTGGGAGTCCTGGGCTCGCCCATGACTCATTGTTCGAGTTCGTAGAGAACTCAGAAGTTCCATATGGAAGCACAGCCTCACAGGCTAGAGACAATTCAGGAAACGAAAGCCCCATTCACTTGATTATTGGTTCATTTTCTGATGGAAGCTTTGCTGATCCTCTTTCATAAGGACCATCTGAAATAGACAACTGAAAAGAGAACTAGGGGGCCATTTCCCTTCCCTCCTCTAGCCCCTGAGCTCGGTCATCAGAGTCATGTGGACCCTAGCCCCTGGAGCTGGATAGGGCCCAGGGGTCATCTGGCCACTGTCTGTTTCATTGTGACTTACCAGGCAGGCCCCCTGATACTCAGGGACACAGCTGCCTGCCTCCTGGGCTGACTTTCCTGCAATGCTCTAGAGCGGAGCCAGCCAGCTTCTCCAAGAAGCCGGTGGTAAATACTCGCTCTGGGCACTGTCACCTTTTCTTTGTTTTTTCCTTACAACCCTTTAGAAACATAAAACCATCCTGAGCTCACGGGCTTCACAGAAACAGGCTGTGAGGATAGGCAAAGTACAGCCCATGAGCAAGACCCAGCCCACTGCCTGTTTTTGTAAAATAAAGTTTTAGTGGACACAGCCCTGCTGATCTCTTGATGAATTGCCTATGGCTGCTTCCACGCTACTACAATCGTGGAATTCTGTAGTTGAGACAGAGCCTGTAAGGTCAATAAAGCCAAAAATAGTTTCTATCTGTCCCTTCATAGAAAACATCTGCCAAGCCCTTCTCTAAAGTTTCATATGCATTCGTTCCTATTTAACACTCAAAACAATTTTTGAGATTAGTATTAGAGATGAGTATTCCTAATCTTACAGATGAAGAAACCGAGAACGAGAAAGGATAAGGCTTGCTCAAGGTCACATGGCTAATGAGGGGCAGAACCAGAACCCAAACCCAGATCTCATCTCTAAACCAGGGCTTCTTCACCTGGTGAAGCCGCTCCCGAAAGGTGGCAATTGTGAAGCGTGGAATATATCTCCTGTTCAGCCCCATCAAGTAGGGTAGCAGCAGGTTCCTTGGTGCCACGGTCTGAGAGAGACAAACTGACCTTGAACAGAAACTCTTAAGATTCTCACCAAATCCCACTGTGCAGAGAATGTCTCCAAGCCCAGTGTGCTCTCTGTGCACAGGAAAGATTCCTTTGGCAAGCTGGCTGGCTGGCAGGAGAGCTGTCCCCTAAAAGCCAAGTTTGGCTTCTGTTAAACATTTAACAACAGGTCGTCACTTCACTGTGAAGAGCCACAGAGCTGCTGCCATCTTCCCATGGAGACGTGGACTGCCCTTGGATCCCCCCAGGTCCCAGGGCTGCCATTTCCTCTAACTGCTGGGAACAGCTATGCCATTATTTGTATGAGAGAGACCCCCAGTGGATATTGCTGGTATCACTGTCCCTAAAAGCAGCTCGGCAAACACCTTCCAGGCTCCCAGAAGCTGGGTGTGTTCAAGATTATTACATTTGAGTAATTGCCCCAGTACCTAAAACCCAATGAGCATTGTCCTCTTCAAAATCCTTCCCGAGGGAGGTTGGTGCCTGCATGTTCTAACAATGCTGCCATTTCACAGAATGTATTTGGAACGCTTCCTTCAAACCTGATTTTTTTTTCTTTTTCTTTTTCTTTTTCTTTTTTTTTTTTTTTTTTGTGAGACGGAGTTTTGCTCTTGTTGCCCAGGCTGGAGTGCAATGGTACGATCTCGGCTCACCACAACCTCTGCCTCCTGGGTTCAACCGATTCTCCTGCCTCAGCCTCCTGAGTAGCTGAGATTATAGGCATGTGCCACCGTGCCCAGCTAATTTTGTATTTTCACTAGAGACAGGGTTTCTCCATGTTGTTTAGGCTGGTCTCGAACTCCCAACCTCGGGTAATCTGCCCGCCTCGGCCTCCCAAAGTGCTGGGATTACAGGCATGAGCCACTGCGCTTGGCCTGCACCTGATTTTATTATGACCTTTCACATGCTTTTAGAGTCTTTTCTGTGAGGCAGATCTGACTTCCCAGAACAGCTTGGTCTTTGTAAAACTTTGTTTTAGCTGCTTTCAGCCTAGCTTTGCTCCAGAACCTGTTTTTTGTGTTCCATAGTGTTGCTAATTCTGGTGGTTGTTATTGTTTGCAGTTTTTTATTTGAATTGGATAACAAAATTATGCATTAGGATTTCCAGCATTTCTGGAAAAGTCAGAAAGCACTTGTTTTGAGTTCTTGCTCAGTAGCTAATAGCTGAAACTAAAGAGGAGCTGTTGCCCTCTTTGGACAGGTAAGGATTCTCCAGTTTGCCACAGTCCCCACCACTCCGTATTGCCCCTTATTGGCTGTGCTGGTGTTTGATTGCATTGCCTTGTTGGTCCCTAGAGAAGTTTTAAAGTTATGTCATACATACAGAATAATTGCCATGAAAATAGCTGCTGCCACAGATCCCAGACACTATGCTGAGCACAGTATGTACATGTTCTCATTTAACCCAGTGAGATAGGTATCATTATTCCCAATTTACAGACATAGAAAGTCAGGGTCAGTAAATGTCAGGATCAGAAAATGTCTTTATAAGGGTTGAATTGCATTTCAGTTTGGACATCTGCATTTTACCATGTCAGATAATGAACTCCTCTAACTGGTTTAGGAGATGTGACTGGCTCAGTAAAGGCCTCAAATAATCACTAGGTTTTCCTCTTTTTCCACCTGCAACATATTCAAGAATGGTTAACCCTGATCTCAAGTCATGAAGTAAGCAAAGCGTCTTTGATGTTAAAGACACTGGAATATCCTCCCCTTTCTTCCTCAGCATATCTGTCTTGAACCACACACCCATGCCAAGTGCGCAGTACTCAGATCTTCCCGCAGGGCCCAGGGACCCCACTGTGACACAGTGTCTGGGCCTCAACTCTAAGACAGCACCTCACCTTCCGGATTTTTCCCATCCCTTTTTTCTACCAAAACATCCTTTGCTGTGTCCCGTACATTCAAGCTCTTGATAAGTGACTAACTACTTAATTTGATAAGTGATTTGGGAGATAAGTGATTAACAGACTCATTTATTCTTCTAAAAATTACTTATTGAATGTCTATCCCCTCCTCTTAAAACCATATGAGGGCTACCAATTGCTCCTAAGAGACTAATGACCAAAATCCTTCATAAGGCCTAAAAGGCTTGTGAGACACTGTGTCTGCTGGCCCCTCCAGCCATCGTCTCTGCCCAGCACTCCCCCAGCCTTCTAGTTCCTCCAGCATCCCTTGTCTCCATCTACTAAGACTTTACACTAACCCCGTCCTTGGCCTGGAAAGCTCTTTCACCCCTCTTAGCTGGTAACTGCTTTTTTGTCTTTCAGGTTGCTATGAAGTCACAACTTCATCAAAATGCATTCCATGACCTCACTGACAGGTTCAAATTGCACCATGAGACATGCACTGGCACCATGAACCTATCAGATAAAGTGTCCTGAGGGCTGCAGTCTTGCATTTATTTATTTGATGAACATACCTCTACCTCATCAGACAATGAGCTCCATGATGTCATCGTGGAGGGATTTTATCTGTTTCTAGTCGCTTTTGCTTCCCCAGTGCCTAGATGCCTAATTCATATTTGTTGAAGGGAAATGGGGTAGGGTAGAGGAGGAGGGAGGAAGAAATTTCTATCGCTTTCTACAGTTAAAATGGAGAGAATCTAAAGAACTTTCCCAAGGACACAGAGATAGTAAGTGACACAGCAGGACACTGAACCCAAGTTTCCAAGGCACGTTTCTTTTCCACCCTATCATAACTTTCTTCTAGGGCCTTGGCAGGCCTCTGTGTGCTGTGATAATCACACCCTGAAGATTATTATGACATTGGAGGCATGCCCGGTCTGGCTCCAGACAAGGTGGTGCATGCAATATCATGGAGCTGCAGCAGTGTCACTTAGCCACATGTAGGGCAGAATGATGCTAGGCATACCCTGACAGATCTCTGGGTGACATAAAGATGACTTCGACTTGGCGCTATCCAGGTGGATTCCTGGGGGCGCCACAACTAGACTTAGCAGGAGTATAAGATTTAGGATAATCAGCCTGCTAGAAGAAGAAAAGCAACCATCTATTGTGCCCTTATCATATGCAAAACTCTTTAATGACACTATTTGGTTGATTCTGACATAAGACCTTCTAAAGAGATACTATTTCCCCCATTTTACAGATGATGAAACTGAGGTCTGGAGACCGAGTTGCCCAGAGTCACACAACTGTCAGTAGTCATGGAGGAATTAGCTTTGAAATGCAGATGTGTCTGATTTTGAGCAATTTTTATTCTGTGATGGAGCGCAGCCTCAAAATAGAACAGAATGCTCAACTACCTCATATAGAATGTGAGAAATAACCCAAGAAGTAGAAAGAATGAGAGGGAGCTGGAATGAACCATCATGGCTGGAGGTTCAGTAGAAGGTTGCTGGCCCTGGGAGCAAGGCCCAGGACCCAAGGAAGAAGGGTTGGCTGGAGCCATAGGAAGAAGGGATGCAGCCAGAACAGCACCGCAGCTGACTGAGGCAGGTGCAGAAGAAGCTCAGGCCCGGGCAGGAAAGGACCTCGCTTACTTGTTTAGAACGTTACACAAAATGCAATGCACCATCAATTCTTGGGTCATCCCCTCCCTCTGCATTCTTTTTAGCAAAAGGAGTTATTATTTCCACTTTCTATGAAAACATTCATTTCTTCAAAATCAGATATCCTAGATCTAGAAGAAAAAAGTGGGTAAAATGAACCAGCTGTACAGTTCAAAGGAAAATATAGTGATGCGCTCTGTCCTTTGTGTTGTGTCTCTGCCGCCTGCTTCTGAGAAAGGGGCAAGAGGGGAGGAAGCACGGGTTTCCCAGGGCAAGAGTGGGGCAGGGGGCAGGGGACAACCCTCAGGAGCAGGCTTCTACTGGGCGGCTTTGGAACTCATTCTGGGCTTCAGTTTCCTTGCTCTTAGAGCAGGAGCTGGATCAAACGATCTCTAAGGTCTCTTGTACTTTTGTGCTTCTCCAGCATAAGCCTGGGTGGGAGGTAGACTGAGATAAGAAGGACAGTGGTAACCAGGGGTCATCTAAGAGATGGCTTAATGGGGGATAACAGGGTAATTGAATAATAGGAGATTGTGTTTGAAACTTATCTCATCTGCATGAATTTCCACCTTGAGATTTTCTTGCATTGTCAGCCAGAAAAAAATAAATTGTAGTTTTGATAGATTGTGGGTGTTATAATCGATTGTGGGTGTCTATAAAAGATATAGATTTTTGGTGTCAGGCCTAGGTTCACTGAGGTAGATAGCTTCCCCTCTCTGAGCACCAGGCGTGCAAGTGTAGAGTAAGGATAAGAGTACATGGCTCACAGGGCAGCTGTGGAAGGGTCAGATGAGTCTCTGTACAGAGAACACATAGCACAATGCCTGGCCAAATTCCTGCAAATGTCATCTGTCCTCCTTCCCTCAAACCTCTTCTCCTCCTACTGCGGAGGGGAGCACCCGAACTGGAGAATAGAGTTAAACTAGTTCAAATTCTTCAAGAGTATAGTAAGTGCTCAAATGTGATTTGTCCAGTTCTTTCATATATAATATTCACAACAATCACATGGACCAGGTATTGCTATTCTGTTATACCGATGAGGAAACTGAAGGTCAGGGTTGTCTTCAGGTCATAAATAGAACTGAGATTTGAAACTCAGTCCAGTCTACTGAATCCAACCCCAAATACTCTTGTCACAGACTGAAAGCTACACATCAGGGGCAGATGCGGTGGCGGAGAATCCACTGGGAGAGGCTTCTGCTTGGGAGTTGCTCCAGAAAGCCCTACTGGTTTATGCAATCAGACATGATCCACCCCCATGTTCTTAGGCAGCCCTGGTGCCAGGGCCTTCTCACCCTTCATTCTAGCTGAAATGGAACCAGCATCACTGTCTCCCTATGCAAGGGGATCTCTCAACTTCCTCCTGTGGTTTGTCAAGTCTTTTATATCATGACCACTCCAATTCATCAAAGCGTTCATGCTTATTTTGTGCCTCAGTGTTTCACAATGATTTCACTCACTCCTGTTAGGTGAGTGGAGACAGCATTATTTTCCTCATGTTGAGGTTGGGAGCAGGCTCAGAGCAGGCTCAGGGAGCTTCCATCACTTGATGGAGGCCCCACAGCAGGGCCCGTGTGGGCAGCCCAGGACTCTGCACTCATGGCGCCTGCCACTGCAGAAGACGCCCTTCACCAGCCACTGGGTCTCAACAGTGTGGCTCCGGCAGGCCTCTCAGTGGGTTTGTGTCACCCAAAGGCTGATGAAGAACAGGGGGGTGGGGTGGCAGTGAGAAAGCACTTGGGAATTCAGTGATAACAAGGTCACCCATTCTCTCTCTGTCAGCAACTGATAGTGACAGTTGTAATAGTGACAGGCAGACCTGGATGGAAATCCTGGTTCCACCACTGACTAGCAATGTAACCTTAACCATGTTACTACTACACTTCCATGAGCTTCTGTTTTTCCATCTGTATAGTGGGACTAATACTACTTACCTACTCCTACTGAAGGGTGAGACGCAGCAGGCAATGCGCTTAGCACAGGGCCTGGAACATAGTAAATGCTCAGTGGTAATAGTGCATAGTCTTCCTTAAACTTGCAGTGACATTTATTTCACCATGATTAGCAGCTGAGGCTGTGGGGTGACATCAGGGTGATGAGTCACTTTGTCTGGCTGGGTCTTACATCCGGGGCGATGTTCTGTTGCATCCACCACCCTCCCCTGCCCCAGCTCAGGGCCCTAACAGTCTAGCAGGGCTGGGACTTTCTGAAAGGCTCCCCTGACCACACCAGTTCCTCAGGAAGCCTCTCAACCCCAGCTTCAGCTCTACTGACATCGCCTTACTTCCCTTTAACCCCTTTTGAGGCCCAGTTTAGAATCTGTATCTCAGCCAGAGCTCTTTCCATGCCAGCTTTGTCCACGCTGTTTACTCCTGGATAGTTCTCAGGCCCAGCCATATACCAACCCAGTGCCTGCAGTCAGGCAGACCTGGATGGAAATCCTGGTTCTACCACTGACTAGCAATGTAACCTTAACCATGTTACTACTACACTTCTATGAGCTTCTGTTTTTCCATCTATATAGTGGGACTAATACTACTTACCTACTCCCACTGAAGGGTGAGACGCAGCAGGCAATGCACTTAGCACAGGGCCTGGAACATAGTAAATGCTCAGTGGTAATTCCAGCACTTTGGGAGGCTGAGGCGGTCAGATCACTTGAGTCCAGGAGTTCAAGACCAGCCTGAGCAACATAGTGAGACTCTGTCATAAAAGAAAAAAAGAAATTGCTCAATGAAAGTGTGTGTGTGTGTGTGTGTTCCTCCTGAGCATTTTACTTTTCTTTGCTATATTTTTCCACCATATACCAATTACAGACCACATGGCTCACATCATTTCTATCTTCTCAAGCATCCTGGTTTCTTTTCATCCTTTCTTTTGTTTTTGGCTTTCTAGCTTCTTTTTTCTGGACTTTTTTTTTTTTTTTTTTTTGAGACAGAGTCTCGCTTTGTCACCCAGGCAGGAGTGCAGTGGTGTGATCTCAGCTCACTGCAACCTCAGCCTCCAGGGTTCAAGCAATTCTCCTGCCTCAGCCTCCCGAGTAGCTGGGACTACAGGAGCCTGCCACCACGCCTGGCTAATTTTTTGTATTTTTAGTAGAGGCAGGGTTTCACACTGTTAGCCAGGATGGTCTCCATCTCCTGACTTCATGATCTGCCCACCTTGGCCTCCCAAAGTGCTGGGATTACAGGTGTGAGCCACCGCACCTGGCTTCTGGACAATTTTTAATTGTACTTTGAAACTTTCATTTACTCTGTTAAGTGATTTATGACAGCAAAATGTCAATATTTGTAACATTTTTCTGTCTTACCCAACAGGACAGGGAATGGAAGCTGACAGGCTAGCTGCAAAAATTAATTAAAGCAATGAATTATTTTTTTAAACACAAAAATGGGGAAAAGGTGCAAATAGGCAATTCATAGAACAAGTTCATATGATCAAAAACGTATGAAAAGATTTTAGATTAGTAATCAGAGTAATGTTTAAATTTAAGTAGCAATGAGATATTTCTTTACTTCTATCAGAATGATCAAGATTTAGAAAGACGAATATCTATTGCTAATGGGAATGTAGGGAAAAAGTTACTTTAATAATTGTTCTTGGATGTTGTCTTAGTTCATTTTCTGTTGCTATAACTAAATACCTGAGACTGGGTAATTTATAAAGAAAAAAAATAATTTCTCATATATTGGAGGCTGGGAAGTCCAAGGTCAAGTGGCCAGTTGGTGAGAGCTTTCCTGCTGGTGGGAACTCTGTAGAGTCCTGAGGTGGCACAGAGCATCACACAGTGAGGGGGCCCAAGAGAGAGCCAAACAGGCTTTTATAACAGAGCCACTCCTGCAATGACTAACCCACTCCTGTGATAACACATTAGCCCAGTAATCCATTCATAAGAGCAAAGCTGTCATGACCCAATCACCTCTTAAAGGCTCCACCTCTTAATACTGTTACAGTGGGGATTAAGTTTCAACATGAGTTTCATAGGAGACACACATTTAAACCATAGCAGGTATTATAGCCTTTTTGGAAAGCAATCTGGCAATATCTATTATATAGTTTGGATATGTGTCCTCTCTAAATCTCATGTTGAAATGTAATCCTCAGCATTAGAGGTGGGGCCTCGTGGGAGGTGACTGGATCATGGGGGTGGATTTCTTATAAATGGTTTAGCACCATCCCCTCAGTGCTGTCTTCACGATAGTGAGAGAGTTCTCCCAAAATCTGGTTGTTTAAAAGTGTGTGGCACCCTCCCCCGACATGCTCCTGCTCTTGCTGGGTGACATGTCTGCTACTGCTTCACCTTCTGCCATGAGTAAAACTCCCTGAGGCCTCGTCAAAAGTAAAAGCTCCCTGAGGACAAGCAGATGCCCGCACCTTGCTTGTACAGCCTGCAGAACCATGAGCCAATTAAACCTGTTTTCTTTATAAATTACCCAGCCTCAGGTATTTCTTTATAACAAAGCAAGAATAGCCTAACACGATCTATTAAAATTGAAGTTTCCGGAAGTGGTGGCCATGTGCCTTTAGTCCCAGCTACTGGGGAGACTGAGGCAAGGGGATCATTGAGCACAGGAGTTCAAGGCTCCAGTGAGGTATGATTGCGTTTATGAATAGCCATTACACTCCAGCCTATGGGCAACATAGTGAGACCCTGTCTCTGAAAAAAAGAAAATTAAATTAAAAATACATACACTTTTTGACTTAGCATTTCTATTCATGGGAATCTACCCCATAGGAATACCTAAATGTGTGGCTATATAAACGAGGATGTATAATAAATTACCGTTTATGGTAGAAAACAAACAAAACCTAGAAGCAAAGCAAACGTTCTTCAAAAGAAGAATGGTTGAATATATTTAGACTTGCCAAGAAATATGCTGCAGCCATTAAAAAATAAATTGGAGGCTGGATGCAGTGGAACATGCCTGTAATTCCAGCACTTTGGAGAGGCTGAGGCAGATGGATCATTTGAGCTCAGGAGTTTAAAACCAGTCTGGGGAACATGGCAAGACCCCGTCTCTACTAAAAATACAAAAAAAAAAAAAAATAGCCGGGCATGGTTGTATGTAATTACTAATTACATAGTAATTATATATTATATATTTAAAAAATGATTATATATTAATATATATTTTCTACTTACATCTACTCATACACATACTTTTACACTTATGTGTTATGTATTAATGTAAAAGTATATTATTGTGAGCAGATGTAAGAAAAATTTTAAATTATGTATATATATCTTAAATATTTTTGTTAACCTAAAACATAGAAATACACATTGCTTCACTAAGGTTTTGACATAGTCAAAGTCTTTTCATTGAAACTAAGTATATTTTTCAGAGTTCTTCCTTATTCTTTCATACAAAAATCACGCCCTTAATGCATTGTCTACAATTTCTAATTTCAGTTTCTGTGGAGTGGAGCGAGAGCTTAGATACTTGCAAAGCAATTTTAGTACAGAAACCTTATAGATGTGGTACTTTTCCCACTATCTTTTCAGCTGTCTTGCTTGTACTCAATCCACTAATCTCATTTTAGCATCTCTCCTTTATTAAGTCTTTGTAAAACTGTCAACTTGTTTCTTATAAAAACAATAACTTTCTTTTGCATTCACACTTCACCAGCTTACGTGACAATGTTAAAGTATACCTAATAGAATAGATTCTTGGGAACAAACACATCTCATTGTAGGCAACATTCATGTCAGCAGGTAGCCACCATTGTCTGTGGCATCCTGGAAGGCATGGGCATCCTTCTGGCCTGAGCATTCAGTGAGCCCCGGGTCATGTAACCTGCTGAGTCAGTTCCTAGTAGCAGCACTGAAAATCCTCATGTGCCATGAGTTGATGAGTGGGTAACTAGCCTGTCAGGATATACCCAGCTCTCTGATTTTACTGTTATTCTATGATGAAAATATCTAGGGTTGCGTGTGGGCATGGGCTGGGAGGCATGGAGGATTACATCCTCCTTTTTCAAATACGTTGTGTAGCATTTTGCTAATGTGGCAAAGTTTGTGATGAGTGGCATGGCTTGGGTAGGGTAGACAGCATACTACAATCCTGTCTTGGGAGCAGCAAGGCAGTGCTGGGACAGGACTATGACCCAGATTCATATCTCCTAGTCACTGCTAGGTGACTGTGGGCATGTCGTCTCAACTCAGTACATCTGTTCTCTTGTCTTCAAAATGGGGTGATGCTATCTGATTCACCAAGATGTTTTGAGACTCAAATAAGATAAACATTTTTTAAAGTATTTGCCACAATGACAGGGCCATCAGAGTTGCTTTCATACCTACACACCCTGTGTACACTTGTAGCAATGAGATGGAGTGAGGGACTCCATTTCTATGACAAGCAGCAAGGTTCCTGGGGAAGAGCCTACTCTTTGGAGGTAGGCAGAGGAGATCTGGATACTGCTTTCACCAGCAGCCCATTGCACATCCTTGGGCAACTCACTTAATCTCACTGAATTTTAGTTGTGTCACCCAGGAATAATAGTAGGAAAATTCCATCTAGCTTGAGCTATTGTGGTGAGGATTAAATAGAGGTTATGGGATCAAAGGTGTCTGGAACACAGGAGAGGTGGAATAGATTTTATCCTTGTAGGTATGACTCAGTCCACAAACTAAGATCTGAAAAAAAATAATGCCCTCTAGTTTCTATGACTCAACTTATTTCTGATTCTAAGTTCCCATTTCTCTTGGTTGGTGAAGAATTTAAACCCCACCCTTTTCTGGGGAGCCCGCTGCCCTTGCACTGTGGACTATGACTTCACATTATGAAGTAGGGTGGGGATTTGCCCTTGATCTTCAATCTACACAGCTTAAGGCCAGATGTGCTTTGCCCTGTCTTCCTGTCCTGTGTCTCTCTTGCTCCCAGGACATGTTCAAAGCACACAATTATCCCCACAGCTTGAGTTCAGAGGCAGGAAACAAATGAGTGCAAGAAAATAGGGAGGAGTAGAGCTTGTGAACTGCAGAGAGATGCCCATCTAAAGGCATATCATTTTTTTTTTAAGTTTAATACTGTGAGAGCCAAAAAAAACATGCCTGTGGGCTGACTGGGCACATGAGCCTCTTCACTGGTCTGCGAATGTGCAGGGCCTGCTCTCACTTCAGGGCCTCTACTGGGAATCCCCATCCTGGGATCCCATCTGTGACCCCTTGACAGCTCTGCTGGAGGGTCCCTCAGTGAGGTCTTTCCTTGTCCCTTCCTACACTCCCCACCCCCTTCCCTGTTTTATTCTTCTCTATGGCTCTTAGTGCTGTGGTTTCCTTATTTACCCTGGTTAATGTCTATCTCTATCCACTAGAATGCAAGCCCCAAGTAGGCAGTCAAGAACTATGTGTTGAATGAATGGGTGGATGGATGGATGACTTCATCGTGAAATGAGACACTCACCTTAGGCAGAAATTGCAAGGGCAACATCAAAAACCTCAGTAATCAAGATCAATAATATTTTAATGCAATTTTTTTTAGTCACAGTGCAAAAAATCTGTGATAAACAAACTATCAAATTTTTAAATAAAGGCACATCCAAAAGAAGTTGCAAGTGAGCTAAAGTTAATTTAAAAATATTTAAAATCATCACTTGTTCAAGAAAAAATTCTCAAACATGACAATGTTCTCAACTGAAAACAAAACAAGAAGTAGACTTTGAAGGTTTTACTAATGAGTGTTCTTCCATCAAAGCCAGGAAAGTAACATTCTAATAAATTCTTGGGCTTTGTTTGTTTGTTTGTTTGGTATAAGTAAAATAATTTAAACTTAATATAAAGTTTTAATGTACCTACTTTTCAACTTTCCAACTTTTTTTATGCTACCTCAATGTTCTGGAAAAAATTAACCGATTAAAATACATCAAGGCCAGGTGTATGTTTCACACCTGTAATCCGAGGCACTTTGGGAGGCCGAGGCGGGAGTATCTCTTGAGCCCAGGATTCAAGGCTAGCCTGGGCAACATAACAAGAACCTGTTTTTATATTTTTTTAAAGTAAAAAAAAAAAATTTAAAAAGGGAAATGCATCAAGACCTGTACCACAGAGGCCCACGTTTTTCTTTTGCTCCAGGCTACATGTGGGTTGCCGGGGCAATGGTTCTCAGCAGATGCATGCTGATGAAGCGGTATCATGAGCCATCCCTCCCAAGCCAACCGCTGTAATGTTCACAGCCTGAATTGCTTTCATCTACAGCAGTGAGAGGTGTGGGATTTCAGGAGCCTGTTGAGGGAGACTGCCTCTTTGGGGGTGCTTCTCAGTCATCCCCAAATCAAGCCATGTGGGCCTACTCCAATGAGGACTAGTTTTTCCTTTGCATGGAAGGATCTTGAAAAAGAAAAAGAATTGTTGAGATCAAGAAGAGGAAAGGCTTGGGGAGACAGGAAGGACTGTACCTCATTTTCTAGGTATCAGATGTCAACACAGGTGGCTTGGGCAATCCACACATTTGTTCACATTGAATTTACTTCTGCCATTATCCACCACTCCCGCTCTGACCCAGAGGTGCCTCCCAAAACGCCCAGCACCACAAGCCCTCACCAGGTGCTGGGCTGCAGCTAGGCTCCAGCTGCATAGCCCAGAAGCCAGTGCCATCTTCCCCAGGCTGGTGCCACTCTACACTAGGAGTGGTTGTTGGGAGGCACCCTGGTGTTGTGGAAAAGCACTGGAGTGGAGACCAGGGTATTGGGGCTCCTGCCACGAACTAGCTATAAGACCTTGGTCCAATTACCTTCCCTATCACAGTCCAAGTTTTCTTGTCTGTCTGACGAGGCCTCTGAGGACCCATCTAGCTTTAAGAGTCTAGAGGCAGAGTTCAGCTTAGTATTTGATGTATTTGCTACATGCTCAACGTAAGTGGTTAAAAGCGAATGACCTCTTTAGAGAATACCTAAATTAAAGATAGACTCTTTCTTGGAGGAAACACAAAACAAAACTTGGAGAAGACTTTCGGAGGGCTCCCTACTATATGTGGAAGATTGACTGCACACATTTATCTTCTTACATTATAGCTTGATGGTTAAGAGGCTTCTGGGGCTACACTGCCTGGGGTTGAATCCTGGCTCTGCCACTTATAACTGACCTGAGGCAAGTCTCTGTCCATCTCTTCATTTGCAAAACAAAGAACTGAGAATAGCGTGATAAGGTGGCTGTCTGCAAGCGAAGAAGAGAGCCCTCACCAGGAACTGAATTGGCCAGCACCTTGTTCTTGGACTTTCCAGCCTCTAGAACTATGAGAAGTAAACATCTGTTTAAGACAGCCAGCACCATCCAAACAGACTAATACAAATGAAGAGACTGGTTTTAGGAGGAGCAAGGAGAGTGTATCCTGGATTAACAGGAGGAGAGGCAAAGTGCAGTGGTGCTGAGAGAGCTGGGTGTGTAGGTGTGATGGAAGTGTGAGGGAGGTATCTTCTGAATGCTATTTTTTTCAGAAAGTTGAGAAGCAAAGTGATCAGTTGAGAGTGAGGACACAGGATTGAAGATCTAGGAAGAGAAGTGAGGAGACAGTGACAAAGCAATGTAATGAGGACATTTGAGAAACACTACAAATCTGCCAAATGTTTGAAGTAATTAAAGAGAAACTAATCAGCTTGGTGTTAGATTTTTCTCCAGGCATGTTCAGCAGTTTGGATGCAGAGAGGAAACTGGTAGAGGTAACTATAACCATGGTTGGGACTTGGCAAAATGAGAATGGCAAAGCGAGAGAGGAAAAGAGTGATAGTAAAGGAGTAATTGTAGGCCAGGCACAGTGGCTCATGCCTGTAATCCCAGCACTTTGGGAGGCCAAGGTGGGCAAATCACCTGAGGTCAGGAGTTCAAGACTAACCTGGCCAAAATGGTGAAACCCCATCTCTACTAAAAATACAAAAAAAAATTAGCCAGGCATAGGCCGGGCACGGTGGCTCACGCTTGTAATCCCAGCACTTTGGGAGGCTGAAGCAGGCAAATCACGAGGTCAGGAGATCAAGACCATCCTAGCTAACATGGTGAAACCCCGTCTCTACTGAAAAATACAAAAAATTAGCTGGGCGTGGTGGCAGCTGCCTGTAGTCCCAGCTACTTGGGAGGCTGAGGCAGGAGAATGGTGTGAACCCGGGAGGTGGAGCTTGCAGTGAGCCGAGATCACACCACTGCACTCCAGCCTGGGTGACAGAGCAAGACTCCGACTAAAAAAAAAAAAAAAAAAAATTAGCCAGGCGTGGTGGCGCACACCTGCAATCCCAGCTACTTGGAAGGCTGAACCCGGGAGGTGGAGGTTGCAGTGAGGCGAGATCGTGCCACTGCACTCCAGCCTGGGCAACAAGAGTGAAACTCCATCTCAAAAAAAAAAAAAAAAAAAAGAAAAGAAAAGAAAAGAAAAAGGAGTAATTGTAATGATGAACAATGGGAATCTAAGCCAGGTAAGAGGAAGAGTGAGAACTTGAAGGGGTTCAGGGCCAGGGAACAGGTAGCAAGGTCACTGGCTTGTAGGTTCTAGTGGGGTTGAAGAATGTTTGGCGCTGGAGCCCCCAAGGGGGTGATGCGGAAGATGCGAAGTAGGGACTAGCGAAGTGAGATGCTTGTTACAGAGACTATTCGGGGATGCTGCAGTTATAGGTCAGCAGTATGGCTATGGGGTGGCTAGCTGAAAAAGGGAGAAGAAAAGACCATGCGAGGGTATTAGATTTGTAGATTTTGAAAGCATTCAAAATCTGGAAGAAGTGATGTCAGGGAGAAGACTTTGACATAGTGCTAAAACCTCCAAGGGATAGGGAATAACAAAGATAACCAGAACAAGGGATGTCAGGTGGTGATGATTAGCTGGCATGAGCATCAAAGCCGAGGAAGGAGCACTGGTCTGCAGGCAGAGAAGAGCAAGGAGGACGTCTTCTTTCCCCTAGGCCCTGAATACAAGGGATGCAGGAAAGAACACAGCTACCCCTTGAGAGGCTGTGGGAGGCAGCATCCCCAGGGAGAGCTGGGTTTCGATTAGAACAGCGAAGCAAAGGAGGCATTCACAGAAGAGGACATCAGGGATGTCGCTGCTGATGGATGGGGGCAGAAAGTGGGGCATTACAGAGCTGCATGGGACAGAAGTCTCCAGGGGAGTCATGGGCTTCCTACAGGGTCTGGGATAAAGGGTTTGACAAGATTAGTCTGAGACAGGATAGGAATCCATGCCACATGGAGATGGGGGGAGCTGGGGAGATGTGGGTCTTCCCAGAAGCACTCTGGGCTCCTTTCCCACTCTTGCTGAGGCCTGTGGGAGCTCAGATGCAGGCTGTTCTAGAGAGAACACATGTAGCCTGAGGGGTTTTTTTTGAGATGGAGTCTCGCTCTGTCCCCCAGGCTGGAGTGCAGTGGCCTGATCTTGGCTCACTGCAAGCGCCGCCTCCTGGGTTCACGCCATTCTCCTGCCTCAGCCTCCCGAGTACCTGGGACTACAGGAGCCCGCCACCACACCTGGCTAACTTTTTTTATTTTTAGTAGAGATGGGGTTTCATTGTGTTAGCCAGGATGGTCTCGATCTCCTGACCTTGTGATCCACCCACCTTGACAGGCCCATCTTGGAGTCAAGAAATATTGATTTCTTCCTTCAGCCTGGAGACTCTCATGTGACAGGAATTCCAGGGACAGTGCAGGCACAAGCTAAAGCGTCTATGTATTGACTTGGGTTTACATGGCTGCCAGAGGCAACTGGCACCGTCCACCACTTCAGGAGTGGCTGCCACTCTGTATTTGTTATGACTACGGTTTTCCAGCTACTGTCTGCTGTTGACCTCCCAATGTGACAGCTAACCAATGCAACAAACTAAGTAGGCTAATTAATGGCAGCGAGAGAAGTCTCCCTGCCCCACCTGTGTTATACAACTGCACTGGATGGTGGTGATCTGCTCTTTTCAAAAGCAGCTAGAAGTAAAGACCCATGTGTTCACTTGCCTCGTACTGACAGCAGTGGAACCCAGTGAGGGACAGTACTTTTCTCCCTCACTCCATGAATGACCCTACAATGAATTATTTTTCCCCTAAAGCAAGGGAGAAAGAGTATAGATTTTAAAAGGGTATGTGACCCTTATTTTTCTATCTTAGGAAAACAGTAGCCAAACCACCTAGTCACTTGTGTACATATTTACATTTATTTACAAAAGTATCTACATCATCAGTAAAAACAATTTACTGACAAAAAAAGCAAGCACCTAGTCATATAATAAGTTGATGACAGCCAAAACTAATGCTTGTTCTTTGTTAGTGGGTATTTCTTCTTAAAGCAGCTGCTTCAAGTTACATTTCCAACAGTTGTTCAAAAATTGTAATACTCAAATGAGAAATCAGATGGCTTTTTAGTTTTTAAAATAATTTAGTTATGCTGTTGTCTTCATCTTCTGTTACCAATCAATTGGAGCTACAAAAAAAAATCATATTATTAACTTGTAAAATGCAGTAAATCTGGGCTGCAGACCAGGAGTCTTAATTACCCTCCTATTCTAAAGTGAATAGCCCTTTTGTAATAAACTCATCAAAGCCAAGGGAGCTAGGGAGCAGGGATGGAGGAAGAACTGCCTTGAGTGCTCTTGGGATAGTAGTCTGAGTAACACTTGAAGAACAGCCTTCAGGATGCTGCACTCAATAGCAGCCCCAAGGCTCCTCCCGCTTACTCTCTGAGTATAACTGAAAGATTGAACAACAGAGCTGAGACTGTTAGACCCACATGTAAACTGTCACCCATTTGTAACAGCTACTTCCTTCTTTGCTACATGAAACTCCTGGGGATGGTTTTCTTCCTACCTCAAACTTACCTTCCTGTTTAGTCACCTCTGTGGCAACGACAGAACAATCTCTGGCTGTCTTGGAGTAAATCAGCCGAAAAACAAAACCGCATCCTTGAGCAAGCCCTCAAACCGAGTCCATTTCCCGGCCTCCTCCCCCGTGGTCTGCGTATTTCCACAGAGCTCAAAATCAGACCAGGCCAGAGCTCCCCAAACATTTGTATCTCATTGGTAACAAGAATTCATGAGAAATTAGTGCTGTGGTCACAGGGGTGAGGTAAAGGACAGCAAACTAGAAGTTTCCCTCCTTGGGAGCCTCACAGAACATGAAATGGGTGCTGTGACTTTCTGAGGGGGATAAAGTGGGAAATGTTTGTAAACCAGGTTGGCAGGCACAGGATTCTTGTTGGGGCAGCTTTTTGCCGGTCTCTGCTTCCCTGCCCTCTCCCAGCAGTCTCCTCACCCACTACAAGGAATCAAGCCTGCTTCTCCAGCTTGGCTCCTGCCTGAGATCCCACCTGTAAATCTTTCTTCTCGGAGAAATAGGACTCCCTGCTTCCTTTTTAATTTGGCTAACTTTGTGATCTGTTTTCTAGACACTTACACAAAAAATACCAGGGCACTCAGAAATTGCCTACGTTGAACTGCCTGGGTGAGAAGTGTGGCGTGGCCATTTCCCGTCAGATGTCTGCTATCTACTCATCTGTCCTCTGTTGTTCCTAATTGGGTTTAGTTCTTCCTGCTCCTGCCCTCGCGCAGCTGGGGAAATATTGCATTTGTTCCTACTTATGCTTGCCCCTTTCTCATCTCCTCCCCCGATCTCCTCCATCTCCACCATATACAGAACCTTTTAACATTTTAATTTAACTTAATTTTTTTGATGCCCAGGCTGGTCTCTTAACTCCTGGGCTCAAGAAATCCTCCCACTAACTCCTAAACTCAAGCGATCCTCGCACCTCAGCCTCCCAAGTAGCTGAGACTACAGGTGTGTGCTACCATACCCAGCTTCATAACCCTTTAGTAACTGAGCTTAGAGAATTCCCCCTGCTGCCACAATGGGTTCTTTAAATTTAAAAATAATTATTAAATAGGCAGTAAACACACATGATGCAGAACTTGAATAGTAAATAAAAATATACCAAGAAAAGTAAGCTCCTCTCTCAATCTCAGCCCCAAATACTCAGGTCTCTCCCTAGAATGCCACCTTAGAGAGGTCAGTGTTACCTTTCTAGACTCATCATTCCAAAGCAGTGCTTTTCATGCAAAATGTTCCTGCTCAAGAACCTATAATGGCTGCTTATTTCCATATCACTCCATTCTAAGGACCTCCTTGCAAATATTCAGTGTCTTTTGCCTCTACTTCAACTCGATGCCAGGCAGGTCAATCTTACTATCAAATAAATCACAACAGATTTAATTCCCTCTCATGTATTTGCCTCCGCTGTTTATCCCACCTGGAATGCCTTTTCTACTCCACTCTTGTTCTGAAAATGTAGGTCACATCCTACCCCCTCCAAAGCTTTTCTGATTATTCTGGCCTCTCCAATTCCTCTGCGTTGGTTGCTCAGCCCTTACCCTCATATCACACATTCTGCCTATCACCTGTGCTTCCTGCCTAAGTCCTTCTAAGAGTTTCGTATGCTCATGTGCATCCATTCTCTCTCCCTGGTGTGGCCACAAGCTTCTTGTGGGAGGAGCCCTATTATATGCTTTCTCTGAATCCCACACAATGTCTAGCCTCGCTGGGTACTCTGACCCCCACCCTATCAGCTAGCACAGTGCCTGGTATCGCATAATCTCCATAACGTTTGTTGTGATGAAAGGAACAGAGGAAGGGATGAGTTCCAGAATGCCCATCCCCTTTCCCCGTGGCCCTGGATGATGCCCCCCTACCCCCATCATTGGTAGTGATGGCTATGCCTCCCCCATCCACTCAGAGTTCCCCTCCACTGTAACCACCTAGATCTCAGCAGAGACCTGACTTGGCTCTCACACTCACCTGGGGCTCACGCATATTGCTCAGATCTGAAATGCCTTCCTCTGACCACAAGCCTGGAGGTCCCTACCTCTCCCACCTCACCTCATCTCCAGCTACTTGGCTCCTCTCTGCCCAGCCTCCTGGCCCATCAACCCCTCATGGCCTTGGGTCCTCCCAGCTTGGGTCTGTGGCCGGCTGAGCTGCCCCTTGTACTTCCTTGCCCCCAGGCCTCCTGCCACAGCTTGTTTCTCCTGCACTGTTCCACCTGGCAGCTGAGGAGAAAGGACACCTGTGGCCCATCCATCGATCCCACCTCACCTAGGCCCTTGCTGCTGCTTAGCCACCCTCACTTCATCCCTGCACTGACCACAGCAACCGACTCCACAAAACCAAAGGTCTTAACCCCTCGCCTACCTCCTTGTCTCTGCAGCTTTAACATGTAGCCTCCTCCCTCGAGTCTCTAACCCGGGGCTACCCTGGCTCTGATCCTGGACTTTGCTTCCCCAGTCCCGCCTCCTCTGCCTCTTCCCATCACCCTAGGGCATCTAGCTTTTCTTTCTTAGTGACCTCAGGTGCTCACGGCATCAATTACTGTCCAGATGAAGAGGCGCCCCAATCCGTAACTCTAGCGTGAAGCCCACGCTCCAATTCTGTGCATGGACATCACTAGCCAGGTAATACACCAGCACCCCAAAATCAACCTGTCAAAGCAAAAATTCATAATTTTCCTTCCCAACCAAGATTCCTGTGTGACTCCTCTGTGACACTTGGTCCTGTCGCTTTTATTTTTCTTGAAAAATAATAGTAACAATAGTCATAATGGCTAACATTTATTGAAAACTATTATGAGCCAGCCACTATTGTAAGCATTGTACTTATATTAATATATTTTGACACAGTTATTTCTATGTGATTATCTATGCTATCATTGTCATTTCTATATTATCATTATGCCCATTTTCCACAGAAGACAACCAAAGCACAGAGAGTTTAAGTGACTTGTCCAAGGCCTGTGAGAAATGGAGCTGGCATTTGAACCAGGGAGTTTGGCATCAGAGCCTACACTGCCAGATGAAAGTTTTGCTAACAGGACCTCTGCTGTTTCTCTCAAACCTAGCTCTGCATATTCAGTTCTGCCACCATCACCTTGACTCAGGCCCTCTTCTCTGCTTGGCTGGATTATTTCATTACTCCACTAACCAGTGTCCTCATCTCATCTCCTATTAATTAGTCCCATGCTTTGCCAGCAGAGTGATCTTACTAAAGCATAGTTCTGCTAGAAAACTCTGCGGTTCTCCCTAAAGAATGACCCAAAGCCTCTCTCAAAGTCTCAGCCTGGCCCAACCTGCCAGCCCAGCCCCATCTTTCTCTAATGCCTCAACACTCTCTGCTCCAAAGAGGATGGCTTGCTACTTCTTGTCCTGCCCTTCACACCCTGGGCCTTAACTCTTCCCCTCATCCCTCAACACCCAGCTCATGCCTCTGCCTCCTGACCACCAGTGGGATCTGCCAGGAGGGGGCCTCTTGGAGCACCCTACGGCGGTTTATTAAACCAACACTGCTGCTAATTGTGTTTGTGTCCTATCTTTTATATGTGACTACAGGCCCAGCTCTGACCCTGGCTCCTGAAGTGAACCCTATCCCTGATCCAACTTTTTCTGGGATGGGAGGTGGAGGGAGTGTATTGTAGTGGTTAACAGTATAACTCTTGGAGTCCAAAGACCTAGATTTAAATCCCAGCCCATCACTTACTAGCAACGTGACTTTGATATCTCACTTGACTTCTATGAATCTCATATGCGCTGTCTCTAAGCAAGGGGTATGATACTCCTCCTGCAAGGCTCATTGAGAGGGTTCCAGGAAACGATATGCAGAGAGTGGCTAGTGCAGTGCATGGCACACAGTTGGTACTTAATACACTATGGTTAGTATATCTGCTGATGTTACTTCTTATTACTGTACAAGGCAACCAACAGATGAGTACAATCTGGCTTCCCAAGTAATGGGCATCTACAGCAGGGCTGCTGTTGTTCTGGCACAGAGTGCACAGCCTGCAGTGTACTTACTTGGTTCTGTCTGGTTTTCTGTCACATTTCAGAATACCTAAAAATGAAGAAATTGTCTTCTCAATTAAAGAACTGAAAAGAAAAGGTGAAATGTGGAGTTACTGACTGCCTATTAGAGGCCTAAATATGGAAAACTAAGCCAGAGCCCCATCACCCTGGGATTTCCTGCTATCCTATATGCTTTAAATCAAATCGGCTACAGAGCTGGTCCAAAGAGTTGTTCAAAAATTGGTCAGAACATGATAGAAAACCAAATGCAAAAACTGTTGACAAAATGGCTAATTTTACCTCGTGCATAAGGCTGAAGATGCAGGGAAGGCTAGAATAGTTTGGACCAGTGCTGTCCAATAGAAATATAATGCAAGCCACATAAGTAATTTAAAATTTTTGGTATCCACATTACAAAGTAAAAAAAAATGTAAATTTTAATATTTTATTTAACACAATGTGTCACAAATATAAAATTATTTCAACATGTACTCAATATAAACATTTTTTAATGAGATATTTTATATTCTTTCACACACGGTCTTAGAAACATATTATTTTACACTCACAGCACATGATAATTTGGACTCCCACATTTCAAGTGCTCCATAGCCACATGTAGCTCATGGCTACTATTTCAGACATTAAGACACTGCTCCCACACATGCATGCATCACTTTCCTGCCCACAGTAGGCATCCGCCTGACCCTAGAACTATGCTAGTGGTTCAGAAGCTTAGTCAATAGGGTTGACTAGAGCTTATAAAGTTGTCTGTCAACTACAACTAGGCAGCTGGAGCTGTTTCCATTCAACTCTTTCCTCTTCTGAAGATTCCATGCCAAACATCTCACTATTTCCCAATTAATGACTTTAAGGTTGCTTAAAGGTTGAGATGCTTGCTGAGTTTTTTTGTTTGTTTGTTTTTTGAGACAGGGTCTCACTCCATCACCCAGGCTGGAGTGCAGTGGCACAATCTCAGCTCACTGCAACATCTGCCTCCCTCCCGCCTCAGCCTCCTGAGTAGCTGGGACTACAGGCATGCACCACCATGCCTGGCTAATTTTTGTATTTTTTTGTAGAGATAGTGTTTCACCATGTTGTCCAGGCTGGTCTCAAACTCCTGGGCTCAAGTGATGCACACAACTCGACCTCTCAATGTGCTGGGATTACAGGCATGAGCCACCATGCCTGGCCTCCAAATTGTTTTTTTTTTTTAAGAACAAATTTTTTCAGATTATCTGGGGCTAACAGTACTGACCAGGGGAGTAATTTTCTGTATATTGAATGACTTTTTTTTTTTTTTTTAAGTGAAATCAACCAATTGTTTTGAAGTTCTATGGAAACTCAGTGCCACCTCTCTTTAGTTCAGGTATCCTGGGTTAGTTCTTTAATTGAGATCTACAACAACACTGAGTGGAAAATGATTTTGGTTTCTGGGAACCAACCTGTTCAGGAGATGATTAACTATTATACTGCTATTTGGGGATTAAAATAGATTTTTAAAAAATTTGAGCTCCCAAAATATTTTATGCATTGGGCAATAGCTGAAAACTTTCTTCAGCTGATCGTTATAATACTGTTTAGTGGAGAGTCAACTGACTGATAATCTATTACTTAGGGATGGATTTTCATGGTATTTACAACTTATAATATGAAAATGTTATCATCAGGAAATTATATTTAGCACTGATATCGCAAAATAGTCTAGTTCTGCACTGACCAAGAAAACTTTCTGCAATGATAGGATTATTCCTTATCTGGGCTATCCAGTATGGTAGCCACTAGCCAGATGTAGGTATTGAGCACTTGAAAGGTGGTTAGTGTAACTGAGGAATGAATCTTAAATTTAATGGTATTTCATTTTAAATGATATATTTAAATAATCATATGTGGCTAATTGGCTACTATACTAAACAGTGCAGGTCTAAGGAAACTGAAATCTAGTTTATAAACTTGATTCATGACACAATGGATCCTAGATACTATCACTTGTAGAAAGTTTACTCTTCGGCATTCCCTGTCTGGCATATTTCCTTTTGGTGAAGGCTGGTATGGAAACTGCTGTGGCATCAAGAATATCCACTCTTCAGAATTACAGCCTGCTCCCTGTCCTTTGGGATTTGAGAGGGATTACTCATTACCAGGAATGAACAGGCTGGGAACAAATTCTCCAAGTCATCAGTTCTCCAAGCTGTATGACTGCCCAAGATTGCTAGGGGACTGAGAAGGCTCAGGAAGTAATACAAGCACAATTACTTGTATTACGTAAGTCACTTAACTCAACCAAAACTCCCTTCCTACCTGGGAGCCCCATTCGTGTTATATGACATGAAAATTACAGAGGTGGCAGCCTAAAGAGGTCTTTAGCAAACTCTGACTTGGAGACCAGAAGTTTAACTATATTTTGAAGCAGATCACAGGTAAAAGGAGGCTATGCAACAGGTCCAGGCTGTGTTCCCAGGCCTGTAAAGCTCTCTGTGGCCTAAGGATTCATTCTACCTTGAGATAATGTGGATCTTTGGAGGAACCTAGCATGCTCAGCAGTCCCACACACGTAAAGCAAAAAAGTTTTTGTTTCTTTTCAAATGTCTAAAATTTCAAACTTTATTTTCATCCTTAAACTATTTTCTGACCTTTGGAAAACAATGCAAGTTTTCAAACTATTTTGTTTTAAAAAGCATACATACCATTCATATACAGCACAATACATGTTGTAATTACTGCTAATGGTATGGGTATAAGTGCATATCTGTGTCTTGAATGACCTATAAAAAAGAAAAGAAAAGAAATTCAACTAGTTGAACTGATCAAAATGGATCCTCATTATTTGCAGATTCCACCTTGCGGTTTGCTTATTTACTGAAATTTATTTGTAATCCACAAATCAATACCCAAAGCAGTCATTCTCAGACATAAGAACAGTGATGAAAACTTTGAGTCACCCAATAAGCAGATTCCCAGCAGAGGTGGAAAAAGGTAAAGCTCTGCCTTCTTGTTTCAAGTTCTTACACTGTTAACAAGTGTCCTATTTGCAGTCTATTTAGTGCCATGATTTTGCATTTTTGTGCTTTTTTGTTGGTGATTTCACTATTTTAAGTGGTCCCAAAGTATAGTGTTGAAGGGCTGACAAGAGTTCCTAAGTGCAAGAAGGCTGCGATGTGCCTTGCAGAGAAAATAGGTGTATTAGATAAGCTTCACTTAGGCATGAGTTACAGTGCTGTTGGCTATGAGTTCAAGGTCAATAAATCAACACTATATATTAAGGTTTATTTAAACAGAGACACACATAAAACAAGGTTATAAACAGATCATTAACAAAAATCTTATGACTAGAGGCTCACAGGAACCTACCCCTGTATTTCCCCCAGGAACATTACTTCACTACTTGCTATTTCACTGTTAACTTGACTCTGTAGAACTAATATGAATAACAAGATTCGACTATTTCTAAACAAACTTATATGCACAAGCTTGATACATTCCAGACCCTGTGTTATTTAATAAAAGAAGCAAGTGTTCCACTAGAAGGTTTGTTTCTGACCATCTCATACTGCCAGTGGAAGCAGAACTTGGCATTGTGTTTGGTAGGGCAATTCTGGCAGTTGTATATAATAAGCCTTAAAAATATTTATCATGAAGCATCTAGACATTGCACTAAGTCATGTGCCTATAGTCTCACTAAGTCATTACAATGTTGGGCAAGTGCCTTAACCTCTCAGTGCCTCCATTTTCTCACAGGGTAACTATACTCGAGACTAATAAATATACTTATCTCATAGGGTAGTTGCATTTAAGAACAGCTGTTATATACTGTCATTAACCTATTGAGTAGATGTTATTGGTATCTCTATTAATATCTTGTGACTCTGCAATTCCATTTCTAAGATGTTATCCTGGGGAAAATATCAATGATGTGCCCTTCTACTCCCCGCAAAAAGGCACAAAGATATTTACTGCAGCCTTACTTAATATACCATAAGGCAAAAACAACCTAAGTTGTTTTCACAGCAGCTCCTTGTTTTCACAAAAAACTGTGGTATGTTCACAAGGTAAACTCTATCCAGCTATTGAAAATCCAAAATCAGAGTACACAATGCACTGCTAAAGGATTGGGGAGGGGTCACTAAGAACAAATGTGACATGGATATGGGAAAGGAAGGGAAAGGAAGGGAGAGGAGGAAGAGAGAGAGAAAATGAATGAATAAATGAGAATAAGGATATGATCACACTTTCCTTTTATTAGGAACACAGGTGTGTTGGAGCAAATAGGCAGTCACCTATTGGTCAGATTTGAGAAGACCCTGGCCAGAAAC